>NC_000010.11:37312777-37617059 GCF_000001405.40 Homo sapiens
CATTTTCATTTATCTAACTGTATGTCTTGTACTTTGCCTTTGTTCAAACAATACAGTCCCCAATTCTAGAATGACTTTATTTTCTTTTTTTGTTTGTTTCTTTTGTTTTGTTTTGTGAGACACAGTCTCTCTCTTTCACCCAGGCTGCAGTACAGTGGTGCGACCTTGGCTCACTGCAACCTCTGCCTGCCAGATTCCAGTGATTCTCCTGCCTCAGCCTCCCAAGTAGCTGGGATTACAGGCATGCACCATCACACCTGGTTAATTTTTGTATTTTTTAGTAGAGATCGGGTTTCACCATCTTGGTCAGGCTGGTCTCAAAATCCTGACCTAAAGTGATCCCCCCATCTCAACCTCCCAAAGTGCTGGGATTACAGGCGTGAGCCACTGCACCTGGCCTTTATTATCTTATTATAACCCCAGATAGGCAGTTAAATGGAAATAAGAGATAATGAGCTATTTCTAAGTACAAATAGACCTTGATTTTTTTTTAACTTTCTAACTAAACTAATTTATTTTGGAGCACATTATATTTACATTTTCATCCACGTTTAGAACTAAACACTTTGACTGGCTATACTTGCATGCAAAAAGGGTCCAGGAAAAAAAATTTCCAAAACAAAAAGATGGGAAGTAAGATCCTAAATCAACCTATTTATTTTAAAAGTCTCTAAGAACCTGGAGACACCCTTAGGTAGACTGAAGAGTCACAAGTCTCATACTCATGTGTCAGTTGCCGCAACCCCACTTTGTCCCTTCTGTGGTCATCTGTCCTCTTGATGTGGGGTTAGATGAAGCCTGGACTACTGGGGAATAAGCCATTTACAGATAATGGGGCTTACTTTGTCAAAGTCGTGATGCAGAACACACAAAATCCTGGCTCCTGGTGAGACTTAAGTGACGTGCCAGTGGCCAATGCTTAACAACTCACTTTGTAACCTATAAATAACAGTATTAGGCCACTCACTTGTAGATTTTAGACAGGGAATATTTTAGAATCTTTTTTCCTAATTCAGGCCTTATGACATAAAAAGTGCTTGAGAACACTGTTTTAAATTACCAGCACCCCTTCTATTCAAGTGCTACATGCAGAAAGAGAAGATGAATCATCCCCAGCATTGCAATGCATTGTTCTCCAATAGCAGCAAAGTTTCCAGGCTAGCTCACAGGGGCTAGCCTAGTGGAAATATTAACAAATTGCTGAGTAACTCTCATATATGGATGCAATTTCATCCACTGAGACCATGCACAATGCCTGGGAGCATAGAGATGCTCAGACCATTGCCCTCTGAGGCCTGGTTTTGAATGAGAGGAAACAAGCAGCTTCCACGCTGGGTTGGATTCTCTTTGTTCTTGGCCTAAGCTGTAGATTATAAGTGCCCAGCCTTCCTATTTCTCCTGGTACCTGTGCAAGCTGATGGCTCACAGCAGGTGGGGCACACACTCGGTGGCCTTGTCAGTCTGGTCTGTAAGATAAAAGGTAATGTTTACGTTCCCAAATAATTCATAATAAACAGGGTATATTTTAACATCTTTTTTGAATGTCTCTTTTCCAACAAAAGACATTTTCTCATCTATTGTTTAAATTAAAATTCCACAGGCTCTGCTTTGACCTGAAGTATTTTATCTATCCTCAGTCTCAGGACACTGTTGATGGAATTAAGGTATAATGTGTTAAAGTCTGTGTGGCTTTCTCTTGTTTACTTTGGGGGAAAGGATGCCAGGAACATGTATAGTGTCTCAGTGCTAATACTCTATGATGGATTAACTCAAAGCATCGGGAGATGACTCATATTATCTTAACATGCTTTCTTTTATTGAAGGTGGAGGGCGGGTGGTGGTAGAATGTGATTCTACAGAAATGGCCCACGTCTTCAGAATGTTCTCCTGACACTTTTTATTTTGGGGCAAATGTGCTCAGTTTTTGTTCTCATTCTATCTTTGAGTTCTGGTACCCAGCAGAATTCTCACATGTGCTTATTTTGAAATTAAACCAATGCAAAAGTTTTTACCCTGAGGTGTTGCTAATTCATGAACCTATTCTCTTGACAGTTTTTCCCTCCAATATAACCTATATCTTATTAAATGTCTTTTCTTCTTCTAGATTGTTTCCAATAGTAGCTCAATTTTAGCTTTGTTCAGGCTCCAAATTAGAAAAACGCTGAGATTAGCCAAATATTTGAACACTGTAAGGTATTAATCAGTTTAATCTGAAAAAAAAGGTATAAGAACACTTCCTACAGTTCCAGAAGAGTGAGCTGTCCTGGCTGAGGGTTATTTCATAAGCACCTACATGTATGGACACTAATGGTGAGTCATCACCAGAGGAAGATGAAAAATCTGGACTCTGTATTTGTGTTGATGCCACATTTCAGGGCAAAAGTTTTGCATCCAGACCATGCACTCTAGCATCCTAAGTCCATGGCTGCTGTGGCAGTGGCTCTTTTCACACCAAAAATGGAGGGAGAAAACCAGCTAACTCCTGGGCTCTCTGACTGCAGTCAGGCCAAGGACCAGGGAACCTGCATCTGTTCACTAGGGTGAGGATTTAAAGCATCTTCTGGGTTTTCAGATCCTACCAAGAAAAGCTTCAGAGGCAGACCTTGAGTCTCTGTGAACCCCATCCTGTATTTTAATGACTGGGCTCCTCAGCAGATCTACAGACTTCTAGTTCTTTTCGGGGTGGTGGTGACTCTTGACATTTATTGTCCAGGTCTGGTCTGCAGCACTTAGGATGCCTCTAGCCTATGGAGATGGAGTTACACATCATGCATGTTGACTGTACATGCTACACCACTTCTCCAGACTTGACCTCTATCAAAGGGCATTTGGGTATGGCCCGAGATGGGAGTAACCTCTCTTTTCAGCTGTGTCAAATTCTTACACCATGTTCTTTTGTTTTTTCCTCATAATACAAGGCCAAGCACATCTGCAAAAAAGACATTGCTGGAGGAGGTGCAAAGAGCTGGAAACCAAGTCTCCAGTCCTGGGAAAAGCAGTGGTATGGAAAAGCAATGGAAAGAGGTAAGGAGCTTCATCCCAATACCTACAGAACACAAATTCTCCTGGTCCCTTTCTCTGTTTTTCTATTCATACATTTTTTTTCCCATATTGGTTTTCTATAGAAGCACAACATGCTCAATTTTAAGGATTTTGGTTATTCTCAAATTTAAGTTGCACTCTTTCAGTGGCCACATGAAATCTGACTTTCTGGGTCACTGGGTCTGTCTCTAGGTAAGAATGGGGGTTTTATTGGGTTTAGAGGTGAGCAAAACTACCCATGTCCCAAAAAATCGATGTCATGGCATTACTATCTTAAGGTGGAAAGATGTAGGTTTAGTAATATTGTTGGGGAAACCAGCCCCACACCACCCGGCGGGTACCCCAAGTCCAGCGGAGACAAAGGAATTATAGAGACAGAATAAGCATTTAAAAGGTGGATCCAGGGGACCAGAGCATCGGAGGCTTGCTCATGGCCCAGAGCTCTCTGGCTTCACCCAATTTATTGGTTTACAAGATCTTTGTTCTTAGGGCAGATGGGAGGGGTAGGAAGGGATGAGGAAAAGGATTAATCAGTGGAGAACTCTTGAGTCATTCAATAAGATATATAGCAGTGGCAGTTTCTGTGAATTTCCTTGAGCAAAGTTGTGTGTGTAAACTACTTAAGATCTTTAACTTATTGGGACTGAAACAGGAGGAAGCAGGTTTCAGGAGGAGCCAAGATGTTTGATTATACTCCACTGCTTCAAGGGAGTGTTATCTCCCTGGGCAACCTGTGGAATGCCGCTGAGTGTTTATGCTTTCGGGGCATAAAGACATGAAGGCAATAAGGAGACTTTTCTCCTCAGAGGCCGCCCATGGCTCCCCATGGGTGTCTCACACAGGGGAGACCAACTCATCTGGCACCCAAGAAACTCTCTTTCCCACAAGTATTCCACAGAGGAGTTAAAGCCAAGCCTTTGGATTTCAGACTCAATTATTTTATCCAAGGATGAGTATCACACATGAAGGTTTGCATGTGAAATAATTCATGTTATTATTCATTTAAATTTTGTTAATCCCACTTCAGCATACCTAGATGAGGGAGTTGTTTTTAATTAATTAATATTTCTGCTGGAGTTGAAAAGGATCATGTGAACTTTTGGAACAAATATTGCTTCTTGCATTTCTAATTGCTTATGAACATCAGCCTGCCTGCCCTTCCCTGCACATAACAGCTAGGCCTGTGCGTAGTTTTTGTTTCATCATGTACGTTAAGATTGTCTTAGGGTACACTCTGTTAATATGTCTATACCACCAAGAAAAATTTTCCTGGTCATGAGAAAAATTTTCAGAGTACTAGAAAGCCATTGCCGTATTAAGGATGTGGAATGTCTAGAATATTCTGAATATCATTCTATAAATGCTTAGAAGGAAATCTGTAACTAACTTCTAATGAAACACATATCTAGAAGTCAAATATTTATAGAGATTTCCACTTTGTGTAGGGTTTTATATTTTATTTCTACCACCTTTTAACACAATAAAGATAAAGCTTTTTTTATTAAAGAGAATCCAAAAATTTTGAGAGGCTTTAGAAATATAATTTCAAATAAATATATTAGGAAGGAGATTATGACATATAGTTGAAGTTGTGGATTTTTGATTATGTTAAGTACATTTATTAAGCATTCATTATATATCACCTATGCTAGTCACTAAAAAGTCATCAGTCAACAACACCAAAAGCACAGTATTCAATAAAATTAAAATTGTGAATATGTGGGGATAGCAGGCTGATCTTACTGCAAGTGTATATACAACCACTACATGTGTCTGAAGCATGCACAGGACTGTTCTGTCTTTCACTTGGCTCAAGCACAGGGCTCAGAACCTACTAGAGTTTTAAGGACCTACAACATTCTTTGGGACCTGAAAAAAAATATTTATAGGCTCCAAAAATTGGGGAGCAGGAAACCTCTGCATAATAAAACTAAGAAACACTTACAACATTTTAAAATGAACATCAGTTGTAATAACTGTTAAGCTTAGGAAGCACAATGAGTTTATCATATTTAGAAACAACTTACAGGCTTTCTTATATCTCAAGAGTTCTCAAGTATACACAATGATTGCTGAGCAAGCATAAGTAATTTCTAAGTAAAATGAGAATTTCAGAGCCCCCCAAGTTCTAAAACTCCTTGAAAGCATGTTACAAGAAAACATTACATCAGGCTGAAATCAGGTGTTGGCCTGCTGGGCTCTTTTCAGAAGACTCTGGAAAGAAACTTCTTCCAAGCACATTTATGCTGTTAGCAGAATCCATTGCCTTTCTTGCATTTATAGAACTGAGGTAACCGTTCCTTACTGACTGTCAGCTATAGGACAGGGGACACCTTTAGTTCCTAGAGACTTTTATAAGGACTTTGCATGTGTCCCTACATCTTCAAGCCAGCAAAGATGAGTTGAATCCTTCTCATACTCAGAACTTCTCTGACTTCCCCTTCTGCTGCATGTCTCTTACTTTCTGTTCTGCCACATCTCCCACTGGCTTTCTACCTTCCCTTTCTGCTTTTGAAGGCTCGTGTGATTACATTGGGTCTGCCCAGGTAATGCAGGATAAAATCCTTATTTTAAAGTCAGCTGACCATTAACCTTAATTCAATCTGCAAAGTCCCTTTACAGCAGAACCTGCATTAGTGTTTCATTAAAGTACCTGGGGTTAGGGAACTGGGGGTTTCTTGAGAATTCTGCCTACCCCTAGAAGATATTCTGAGTTCCTCTCTTTTATATAGAGTGTTGTTTCTTTCTCATATTTTTAAATTCCTCCTCTTAGGTCCTTAATCATTGAAAATACTTATCTTATAATCTTTATTTGCATTTTTATTTTGTGAGACCCTTGGAGGGCAGTCTAAATGTTTGTATCTGTTAATTTGTGATCATAGGGATTGGTTCCTTTCATATTTCCTTATGTTGGATTATAAATTTATGTTTCAGCCTGGTTTGAGGTTTTGTGTTTACTCCACCATCTGACTCCTTATGTTAATTTAATGTTTGGGATTAATCAAACCAGGCACATAGTGTAAATTCAAACCCAAAATCTATTTGAATGCAAGCCTGTTTACATTATTATAGCACACTCTTTACCTCCTCTCCAGAGCATAGAGCAAATTGGACAAGCTTTATTATTGTCTCCCAATGCCATGGTTTTGGGTTTTGTGATTTCTGTGCATGTGTGGTTTTTTTGTTTGTTTTTGTCATTAAATGTTCTACCCTTCTGCTGAAAGTGTACCCCTTTGAAAGTCTCAGCCATATGAACAGGGTCTCATCAGTTTCAACCTTCCATTCATTAGAAGCCTGAAGTATTTGTGTTTGGAATATTCAAACCAAAGTTCATACAGAATTGAGACAGGATAACTTCTCTAAGGCAGCCTCTTTGAGCTTTAAGTTTTAAGGTATCCATTTTATTTCTGACCCCTAAAGATTTTTCTTAGTTTCTTAGGTACTCAGGTATTCATTTTAGGTAATTTTAACTAGGATAGTTTTTAGGTTGTCTAGTTTTTCTTATTACCAGAAACAGAAATTCTTTCAGTGATTTATTTTTTCAAACCAATTTTTAGTGACCTCCACTCAGGTCAGGAATGACTTTCACGTTGCCAAATCAATAAATATTTTGTCTTCATCTTAGGCAACATTTCATCAAAAATGTTTTCATTGAGACATTCCTGTTAGAAACACTTTTTACTTTAATATTTTAATATTTTTGCTTTTGTTACAGTGTGCTTAGCTTGGCTTTCCTATTCTTTCTTCTTTTACTTCACTTTAATTTTTCAGGATTGCATGTGCAGGTCTGTTATATAGGTAAATTAGTGTCATGGTAGTTTGTTATACAGATTATTTTATCCCCCTGGTATTAAGCCTATTACCCATTCATTTTTTTTCTGATCCTCTCTCTCATCCCACCCCACCCTCCACCTTCTGATAGGTTCAAGTGTTTGTTGTTCCCCTCTATAGGTCTATGTATTAATGTTTAGCTCCTATGTGAGAATATGTGGTATTTGGCTTTCAGTTTCTGTATTGGTTTGTTAAGTGTAACAGTCTCCAGCTCCATCCCTGTTTCTGCAAAGGACATAATTTCATTCTTTTTATGGCTACATAGTATTCCATGGTCTTACTTTTCTGACAATTTTTAGTTTTCCCATAGCTTTGTTGTATCCTAAATTGTATAAAAATTCTTTGGGCATTTGCGTTTCTCACTTCACAATTTTTACCAGATTTTAGTACTTAAAATATTTTTTCTCCAATTTGACAATAGCTACTGAAGTGGTCTCCCTGACTTTACTCCTCTGTTGTCTTTGAAGGCATTGTCCACACTGCAAAGTGATTTTCTTTTTGAGGTAAAGTTTCACTCTTTTTTTTTTTTTTTCGAGATGGAGTTTTGCTCTTGTTGCCCAGGCTGGAGTGCAATGGTGTGATCTTGGCTCACTGCAACCTCCACCTCCTTGGTTCAAGTGATTCTCCTGCCTCAGCCTCCTGAGTGGCTGTGATCACAGCCATGCACCATCATGCCCAGCTAATTTTGTATTTTTAGTAGAGATGGAGTTTCTCCATGTTGGTCAGGCTGGTCTCAAACTCCCAACCTCAGGTGATCTGAGGTGATCTACCTGCCTCGGCCTCCCAAAGTGCTGGGATTACAGGTGTGATCCACTACACCCAGCAAGGTGGAGTTTCACTCGTGTAGCCCAGGCTGGAGTGCGATGGCACAATCTCAGCTCATTGCAACCTCTGGCTCCTGTGTTTAAGTGATTTTCCTGCCTCAGCCTCCCGAGTAGCTGGGATTACAGGTGCCCACCACCATGCCCAGATAATTTTTGCATTTTCAGAAGAGATGGGGTTTCACCATGTTGGCCAGTGTGGTCTTGAATTCCTGACCTCAGGTGATCCACCTGCCACAGCCTCCCAAAGTGCTGGGATTATAGGCATGAGCCCCCATGCCCAGCCCAAAGTGATCTTATTGATACAGGAGCTATGTAGAAAGAAATTATTTAGGCAGATAATGAGGGATAAAGAGTCCTCGACAGAGCTTCCCTTCTAACAAAAAGCAGCCCAGAAAAGTATTTCTTTTCTCTTAGAAAGAGCAGCCTGAAAAATCGAGCTTCAGACATAGATAAGCAAGCTGGAAGCTTGCATGGGGGAATGCTGGCAGCTATGCCAAGAGAAAAATGCTACCTGGGGGCCACGCATATTCAACATGGAGGCTCCATCCTCCCTTTTGTTACCATGTTTACCGGAACATAGAAATGGGCAACATGTCACAGCTCAGGCAGATAACCTGCCTGCATAATAAGAGATTAAAATGGGGCTACCAGAGATTCACCTTCTATGCAAATGGCACACCTGGTCTAACCAGTTTTTCATGTCCTATTCCAATCAGACACTGCCTCCTCACCAGCTGAGGAGGTAAAATACCCTCTGTATTTTGCCATGGACAGGCAACCCATTTTTCCAGGACAACTCTTTGCAGCAGAGAGCTATTCTCTTTCTTTTGCCTTCCACTCTCAACCTCACTCTTTGAGTGTCTGCATCCTAGTTTTCCATGGCCATAAGATAAGGAACCATGAGTGTTACTCTAGATGAGGCTGTTTCATTGTGGGAGCTCATCCAGGATCCAAGGTAGATTCATCAGAAGGGTAAGTATAGGAGTGGAACCCAAATCTCTACTTTTATTTTGAGGCCTTCTCTCCTCAATTTTAAATTGTAAAATCAAACTTAAAACTGGGTATCTGATGGCCAGTTAAAAGACTGGGTATCTGATTGCCAGTTAAGAGATGGTCATTTATGCTCACCACCATTCTCAAGACGCAGGTGAGGTGACAGGCTTGCTGGGGAATGCTGAGCGAATCCCCCAGTGCCTTCAGGATTCTGGGAATGTTGGCTCTGTTTTAAACTGGTTGACTTTCACAAAGAGCCTAGCCGTCATGTGGGACTGGAAGAGATCCAGAGGCAGTTCCTGGCCAAGGCTACACCCCAGTGTTACCTGAAGGCTTCTGGACATACTCTTCCAGCCTCTTACTGCTCATTAGGCATCAGCAACACAATCTCCAAGTTCTGTCCATCAAATTTTTTTTCTTTCCTCTCCATGACCACCATGTCTCCTGTTCCCCCTTTATATACAAAGCTGCAGGAATTTTTACAGTTAAAGGAAATAATCCTGTCAGTCAACATCAGCAAATGCCACAGTAAAACTGGGAATATAGCTTAAAGGATTGCCTTTTTTGTGATTTTTCTAGGAACAAGGGTTCTCCTCTCCCCCACCCAGTGAAGGTCTTTTTCTCTATCCTTTGTCTGGAAAGTACACAGTATTTCAAGACCTACAGTGCCACCTAGCAGAATAGGAATCCTCTCCAAGATGTACCTTGTCAGACCTTTGCTGGAACACTGTATTTTCCCAATCCTATTCCCCTTTTGCACCCCTCAACTATAAACCAAGCTTTATGCCCTATCCGTGAATGGGAAAACTCAACAACAAGGAGGAAAATGTCTCCCAAAACCAAATTTTGTGTCAGTAATTTCCATTCAGCAGAAAAACTGCCATTCGATCACTACATTTTTTAAGGCAGCTATTCTACCTCCTGTTAGAATAATACTTAAATAGTAAGTGGATTTTATGTAGTAAGGATGTTAACCAGAACTACTGCCTAAGAATATACACTTTAATCTGGGGTATAATAACAGAATATACAGCGCAACCCCGTCCTTTTGCTCCATTAAGGGGCCTTGCCGACATACAACTGTTACATAGTCTGTCCTGAGAGCCATCTATTGGGAAGTCACACAGATCACAGAAGTCTAGAAAGTCAAAGGGAAATCACCAGCAGAGGACTACAGTTGCATTGGTATGTATGACTAATCCCATTGCTTAGCTCCCCCGGATCCATGCCTGAGGGTGATGTCTGCATCCACCTTTAATGGATGCCGGGGCTTAGGGAACCAAGGAAGGAAACAGTTGAAAGGATACCCCAATTGTCACCTTCTTCACCCTGGGTCATTCCAAAAGAAAGGAAGGACACTAGGCTGGGTGCGGTGGCTCACACCTGTAATCCCAGCACTTTGGGAGGCCAAGGCAGGCGGATCATGAGGTCAGGAGATATAGACCATCCTGGCTAACACGGTGAAACCCTTTCTCTACTAAAGATACAAAACGTTAGCTGGGCGTGGTGGCAGGGTCCTGTAGTCCCAGCTACCTGGGAGGCTGAGGCAGGAGAATGGCATGAACCTTGGAGGCAGAGCTTGTAGTGAGTTGAGATGTGCCACTGCACTCCAGCCTGGGTGACAGAGTGAGACTCCGTCAGAAAAAAAAAAAAAAAAAAAGAAAGGAAGGAAGGAGACTAAAGGGATATTTTTTTCTCACTTCTCTTTTTAGATGGGTAACAGACCATCTTTGGCCTGTACTCCTCTGGAGTGCATTCTGAAGCACTGGGACTCCTATGACCCTAGGACTTTGAAGAAAAAGTGGCTAAATTTCTTTTGCACAAGAGTGTGGCCTTCTTATTATCTTGAACTAACCTGGCTTTGGAGGGAAGCTTTGATTTTAATACTATCCAAAAATTAGATCTTTTCTGTAGATGAGAGAGCAAATGATTAAAGGTTTTCTATGTACAGGTTTTCTTTGCCCTGTGAGACAACCTAGACTTTTGCAAGCATTGCACAATTGGCCCAGCTCTTTTAGCAGTCATATCAGGCAGGCACAAAGCAAATAATTCTCCAAAACTAGAAAGGCAACTTCTAGGAGAACCATCTGAGGGAGCAATCTAGTATCATAGCCCTTCCTGTCCCCCTTATTCAGGCCCCCCTCTAACCACACCATAGGCTCTTCCACTTCCACCATCTCCAAAGTTTCCCACTCCTCCAGCTTTGCTCTTACTCATATAGGAAATGCCCAATGAAGGTGATGCCACTAGGGTTCAAGTTCCTTTCTCATTTCAGGACCTTAGGCAAATAAAGGGAGACTTAGGGCAATTTTCTAATGACCCTGATAGCTATATAGAAGCCTTCCAAAATTTATCTCAGGTGTTTGACCTCTCATGGAGGGATGTTATGTTGCTCCTAAGCCAAGCTCTAACTACTGCTGAAAAACAGGCAGCTCTGCCGGCATCAGAGGAATTCAAAGATGAGCAATATGTCTCTTCTAGAAGGCCAAAAAGCAAAAGAGAAAGTAGGCAAGAACAAAAAAAGGGAAAACACCATTCCCAATAGAAAGAGAGGAAATACATCTTGACAACCCTGATTAGAACCCGAGTGACTCCACAGATGAATAGAAAAGAAAACACTTTAATGTGCTTATTGGAAGGCCTATGAAGAATTAGTGCCAAACCTCTTAGTTACTCTAAAATGTCCATGACAGACAAAAACCCAGATGAGAATCCCACAACCTTTATGGCAAGGCTGAGAGAAGCACTAATAAAACACACCACCATATCATCTGAATCAGTTGAGGGTCACCAATTTTAAAAGACATGTTTATTACACAGGAAGCGCCTGATATTAGAAGGAAACTGCAGACGCAGGCTATAGGACCAGATACCACCTTGGAAAAGCTCTTGAGGGTGGCCACCTTGGTATTTTGTAATAGAAACCAGGAAGAGGCCCAGGAGAAAGAGAGGAATCACAGAGAAGGACAGGGGCTATAGTGGCTGCTTTACACACTTGCAAGATCCAGGATCCCTGAGGTGCATCTGCTAGTTGCTACCAATGTGGCAAGTCAGGGCACTTTAAGAAGGATTGCCCAGTGAGCAAGAAGAAGCCACCTTGACCCTGTACAGCACATGGCAGTGACCACTGGAAATCAAACTGCCCCCAGAGATGGAGGTCACCATGTCCAAAACTGGTTTCACCAGTGGTCGAATAGGACTGATGGGTCCCTGGGATCAGACCCCCAGCTCCAGTGGCTCAAACTTCCATTATTGCTCAGGAACCCTGGTGATTCTGGAAATAGAAGGAAGGAGGGTGGACTTCTTTCTGGAAACTGAAGCCAGTCTTTTACTTCTCTCTAATCCAGGCCTCCCCTCTTTCTGTAGCATGACCGTGATAGGCATCTCAGGAAAGATTCTAACCTGATATTTTTCTCAACCCCTTAGTTGTAGTTTGGGGGATGTATTATTTACACATATCTTCTTAATCATGCCTAAAATCCCACTCCTTTATTAGGTAGAGATATTGTAGCTCACATGGGGTCAGCATTCTTTTTTTTTTTTTTTTGAGACGGAGTCTCGCTCTGTCGCCCAGGCTGGACTGCGGACTGCAGTGGCGCAATCTCGGCTCACTGCAAGCTCCGCTTCCTGGGTTCACGCCATTCTCCTGCCTCAGCCTCCCGAGTAGCTGGGACTACAGGCGCCCGCCACCGCGCCCGGCTAATTTTTTGTATTTTTAGTAGAGACGGGGTTTCACCTTGTTAGCCAGGATGGTCTCGATCTCCGGGGTCAGCATTCTTATAGCCCCAGGACAAACTCTTTGTTTCCCCCTGGTAGAAGCTAATATTAATTCAGAAGTGTGGGCAATTCATGGAAGAATAGGTCAAGTTATAAGCACTAGGCCAGTCCAGATCCATCTTGTGGATCCCAGTTTTTTGGAGGGTTTAGATGATAGTTAGGACAATATTCCCTAAAGCCAGATTCTAGGAATGGGCTAGAAGCCATTATTAATAACCTGAAAATGCAGGGCCTCCTCAAACCCTGTAACAGCCCTGCAACACAACTGTCCCAAGGAAAACACCTTCTTTGGGCTACTCTTCTTTCCAGGGCTTTACTGTGGCTTTACCCTTCAAAGTTAGGTCTGAACCCTTTTGAAATGCTGTATGGATGGTCTTTTCTTACAGATGATTTTATTTTAAGGCAAGAGACCGCTTAGTTGGCTTAGCATATAAACCCCTAGCTCACTTTCAACAAGAATTAACATACCTTAGAGAAACCCACCTGCATAATAAAAGATTAGGGTGGGAGCTACCAAAGATTTGTGTCCTGTGCAAATGGCACACCTGGTCTAACCAGTTTTTTACACCCTATATAAGTCAGACACCACCCCCTCAGCATCTTATCTATAAAACCCCCTGCATTTCACCACAGACCACCAATGTCTCCAGACTCCTGTCTGCAGCAGAGAGCTATTCTCTTTCTTTTGCCTATTAAACTTCTGCTCTCAACCTCACTTTTTGTGTGTCCATGTCCTTGTTTTCCATAGCTGTGAGACAATGAACCTTGAGTGTTAATCCTGACATGGAAGCTGTTTTATTATGAAAACATACTTCTGATTATGCAGTCTCCTGCTTAAATTTTTTAAATGGCTTTCCATTAGAATGAAATTTAAAAGTCCTTTATGCCCTGAAAGCCTACACCAGTTGACTCCTAGCTTCATCTGTGAGCATCTTATTTCTTTTCTTACTATACCATAATGACTGTGTCAGCTAGGGTTGATTGTTACATAAGCCACAGAAGGAAATTCTGTACAATTTAAGCAAAAAGGGGAATCTGTTACCGATTTATGCTTATTGCAGAGAATTAAGGGCAAAGCCTGTCTCATAATTCTGGAAGGACAGAAATAAGCTTGGTTTTAAGAGTTAGATGAACAAGAATTAACCAATAGGCTTTATTTTACTACCATTGGACTATCATAGGTCTGACCATTTTCTACTCATTTGAGTACATGTTTAAGGTTTAAACACCCAAGAGAAACTATTATTGTCTTGGCATGGGTCACATGTTCACCCATGGGCCAAGAGGGTATGAAATGTGGGAGGTACAATTCACTGATAGAAAAGATAATGCTATTTGGGAAAGAAATGAAAGGAATTCTGAGTAAGCAAAAACAACAGGAATTGTTTCTAAGGATTTCTTATTAGTTGATGTGTCCCTTTTGCAGAGATGCCTGCCCTAAACTGTTAATCTCAGTGGTTACCTTTTAAAATTCTGTCAAAGCACATTTTACTTTTTGTTGGGAACAGGCCCCCCAAAATCTGGCCATAAACGGGCCCCCAAACTGGCCATAAACAAAATCTCTGCAGCACTGTGACATGTTTATGATGGCCATGATGCCCACACTGGAAGGTTGTGGGTTTACCAGAATGAGGGCAAGGAATACCTGGCCCACCCAGGGCGGAAAACCACTTTAAGGCATTCTTAAACTACAAACAATAGCATGAGCAATCTCTGCTTTAAGGACATGCTACTGCTGCAGATAGCTAGCCAAACCCATCCCTTTATTTTGGCCCATCCCTTTGTTTCCTATAAGGAATATTTTTAGTTAATCTATAATCTATAGAAACAATGCTTATCACTGGCTTGCTGTTAATAAATACATGGGTAAATCTCTGATTGAGGCTCTCAGCTCTGAAGGCTGTGAGACCCTTGATTTCCCACTCCACACCTCTATATTTATGTGCGTGTGTCTTTAATTCTTCTAGCGCCGCTGGGTTAGTCTCCCTGACCAAGCTGGTCTTGGCAACTTTTCATGATAACATTAATATGTGTATGATTTTATAATCTCTATTTCCTTCACTTTAAGTTTCATAAATGCAAGAATGACACCTATTTAGTTTTTTTTGTAGTATTATTGCATCTGTTATTTTATCTGGACATAAAAGGCACATATGATTTATAGAATACTGTAAAATAAAGTAAATTTTGAAAAATTTCACTGATGCAGTCAATTAAATGACATTAAAATATTTAAAATAATTTTATAATGGAATAGAAAAATGTGCATGTTAAAAATAAAAAGAATTGAAAATTCTGTATTTGGTATACAGACAATTATATAGAAGAAAACAAAAGCACAAACTATGCAGTAAAAAGCTTGAAAAATACTTTATCAATTTTTCATTTATGAAGCTTAATTTTGATAGACATGTAATTCTTGGCTGGAATTTATATGGTTTCAGGCTAAAAGCAGGAGGACCCCAATCCCTCTGGTTTGTAAGGTTTTTGCTGAGAAGTCTGCTGTTAGTCTGACAGGTTTTTTAATAGGTTACCTGATACTCTGTCTCACAGCTCTTAAAATTCTCTCCTTCACATTGACTTTTTTCAGACAAGTGCTGAGGGAATTTGCCACTTCCAAACCAGCACTACAAGAAATGCTAAAGGGAGTTCTAAATTTTAAAACAAAAGCTTGCTATACACCAAAATAGAACCTCCTTAAAGCATAAAACTAACAGGGCCTTTAAAACAATAACACAATGAGAAAAACAAAGTGTCTAAGTAACAACTGAAAGAATTAATTGAACAGTATCTCACATCTTAACATTAACATTGAATGTAAATGGCCTAAATGCTCCAAGTAAAAAAATATAGAATGACAGAATGGATAAAAATCCACCAACCACATATCTGCTGTCTTCAAGAGAGTC
This sequence comes from Homo sapiens, assembly GCF_000001405.40. Taxonomy (NCBI): domain Eukaryota; kingdom Metazoa; phylum Chordata; class Mammalia; order Primates; family Hominidae; genus Homo; species Homo sapiens. The sequence continues at coordinate 37,328,154 of NC_000010.11, forward strand.
ACCTAACACATAAGGACTCATGAAACTTAAGGTAAAAAGGTGGAAAATGATATTCCACAAAAATGAAAACCAAAAGCAAGCAGGAGTAGCTATTCTTATATCAAACAAAACAAACCTTAAAGCTACAAAGCTTTGTTGCTTTAAGGTCTGTATCCTTTTCTATATTAAAAAAAGACAAAGAAGGATACTATATAATGATAAAAGGATTAATCCAACAGGAAGATCAGTATCCTTTTTTGTCTTTAAAAAAAACAAAGAAGAATACTGTATAATGATAAAAGGATTCATCCAACAAGAAGATATTACAATCCCAAATTTATAGGCATCTAACACTGGAGCTCCCAGATTTATAAAACAATTCTTACTACACCTAAGAACTGAGAAAAACAGCAACACAGTAATAATGGGGAACTTCAATACTTTACTGACAGCACTACACAAATCATCAAGACATAAAGTAAAGAAGAAGCAATGAAGTTAAATTACACTCTAGAACAAATACACCTAACAGACATTCACAGAACATTCTTCCCCCAAACTGCAGAATATGCATTCTTCTCTTCAGCACATGGAAAATTCTTTAAGATATGCCATACAATAGGGCACAAAAAAAACAAGTGTCAATAAATTTAGGAAAATCAAAATCATATCAAGAATTTTCTCAGCTCACAGTGAAATAAAACTGGAAATTAACTTCAAAAGGAACCCTCAAAACTATAAAAATAAATGGAAATTAAGCAATCTTCTCTTGATTAATGTTTGAGTTAAAAATTAAATCAAGATGGAAATTTAACAATTCTTTAAAATGAACAGTAATAGTGGCACAACTTATCCAAACATCTGGGATACAGCAAAAATGGTGCTAAGAGGAAAGTTTATAGCATTAAATGCCTACATCAAAAAGTCTGAAAGAGCACAAATAGACAACTAAGGTCACACTTCAAGAAACTAGAGAAACAGGAACAACTAAACCCAAACAAAGCAGAAAGCAAGAAATAACGAAGATCAGAGCAGAACTGAATGACATTGAAACAAAAAATAGAAAAGATAAACAAAAAGCTATTTTTTTGAAAAGATAAACAAAATTGATCTTAGTAAGATAAGTCAAGAAAAGAAAAGAGAAAATCTAAATAAGCTCAGTTAGAAATAAAACTGGACATATTACAACCAATACCACAAAAATTATAAAAAATTATTTAAGGCTACTGTGAACACCTTTACACATACAGACTAGGAAATCTAGAGAAAATTGATAGATCCTTCAAAATATACAACCGTCTTACATCAGTAAGAAATAGAAACCATGAACAGCCCAATAACAAGCAGCTAAATGGAATTGGTTATAAAAAGAAAGTTGCCAACAACAAAAAAGGGCTAAAACCAGAAGGATTCACAGCTGAATTCAATTAGACATTCAAAGAAGAATTGGTACTATTTCTTCTAAAACTATTCCAAAAAATAGAGAAAGAGGAAATCTTCCCTAAACTATTCTATACAGCCATTATCATCCTAATAGCAAAACCAGCAAAGGCTACAACAAAAACAGACATCTACAGACCAATGTCCCTGATGAACATAATTGCAAAAATTCTCAACAATATACAGCTAACTGAATTCAACAGCACATCAAAAAGATAAGACATCATGACAACGTAGGTTTTATCCTAGGGATGCAGGGATGGTTTAACATATGCAAGTCAATAAATGTGATACGTCTTATGAACAGAATTTTTAAAAAAGTATGATTATCTCAAAAATGCAGAAAAAGCATTTGATAAAATCGAGAATTATTTTATGATAAATTTCCTCAACAAAATAGGCATAGAAGGCACTTACCTCAAACAAATAAAAGCCATTTATGACAAACCCACTGCCAACATCATACTAAATCAGATAATTTGAAAGCATTCCCCCTGAGAACTGAAACAAGACAAGGATGCCCACTTTTATCACTTATATTCAGCATAGTAGTGGAAGTCCTGGCCAGAGCAACCAAACAAAAGAAATACATAAAGTGCATCCAGTCTTGAAAAGAGGAAGTCAAACTCTTTCTGTTCACTGGTGGTATGATTGCATACCTAAAAAACTCGAAAGGCTCATCTAAAAAGCTTCCAGATTTTACAAACAAATTTAGTAAAGTCTTAGGATACAAAATCAATGTACACAAATTAGTAGCACTACCATACACCAAAAACAACGAAGCTGAGAATCAAATTAAGAACTCAATCTGTTTTACAATAGCTGCAAAAATAAATAAATACTTAGAAATATATTTAACAAAAAAAAAAAGTGAAAGAGCTCTACAAGGAAAAATTATAAAACACTGCTGAAAGAAATCATGGATGACACAAACAAATGGAAACATATTTCATGCTCATAGATTGTGACCTGGTTAAGTTTGTGTCCTTACACTAACCTCATTTTTAATTATAATTCCCATAATCCCCATTTGTCAAGAAAGAGACCAGATGGAGGTAATTGGATCATGGGGGTGATTTCTCCCATGCTGTTTTTGTAATAGTAAATTCTCATGAATCTGATGGTTTTATAAGAGTTTGATAGTTCCTCCTGTGTTCATTCTCCCTCCTGCTGCCAAGTGAAGAAGGTGTCTTGCTTGCTTCCCCTTTACCTTCCACCATAATTGTAAGTTTCCTGAGTCCCCCCAAGCCCTGTGGAACTGTGAGTCAATTAAACCTCTTTCCATTATATTTTATTATATATATATATAATATATATATAATAGGTAATATATAATATATATTATATATATTTATAATACATAAATATTATATATATTTATATTATATATATTTATATAATATATATTATATAAATATATATTATATATATAATATATATTTATATAATATATATTATATATATAATATATATTATATATATTTATATAATATAACATGTTATATATTATATAAATATATATATTTACACATATATTTCCAGTCTTGGGCACTTCTTTACAGCAGTATGAAAATACGCTAATACAGATATAAAAAAAATTGTTGTGAAAATGACCATACTGCTCAATCTATAGATTCAATGTAATTTTTATCAAAATACCATCATTATTCTTCACAGAACTGGAAAAAAAAACTTCTAAATTTCATTTGGAACCCATAAAGAGCCTTCAGAGCCAAAACCATACTAAGCAAAAACAACAAATCTGGAGTCATCACATTACCTGACTTCAAATTATAGTGCAAGGCTGTAGTTACCAAAGCAACGTGGTACTGGTATAAAAATAGACATGCAGACCAACAGAGCAGAATAGACAACCCCTGAAATAAAGCCAAATACAGCCAACTGATCTTTGACAAAGCATACAAGAACATAAAAGGACACCCTCTTCATCAAATGGTGCTTGGATAACTGTCAATGAAACTAAATCTTCAGCTCTCACCTTATACAAAAATCAACTTCTGATGGATCAAAGTCTGAAATCTGAGACCAGAAACCATATAAATTCTAGAAGATAACATCAGAAAACCTCTTCCAGGCATTGGCTTAGAAAAAGAATTTATGGCTTAGATCTCGTAAGCAAATAAAACAAAAATAAATCAATAAATGGGACCTAATCAAACTAAAAAGCTTACGCACAGCAAATAATAATAATGATAGCAGAGTAAACAGACAACCCACAGAGACAAAATATTTGCATGCAAACTATGCATATCAGAAAGGATTAATATCCAATAACTACAAGCAACTCAGGCAAATTGGCCAGAAAAAAAAAATAATCCCATCAAATGTATGCAAAGGACATGAATAGACAATTTTTTAAAGAAGTATACTAACTGCCAACAAACATGAAAAAATGCTGAACATCACTAATTATCAGGGAAATGCAAATTAGACCCACAGTGAGATACCGCCTTACTCCTGCATGAATGGCTATAATTAAAAAGTAAAAAAAAAAAAAAAGATATTGGCATGGATGTGATAAAAATGGAATACTTTTACACTGCTGGTGAGAATGTAAGTTAGTACAACCACGATGGAAAGCAGTATGTGTATTCCTTAAAGAACTAAAAGTAGAACTACCATTCAATTTAGCAATCTTGCCTCTGGGTATCTACCACCCCACCCCCACAAAAAATAAGTCATTATATGGAAAAGGCATATGAACATGTATGTTTATAGCAGCACAATTAACTATTACAAAGGTATAGAATTAACCTAAGTGCCCATCATCCAAGGAACGGATGAAGAAAATGTGATATATATGCACCATGAAATACGACTCCCCCATAAAAAAGGAGCAAAATAATGTCCTTTGCAGCAACTTAAATGGAGTTAGAGGAAATTATTCTAAGTTAAGAAACTCAGGAATTAAAAAAAAATTGTGTATTTTCACTTATAAGGGGAAGCTAAGCTATGAGAATACAAATGCATAAAAATAACATAAGGGACTTATATTATCCTAGTATCTAGAATCTACAAGGAACTCAAATCAGCAAGAAAAAGTGAATAATTCTGTGAGAAAGTATGCAAAGTTCATGAATAGACAATTATCAAAAGAAGATACACAGTCAAAAACATATGAAAAATGCTAAACATCACTAATTTTAACTCAAGAGTGAAGGTTGGTGGGGGTGATAAAAAACATATTGGGTACAGTGTATACTGCTCAGATGTGGGTGCACAAAAATCTAATAAATCACCGCTAAAAAACTTATCCGTGGACCAAAAACCACCTGTACCTCAAAAATCATTGAAATAAAAATAAAAATATTTAAATAAATAAATATAAAAGGAATGAAAATATACCAATATATCAACAATATTTATGGATGATTTTCCATGTATTTCAAATGTTTAATAATGAGTATTTGTTATTTTATAGATCATATCCAAAGAAACAATACATAATGAGTAAAAATTTTCATCTTCATGTGGATATAGAGTTACATAAAAAATAGTTAATGCTAGCCAAAGGAGATTTAGAAACACCTGTATTCTATTGAGATGACTGAGTCTCAAGAAACTTGTTTTATTTTGCTCTTTCTTAGTAATGATTGCATTCATCATATGGAAATGTATTCCATGGCCTAGAAAGAAAAAGCGAATGACAAAGAAGGTTGGAATCTTGTGTTTATTCACTAGTTGCCACAGGGAATGGGGCATTAAAACAAATTAACAATATGAAAATGTTTGCTATGGGATATTTTAGTCTATTTATTTTAAAGTTGCTTAGATTTAAACTTTGTATTTTTTGTTTTTCTTTTACTGACACATAATGTTTTACATAAGTATGGGATACATGTGAGTTTTTGTTGCATGCATAGAATGTGTAATGATCAAGTCAAGGTATATAGGATATCATTTTGAATATAAATCATTTCTATGTGATGAGAACATTTCAATACCTCTCTTTTAGCTGCTTTGTAATATAAAATATATTGTTAACACAAGTCACACTAGCCTTCCACTGGACATTAAAACTTACTTTTTCTATGTGTGTGTTTTTCCCATTTGCCAGCCTCTCTTTATTTTCCTCTCCCACCCTTCCACACTTCCAAGCCTCTGGTATCTATCAGTCTATTGCCTATTTCCGTGAGATCAAGTTTTTAGCTCTCATGTATGAGTTGAGGACATGTGGTATTTGAATTCCTGTGCCTGGCTTATTTCACTCAATGTAGTCACCTCCAGTTGCAAATGACTTAATTTTATTCTTTGTTATAGCTGAATAGTATTCCATTGTGTGTGTGAGTGTGTACTACATTTTCTGTATCCATTGGCTCATTGAAGAAACACTGGTTGATTTTGTGTCTTTGCTATTGTGAATAATGCTGTGATACACATGTGAGTGTGTTATCCTTTTGATATACTGATTTAATTTCCTTTGAGTAAATACCCAATAGTGGGGTCCTGAATCATCTGGAAGTTCTATTTTTACTTTTTGGAGAAATATCTATACTGTTTTCTATACTGGTTGTACTAATTTACATTCCCACCAACAGCATATAAACATTAATTTTTATCACATTCTTAACTGTGTCTATTATTTTTTGTCTTTTTTAAAAATTATTATTATACTTTAAGTTTTAGGGTACATGTGCACAATGTGCAGGTTAGTTACATATGTATACATGTGCCATGCTGGTGCACTGCACCCACTAACTCGTCATCTAGCATTAGGTATATCTCCCAGTGCTATCCCTCCCCACTCCCCCCACCCCACAACAGTCCCCAGAGTGTGATGTTCCCCTTCCTGGGTCCATGTGTTCTCATTGTTCAATTCCCACCTATGAGTGAGAATATGCAGTGTTTGGTTTTTTTGTTCTTGCGATAGTTTACTGAGAATGATGATTTCCAATTTCATCCATGTCCCTACAAAGGACATGAACTCATCATTTTTTATGACTGCATAGTATTCCATGGTGTATATGTGCCACATTTTCTTAATCCAGTCTATCATTGTTGGACATTTGGGTTGGTTCCAAGTCTTTGCTATTGTGAATAATGCCGCAATAAACATACGTGTGCATATCATAGCCATTCTAACTGAGGTAAAATGATGCCTCATTGTGCTTTTGATTTGCATTTCCCAGAGGATGTTAAGCATTTTTTCATGGACCTGTTTTTCATTACTGTGTCATCATTTGAGAAATATCCATGCATGTCCTTTGACCACTTTTTAATGAGTTTTTTTTATTCTTGACTTGCTTGAGTTTCTTATATATTCTAAATATTTGTTGTCAGCTGAGTACTTTTCAATATATTCTATGCAACAGTTTGTCTCTTCGGCATTTTGATTATTTCTTTTGCTGTGCAGAAGCTTTTTCATTTATTATAGTTTCATTTTGTCTTTGTGTTTAGTTGGCTCTGTTTTTGAGGTCTTAACCAAAAAATATTTGCCTAGACCAATGTTCTGATTTTTTAAATGTTTTCTTCTTGTAGTTTTATAATTTTAGATCTTATGTTTAAGTCATTAATCCATCTTGGGTTGGCTTTTGTGTATGGTAAGAGATATAGTTTCAGTCTTTTGCATATGGATATTCAATTTTCCCAGCACCATTTACTGAAGAGGGTATTCTTTTCCCAGTGTACATTCTAGCTGCCTTTGTTGAAAATCAATAGGCTATACAAACATAAGTGTATTGCTGGGTTCTCTGTTTTGTTCCATTGGTTTTGCTCAGGATTAATTTGGCTATTGTAGTTCTTTTTAGGTTTCATACAAATGATAGATTTCTGTTTTTTTATTTCTATAAAAGTGGTGTTATTTTGATAGCAATTGCATTGACTCTAGATTTCTTTGGACAATGTAGTCATTTTAATGATAATAATTCTATCCATGAGCATGAGATTTCTTTAAATTTGTTTGTGTCCTCTTCAATTTCTTTCATCAGTGTTCTGTAGTTATCTTTGTAAACATTTTTCATGTCTTGGTTAAATTTACTCCTGGGTAATCTATATAGCTATTGTAAACAGGATTGCCTTCTTGCTTCATTTTTTGACTATTTTATTATCAATGTATTGAAACACTACTGATTGATTTTTGTATGTTGATTTCATATTGTCCAAATTTACTAAATTTATTTATGAGTTCTTTTCTTTTTTTCTTTTCTTTCTTTTTTTTTTTTTTTTTTTTTTTTTTTTTGTAGATGGAGTCTTGCTCTTTTGCCTAGGCTGGAGTGCAATGGCATGATCTCAGCTCACTGCAATCTCTGCCTTCTGGGTTCAAGTGATTCTCCTGCCTCAGCCTCCAGACTAGCTGGGACTACAAGTGCGTGCCACCACAGGCTAATTTTTTCACTTTTAGTAGACACAGGGTCTCATCGTGTTGGCCAGGCTATTCTTGAACTCCTGGCCTCAGGAGATCCACCTGTCTTGGCCTCCCAAAGCGCTGGGAATACAGGCATGAGCCACAGTGCCTGGCCTTGTTTATGAGTTCTTACAGTCTTTTGTTGGAGTCTTTTTTAGGTCTTTCTATATACAAAATTATGTCATCTGCAAAGTGGACAATTTGACTTCTTTTTGCAAGTCAATTTGGATGTTTCTTATTTTTTTCTCTTCCCAGATTACTGATTAGGACTTTCATGTTCAATAAGATTTGTGAAAGTGAACATTCTTTTTTTGTTCTGTGTCTTAGAGAAAAAGCTTTCAGCTTTTGTCTGTTCAGTATATTGTTAGCTTTGGGTTTGTCACATATGACCTTTATAATTTTGCAGAATGATCTTTCTATGTCTAGTTTGTTGAGAGTTTTTAATATGAACAGATGTTAAATTTTATCAATTACTTTTTCTACATCTATTAACCTAGTTATATGGGTTTTGTTCTTCATTCTACTGAGGCAATGTATTCAGTGTATTGATATGTGTATGTGACCATCCTTGCATTTCGGTATAAATTTCACTTGATCATGGTGCATTACCTTTTGATGTGCTGTTGCATTTGGTTTGCTAGTATTTTATTAAAGATCATTGCATCTACGTTTTCTTACAGATATTGGCCTGTAGTTTTGTGTTGTTGGTGGCAGATCCTTGTCTGGTTTGGTATTGTGGCCTCACAAAATAAGTTTGGAAGCATTCCTTTCTCTTATGTGTTTTTGAAATAGTTTGAGGAGGATTGATGTTCATTCTTTTTTAATACATTTGGAAGAATTCAGCAGTTAATCGACCTGATCATGTCTCTTTTTTTTGTTGGGAGACATTTTATTACTGACTCAATTTCATTATTCATTCATCAGTTCAGTTTTTCTACTTCTGATTCAATTGGATAGGTTGTGTGTTTATAGAAATTCAATCATTTCCTCTATATTTTCCTGTTTGTTAGCATTTATAATATTCTCTGATTATCTTTGATATTTCTGTGATATCAATTGTAGTGTCTGTTCTTTTATTTTGCTGATTTGTTTCTTATCTCTTTTCTTGGTTAGTCAAGCTAGCAGTTTATCAATATTGGTTATATTTTTGAATAACATACTTATCACTTCATTGACCTTTGCATTTCTTTCCTTAGTCTATCTTTAGTTTTTCTCCAATCTTTATTATTTCTTTCATCCTGCAAATTTTGGGTTTGCTGTGTTCTTGCTTTTTCACTTCCTTGAGGTGCATTGTTAGATTGTTTATAAGAAATCTTTCTGCTTTCTGGTGTAGATGTTTATTGCTATAGCCTACCTGTTCTTAATGCTTTTGCTGTATAGTATAGATTTTGACATGTCGTGTTTTCATTTTTATTTCTTTCGATAGTTTAAAAAAATGTCCATCTTGAAAACCAAACACCGCATGTTCTCGCTCATAGGGTGTGATAGGTATACAGCTGTTGTTACCATGGTGATGGCCAGTGTCATGCAGAAGATTATACCTCGCTATTCTCTTGCTCAATGGCTACTCTGTAATGGCAGTTTGAGGTGGTATCAACATTCTACAGTAGAAGAATCAAGAATTCTTGCAGGGAATCAGCAAAAAGAGAAAAGCAAAAAAGATAGGAAATATAATGGTCACACTGAAAGTAAGCCATTAACCATTCCAAAGGATATTGACCTTCGTCTAGAAACAAAGTCAGTTACAGAAGTGGATACATTAGCATTGCATTACTTCCCAGAATACCAGTGACTGGTGGATTTCACAGTGGCTGCTACAGTCGTGTATCTAGTAACTGAAGTCGACTACAAGTTTATGAAGCCTACACAGGAAATAAATATCAGCTTAGTCTGGTGCCTGCTTGTTTCGTCTTTTGCAATCGAAGTTCTATTTTCATTAATTACACACTATTTTAAAGTAGAAGATGCTGGTGAAAGATCTGTTTGTGTCACCTTTGGATTTTTTTTCTTTGTCAAAGCAATGGCAGTGTTGATTGTAACAGAAAATTATCTGGAATTTGGACTTGAAACAGGGTTTACAAATTTTTCAGGCAGTGCGATGCAGTTTCTTGAAAAGCAAGGTTTAGAATCTCAGAGTCCTGTTTTAAAACTTACTTCCAAATTTTTTCCTGGCTATTTTCTGTTCACTCACTGGGGCTTTTTTCACATTTCCTGGATTACGGCTGGCTCAAATGCATCTGGATACCCTGAATTTGGCAACAGAAAAAATTACACAAACATTATTTCATATCAGCTTCTTGGCACATTTATTTATGGTTCTGCTCTGGGTAAAACCAGTCACCAAAGACTACATTATGAACCCAACCTTGGGTGAAGAAAGCATCACTTTAATGACAGAAGCCACATTTGGTACTCTGCAAATCTGGTTAATAATCCTGCTGTGTGCTTTGCGGTTGGCCATGATGCATAGTCACCTGCAAGCTTATTTAAATTTAGCCCAAAAATGTGTGGATCAGATGAAGAAAGAAGCAGGGTGAATAAGTACAGTTGAGCTACAGAAAATGGTGGCTTGAGTCTTTTATTATCTTTTTGTCATTGCACTGCAGTATGTGGTGCCTCTGGTAACACTGTTTCACACAACTCTGCTTTTGAAAACACTAGGTAATCATTCCTGGGGTATTTATCCAGAATCTGTCTCTACCTTACCAGTGGATAATAGTCTACTCTACAATTCTGTTTACTCTGAATTACCATCAGCTGAAGAGAAGATGAAGGTTACTGTTACACAAATAACAGTGGCACTGAGCAGCTTAAAAACATTTTTACACTTCTTGTTTTTTGAGGACTTCTGTCTTTTCTGACCTGGTAGATTGCTGCTTGCCTCTTTTCTACAAGCCTTTTTGGGCTTTTTTATCACCAGTATCTGACTGTGGCATGAATCTCAGTTAACAAAAAAGCATATCAAAATCACAGTTTAAATTCAAATATTTGTGCCCTTAAAGGGCTGACGAAAACCAGAAGAAAGCAAATACAATGGAAAAAAATCAGAATATCTTGTATTAAATGTTTCCTCTGTATTCTCAGGGTGAATTAATGTTAAAATTACAAAATAGATTGTTAACTGTTACACTGTGGCATTGGAATTTTAACTGTTGGTATTTACTGGTATGAGGGCTATCTACAAGGGTAATATTTCTGATTACCTTGGCTTACAGAAACCTCCAGCAGTCTTTGAAACATCTCACATGACTCCAGTTATTGATTGCTTTTAATGGTATTATGGTACTGCTGGTCGTCATAGTGGCTGCCTATAGAACAATCTTCAAACTGAGCCATGCTTTAGGGGAGAGAAAGGGGCTAAAGTCTCTTCTGTTGGTAATATATTAGTTACTCTTGAAACGATAAAATCCAACAGAAAGGAAGAGATAGCTACTGTATATTATAGTAAAGAAAGCTGCATAGTTATTTTAAATTTAGTGGAGATGAATATGGTTATTATCTACAACTACTGCTGCTTGAGAATGGCAAGAGTATTGTTTTAAAACATATTCTACCCACCTTGAGAGTTCTTTTAAAATGATTGGCCATATGAACACTTGTAATCTTGCCATTAGGCTTAGACCTGCCATATTTTTTTTATTCTATGATCCTAAATAGTTCCTTTTAATAGTCTAAAAATATTTATCAATACTGATCAGACTTTAAAGAAATTACTTTGTAAACTTGCTGACTACCTGTATGTATTGTACATCTATTATATATTAAATATATAATATATTGAGATTATAAAAGATGGAAATAGTGATTCCTTATAACATTTTAAGTTGCAGAATGTATGTTAAAAAGTGATTTGAATGAGATGTATTTGTATCTAGAAATTTTATTTCTTTTTGGAATGCGATTAAAATACATTTTGAAAGTTCAAAAAAAAAGTCCATCTTAACTATTAATGGTCATTTGGGATTATGTTATTTAATTTTCATGTATTCATATAGTTTCCAAAGATCCTCTTGGTGTAGGTTTTTACTTGTATTTTATGGTGGTTCGAGTTATTTGCAATATATATATATTTTTTACTTTGTTGTCGTTTATAGCCTATTGTGTTTTGTTTTATTTTATTTATTTATTTATTTATGTATTTATTTATTTTTTGAGACGGAGCCTTGCACTGTTGCCCAGGCTGGAGTGCAGTGGCGCAATCTCGGCTCACTGCAAGCTCCGCCTCCTGGGTTCACCCTGTTCTCCTGCCTCAGCCTCCTGAGTAGCTGGGACTACAGGCGCCCACCACCACGCCCCGCTAATTTTTTGTACCTTTAGTAGAGATGGGGTTTCACTGTGTTGGCCAGGATGGTCTCGATTTACTGACCTCGTGATCTGCCCGTCTCGGCCTCCCAAAGTGCTCGGGTTACAGGCGTGAGCCACACCGCTGGGGCAGCCTATTGTTTTTTAAATGTTGACATTTGTAGGCTGTATGGAGAATGTGCTAATAAAAAGAACGTTTATTCCGCCCTTGTTGGATAAAATGTTTTGTAAATAACTATTAAAATCATTTGGCCTAAATTCCAGTTTAAATCCAGTGTTTGTTTTTTGATTTACTGTTTTAATAATCTTTTTCATGCTGAGGTGGGGGTATTGAAGTCTCCCACAGTTATTGTATTGCAGTCTATTCCTCTTTTTAGATGTAGTAATATTTGCTTTATGAATCTGGGTATTCCAGTGTTTGCTGAATGTATATATTCAGAATTGTTATACTCTGTTGCTGGATTGATCACTTTATTATTATTTAATGAGTTTCTTTTCTTTTTCTAACTTAAATTCTGGTTTGTGTGATATAAGTATAGCTACTTCTGCTTACTTTTGGTTTCTTGTTGCATGAAATATCTTTTTTCATGCTTTTGCTTTCTCATCTATATTTGTCTTAATAGGTGAGGTGCATTTCTTGTAGGCAGCATGTAGTCAGACCATGTTTTCTAAATTCATTCACACAGTCTATTATTTTAAGTGAATAATATAATGCATTTACATTCAAGGTTGTCTTTGATATCTAAGGTAGTGTTTCTGTTATATTCTTAACTGTTTTATATATTCTTTGTTCCTTACTATTTCTCTGACTTTGTCATTGTTGTTAGTTTTTTTGTAGTGGTACCATGAATCCTTGCTCTTCCTTATTTGTGTATTTGCTTTACCAATGGGTTTTTTAATTTTATTTGTTTTCATGAAGGTTTTCCTTTTGCTTCCAATTTTAGAATTCATTTTATAAATAATTTTCATCTTAATTTCTTTGTTGACTTCACGGTCATTCATGTTATTTAAATTTCACTTATTTGTATAATTTCCAGAGTTTCTCTTGGTATTGATTTCTAGTTTTACTCCACTGTGGTCTGCGAAGATACTTAATCTGATTTCAGTATTTTAAAATTTGTTGAGACTTATTTTGTGGCCTAAAATATGGTCTGTCTTGGACAATAATCCATGTGCTGATGAGAAGAATATATATTCTGCAGTTGTTGAGTAGAATGTTCTGTAAATGTCTGTTAAGTCATTTGGTCTAAAGTCCCATTTTAGTCCAACGTTTATTTATTTATTTTCTATCTAGATAATTTGTCTAATGCTCTGAATGGTGTGTTGAATTTCCCAAGTATTATTGTATTTCTCCCTATCTCTCTGTTTATAACTAAATATAGGTTTTATAAATGTGGGTGATCCAGCATTTTGTAAATATATATTTGTAATTGGTGTAAGTTCTTAATGAATTGACCCCTTTATTATTATATAATAACCCTTTTGCATTTCCTTAACTGTTTTTGACTTAAGGTCTGATTTATCTGGTATAAGTGTAGCTTCTCCTTTTTGCTTTTAGTTTTCATTTGCATGGAGTATCTTTGTCCACTCCTTTACAGGTAACATGAGTTTCTCGTAAGCAGCATATAGCTCAAAATGTATTCAGCCAGTCTATATATTTTTAAATGAATATTTAATCCATTTACAATCAAGGAATGTAATTGATATGTAAGGTTTTGTTCCTGTCATGTTATTGTTTTCTAGTTAATTTATAAATTCTTTGAATTTTTCCTTTTCTTTGACTGTCGTTGTTTGGTGGAGTTTCTGTAGTGGAGTTTCTGTAGTAAAGTCCTGTGATTCGTTTCTCTTCCTCCTTCATGTGATTGCTTTACCAGTGAGTTTTATACTTTCATGTGTTTTCCTGGTTGTAAATGTTGTCTTTTTACTTCCATGTTTAGGAATGAGTTGAGCATTTCTTGTAGGGCCAGTCTAGTGGTGACAAATTTCTTTAGGATTTGCTTGCCTGGAAAAGATTCATATATACTTTATTTATGAAGTTTAGCCTTGCTGAATGTGGAATTCTTAGCTGACATTATTTTTTCTTTCAGCATTTTGAAAATGCCATTCCACTGTTTTCTGGCCTTTATGATTTCTGCTGAGAAATCCACTGTTAGTCTGATGGGGTCTCCTTCATAGGTGAGTAGATGTACTTCTCTTTCTGGTTTTAGAATCTATGCATTTACATTGATTTGAGACAGTCAGATTTTAATGTGCTGTGGTGAAGTCCTTTTTCACTGCATTTGTTAGGGAACACTGAGCCTTCCATATCTGAATGTCTAAATCTCTTGCTAAATGTGGAAAGATTTTATCTGTTATTTCATTAAATAGGTTCTCTAGGTCTTTTGAATTCTCATAACCCTTAAGAATACAATTCATAATTTGGTTTGTCCTATGGAGTCCCAAATGTCTCAAAGAGTTTCACTTATTTTAAAAATTTATTTTGCAAAATTTTGTCTTAATTATTTTAAAGGACCTACTTCAAGTCATGGAATTTTTTTCTTTTCCTTGGTATAGCCTATTTTTTAATGTTTTAAATGTGTTTTGTATTTCCTCCAATATATTTTTTTTCCTTCAGAATTTCTGGGTTTTCTTTTCTTTTCTTTTTTGAGATACCTATTTCCTTTCTCATTTGTACCTTGAATTGATTTTCTCACTTTCTTTTATTGGTTTTCAGATTTCCCATGCATCTCACTGAACTTCTTTAAACTTAATGTTTTGTAATTTTTAGGGGGTGATGAATATATTTATTATCATGATAGTGGTGATGGTTTCATGGGCATACATGTGTCAAAACTTAACCAAATTTTACACCATAAACAGGTGCAATTTATTGTATGGCAATTATACATCAATCAAAATGTTAAAATAGAGCCACAAAATCCTTTCGATTTCTCTCAATACGAGATGGATTATAATTCTCTTCCCCTGAGTGTGGGCTGGCCTTAGTGTATCATTTGACCATTAGAATATAGCAGATACTGGGACTTCTGAATGTAGGGCATAAGAGGCCTTGCATCTTTGGTACAGCTGTCTGGGAACACTCTGAAAGCCCTGAGCTGCCACATAAGAAGTCTGGCTACCTTGAGACTGTGATGCTAGAGAGGCCATGTGTAGATACTCCAGTTGAAGCTCCCAGCTGAGCCCAACCTTCTCCATCAAAGTGCCGGACATGTGAGTGACCAACCCAGCCCAGCCCAGATAACATCTGAATACCACAGGGTAACCTTTGTTACTATCATGTGGAAAAAAAAAATATTACCCCAATTGAGCCCTGTTTGAGTTTCTGACATCTGGAATTGTGAGATATATTATAATGAAATGCCTATTGTTTAAAGCCATTAGAAAGTTTTGGGGAAGTTTATTATGCAGCAGTAGATAACAAGAAATGAATTTGGCACATGGAAGTCGGAAGTGCTTTTTTAACAAAACTACGTGGCATTGAATTGGTACCGGGTAAGGGGCAGAAGCTGGAAGAGCCATGAAGAGACTGACAGTGAAGGGCTGAAGGACAATGAGGAAAATGTTATTAGAGCTGGAGAAGATATGACACATTATGTGGTGTAAGAAGTCTTGTGAACCTGCTGACTTTAAATAATATTTTTGAATTTTTCTCTGATATTTTGAGGACTTATTTTTGGTTAAGATCTTTCCTTGCCGGACACAGTGGCTCACGCCTGTAATCCCAGCACTTTGGGAGCCTGAGGCAGGTGGATCATGAGGTCAGGAGATCAAGACCATCCTGGCTAACATGATGAAAGCCCGCCTCTACTAAAAAAATACAAAGAAAATTAGCTGGCTGTGGTGGCGGGCGCCTGTAGTCCCAGCTACTCGGGAGGCTGAGGCAGGAGAATGGCGTGAACCTGGGAGGTGGAGCTTGCAGTGAGCCGAGATCGCACCACTGCACTCTGGCCTGGGAGACAGAGAGAGACTCCGTCTCAAAAAAAAAAAAAAACTTTTGTTAAGGAAATATTATATTCCTTTAGGGATGTCATATGTCCTTGCTTTCTTATGTTTCTTATGTCTGTACATTGATTTCTGTGCATCTGATGTAAAAGTCACTTTTTATTTTTGAATTTACTTTCTTTGAGGGTGAGGATTTTTTTCCTGAAGATGTGACTATAATGTTGGTTGGGTAGGGTTTGTTGGCTTTGCATTCAATCATGAAGTCTCTGTGTGATTTCTTTGGCTGTAAATATCATTAGTGGTATCTGTGGTTTCCTCAGTGCATTACAGTGTGGTTATTGCTAGGGGCTACAGTGAAGTTGTGATGGCTACACTGAAGTGCTGTATGGGCCCATCTCTAGGTTTCAGTGGTAGTGTTGGTGAACTAAGCTTATCTATCCTTTTGACCTATAGTGACATATGCTGGCACCTGTGTTGGTGACTCCAGGCAGGCCACCAGCAGGGTAGCTTACTCAGATGCCAGTTGTAATTGTAGCATACCGGGAGGGCAAATGGACTCTCAAACTTCTGGACAGCCATGGTGGCATGGGCAATGTAGGTAGAAGAAGTGGCGAAATGCTCTTCCAAGTCTCAAGTGCTCTTCTGAGTCCCAATTGTGTTGGCAATGGTTGCAATGGGCTGTGTATGCCAGTGTCTAGGCCAGTTGTTGGCACTTGCAGGTAAAAGCCAGCTGTGATGGAAGCAGTGTGTGGTTTATGCCCAACTTCGGTGCCCCCAAAAGACACAATTTGTTGTCCCAGGTGGTGGATTAGATTGGGGAACCTCCCCAGGACCCTGGATCCTGCACTTTGTCCTAAGGAAGGGGTGATACTGGATGGAGCTGAATTACACTCAGGTTCCCCCAGTGGTGAGTGCCTGCACAGATGTATTTGATAGGAGTTAGGCAATCCTCAGGGGGCTGGTGAAATGCTTGGGTGAGGGGCAACTGTCACTGCTCTGGGGTCCTGCCACAGGGACGGGGGTGGTGGTCTCAGCATCCACAACTTTGACTGGTGACTGGTGGTTGGGTAAATTTATCCCTCTCATGCCCAGCCCCACTGGGGCTTGCTCCCTCCTCCCACCTGTCACAGACAACCTGGCTATTCTGTCAGACCTGAGAAATTTATGCTGTTCTTTAGTTCAACCCTGGTTCATAGGAACTCCTCCACAGCTCAAGACCAAGCCACTGTGACAGCTGTCACCCTGCTCAAGTCCTTGGGATAATGACCACTTTCAGTGCTGTTGGCTGCAGTCCATGTCATGCTTGCTTCTCAGTCTTGGTTGTGTTAGCCCACTCCCTGCTCATGCCCCAGTTCCATGAGCAGCAGCTTGAGTTTCCTTAATGACTAGGAATGTCAACAACCCTGATAACTAGGACCATGAACAGTCTGTTAAGAGCTAAGATTAAAAATGGCATCTTGCTATAGCTTCTTAGGCTATAGGAAGTGTGTGGAACCAAGGGCATGTTCCCTCCCTTGAGTGGTTTCTTCTCTCAGTCACCTGATTCAGGGTCACCCTTTGCTAGATTCAGGGAATGGGAGGGTCAAAGTGCTCTCCCATGATCTAGATTTTATGATTCCCCGGTGAGAAAATGGACCAGAGAAAAGCTGTTGCTTACTTTCTCCTATATTATAGAGTCACTCCTGATTTCCAGCCAGTCTTGGCCACACAGGCTGCCTGTTTTTCTTTTCCTTTCTAGTTTTTGCCATTTCCTGTCACTTTTCTGTTGAACTCTTGCATTCTCTCTTGGATAATGTACTGAATGTATGATTGTCTATATACTATTATGGTACTAAATGGATGCAGCTGGCTTGAAATGCTCCTAGTCAGCCATCTTCAAAAAAATTTGTACAGATGTTGAATCATGCAAACTTGCTGAACTCATTTATTCGTTCTAGTGGGTTTTTCAAAATTCCTTAGAAATTTTTATTTGCATGATACTGTAAAGTTTCCAATCCCCAGGTGGAGGCCATTGATTATTTTTGTTGCATGATATCTTTCACTAAGACCTTCAGTATAATGTTGAATAGAAGTGGTAGAAACAGATATTCTTGTCTTGTTTCTAAAGTAACTTTCCCAAACTATAATAATACTTTCCCAAAGTATTATTATACTTTATTTTCTAGGGTACATGTGCACAAAGTGCAGGTTTGTTACATAGGTATACATGTGCCACATTGGTTTGCTGCATCCATCTCGTCACTCACTTAGGTATTTCTCCTAATGCTATCCCTCCCCCAGCCCCCACCCCCCAACAGGCCACAGCATGTGATGTTTCCCTCCCCTGTGTCCATGTGTTCTCATTGTTCAGCTCCCACTTATGAGTGAGAACATGTGGTGTTTGATTTTCTCTCCTTGTGATATTTTGCTGAGAATGATGCTTTCCAGCTTCATTCATGTCCCTGCAAAAGACATGAAATCATCCTTTTTATGGCTGCATAGTATTCCATGGTGTATATGTGCCACATTTTCTTTATCCTGTCTATTATTGATGGACATTTGGGTTAGTTATCAATTCTAATCCGTGATATCATGCTGTTTTCTTGTCCTGCCTCAGCACCAATGACCTGAAGAGCCTTGTTGAAGGAAGACTCCATCTGATGACTCAGAGCAAGTATTTTTTAGTGTGTTATTGTTATTAGCAGAAAGAGGGCCATAAAATACATGGGGCAAGCTGAATATATCTTAGGCAAAAGAAGAAAATATTCAAATTCTTATGTTATTTTATCTAATTATTTTATCTCTTTTTGTGTGTGACTTATAATGTGTGTATTGTATTAATAAAAGTATATAAACATGTAGTTTACAAATAGTTGCCAATGTTATTAGTGCATATCCAAGTATTATATTACTGGAAGTATAATCCTGAAAATATAGAGACCATTAAGCTCTTAAGTCAATAGTATCCTGATGCTTTTCCTGGTTCCATCATGATAGCTGAGGAAAATTGTGCTGAGGGTGCAGAGAGATGCTAAAGAACTATCAGTTATTGGTTCTGGCAGTAAGATAAATGTTTCTTTACTAACTTACGCTCTTGGACAAAGATAACAATTTTAACTATAAAATGT
The DNA here is from genome assembly GCF_000001405.40 of Homo sapiens. Classification (NCBI taxonomy): domain Eukaryota; kingdom Metazoa; phylum Chordata; class Mammalia; order Primates; family Hominidae; genus Homo; species Homo sapiens. The sequence continues at coordinate 37,347,288 of NC_000010.11, forward strand.
GTTTCTTATAAACTCATAGATATCAGGAGGTTGTAGAGCAATGTTCTACAGTATAGTCATAATTGATCTTGACATATCATTGGACCCACTTTTATCTCAAAAGAAACTGATTAATTGTGGTAGTTTTTCATTTTTTTGTGATGTAAGGGTAAATTGTTCGAGTCACTGGATTAAATAGATTTTATAGCACAACGATGCCTACATCCTGGCAAATAACATTAGTAGCTGCAAAATTGTTCAGTGAAATCATGCAAGGTGTTCTGATGTTGTGGATTTCCTGAGACAACTTGAGGAAAATTATATTTTAAATTGGAGACCAAAGTATTGTTCAAGGCGTAAGAGGGGATTCCTGTATTAAGTGGGATCTCAAAAAAAAATCATGATGTGATCATTTTGATGCAACTTTATGGTTTTTATAAACTTATTGCAAGTAGTGTTTACTCTCTTTAAAAGTCAGTGATGGATATCAGAAATATGCTGATGTGTTGAAATGAATTTAGATAAAGAATCTCTTAGATGGAAACTAAACTGGGAAAAACCCAGCACCATTTTTATGTGGTACAGCTGAGGGTTTTGGTAAGCACAATAATGCCCTCCAAAGATGTTTATGTTCTACTTCTCAGATATTGGGAATATATTATGTTTCATGGCAATGGGCATACAAAGTTATACATAGGATCAAGATTGCTAATCTTCTGATGAAAAATAGGGATATTATAATGAATTATAATGGTGAATTCAGTGTAGTAACTAGGGTCCAGAAATGTGAAAGAGATATAGAGAATGTAAAATGTCAAAATGATGGCATCTTAGAAAGACAACCAGATAATGTTTTTTTCAACTGTTTGCTTTGGTAATTTTCTCCATATTAGCTTAAAATTCCACCAAGTTCCCATAAACTGTATACATAAAATTGGATAATTTTATGTTAACAGCATCAATATAAAGTGAGAGAATATAGAACAAAAGTATAATGTCTAAAAGGGGAGGCCCAGGTACAATTAGAGTATAGATAGTGTACATTTTATAAGGTCATAATTGTGGATGGCTTGGTGAGACAAATATTAATACATGTATGTTTTACTAATAATATTTATTAAATTATTACGTACACAATTTGGTATAGAAAATAATGTAGAGACTGAATTATCAAGAAGTCATATGAGATAGTCTGGGTTTATCAAGGGTAAGAGGATAGTATAAAAATGAAGATGATTTGTGAGGATATTAACTACTAAGTAATAAACACTGATGATATGAAGTCTTTCTTTTCCAGATATACAAAATAGGTTTTCTCTTTGCCATTTGGAAGAACCCACTTTCCACTTATGTTATCATTAAAAGATCCCTTTTATTTCCAAGCTGGCACTGGGGTCCGCCAGCACTTTCTTGTTTTTTTTTTTTTTTTCTCCACATCTTCACATTCTTTCTGAATAACAAGCCTAAGTCCCCATGACCTGATCACCTGTCAGGTGATCACCTTGGCCATCACCTTGGCCTTTATTCACCTAGTGATGCTTCTCATAGTAATGGATTTGTTGTCTCCAGATGTATTTGAGTCACTGCATTTTTGGAATGACTTCAGATGTAAAGTGTAATTCTACCTGAGCAGAGTGACAAGGGGCCTCTCCATCTGCACCTCCTGCCTCCTGAGTACTCTCCAGGCCATCACCATCAATCCTAGCACCTCCTGGTTGGCAAGAGTTAAACATAAATCCACAAATTACATTATCCATGTTTTCTTCTCTTTTTGGTTCCTCAATTTATTTTCCAGAAGTAACATGATCATGTACACCGTAGCTTATTTCAAGTGACACAGACCAGGCAACTGACAAATACCGACAAGTAAATATTGTTCATTTTCCTAGGTAATCTCTATAATCAAGGGGACTGATTTTTATTCTGGAATTTTCCCCAAATGTTTTCTTTGTAGAAATTATGTTGCTCTCAATTGTGTGCATGGTAGTACTCTTGTTTAACCATCAGAGGTGATCCCATCACCTTCACAGCCCCAGCCTCTGCTCCAGTCCCTCCCCAGCGAAAAGGGCCGCCCATGCCATCCTGCTGCTGGTGATTTGCTTTGTGGTCATGGACTCAGTGGACATCATTATTTTATTAACCGTGTGGTAGGTTTTTAACTCAGTTATCCTGGATATCCAAAGGTTTGTGGTCCATCTTTAGGCTTCCGTTTGTTCTTTGGTACAGATCAGTGTGTCCTTTGGTACAAATCAATTGATAAAGGAATAATCAATGTTCTGCAAAAAATAAATTCAAAGAGGCATCATTTTTAATAAGATCATAACAGAAAAATAATCCTCTGAAAAAACAGATTTTTCCTTCAACAGTTAAATTACTGAAGGTAGCACAGGATTTTCATCTGACTTAAGTACAATGTGTAAAATTGTAATTTCATATCTAAATATTTTTGAATTTCATGCTACCAAGAATTATTTGGTTTCTTTAGTTCAAAGTCCACCAGATTTTGATCTTCCCAAATCAAGTCTCTTACTCTTTAATTTTTAACTGTATTCACAAAAAGCATTTCTTTCTTCTTGAAGTGTACTCTTAAGAAGCTCCTATTTGTAACCAAAAAACATAGTGTTTTTTCTTTTGAAAGTATTTTAGTCTTTTTTTGACTAAGGCATTTTAGCTAAGTATCTAATTGTTGCTTTAATGATATTTTACTCACCTCTATTAGTATTCATTTCTCTGTTTTTGGCTCCACAAGAGCTGTGGAATTTTTCTCTCATCTTTGCAAGTTATGTATTTTTCTCTTGCTGATTTTTAGTGTTTTCCTCATTTTTGGTGTTATACAGATTATGATTTCTTTTATGTATTATTTATTTTTTTCTTTTTTGGACACACAATTTCTGAATTCAAGGATTCATGTTTTCAATTGTAGAAACTTATATTTATATTACGAATTCTTTGACTATCGCTGTTCTCTCTTCTTCTTTTTTTTTTGAGACACAGTCTTGCTCTGTTGCCCAGACTGGAGTGCAGTAGTGCAATCCCGGCTCACTGCAAGCTCCACCTGCCGGGTTCACGCCATTCTCCTGCCTCAGCCTCCCAAGTAGCTGGGACTACAGGTGCCTGCCACCACGCCCAGCTAATTTTTTGTATATTTTTTAGTAGAGACGGGGTTTCACCATGGTCTCAATCTCCTGACCTCGTGATCTGCCAGCCTTGGCCTCCCAAAGTGTATTCTCTTTTTATTATTATTATTATTTTTGAGATGGAGTCTGTCTCTGTCGCCCAGGCTGGAGTGCAGTGGTGCGATCTCTGCTCACTGCAAGCTCCGCCTCCTGGGTTCATGCCATTCTCCTGCCTCAGCCTCCCGAGTAGCTGGGACTACAGGCCCCTGCCACCACACCCGGCTAATTTTTTGTATTTTTAGTAGAGACAGGGTTTCACCATGTTAGCCAGGGTGGTCTCTATCTTCTGACCTCGTGATCCACCTGCCTCAGTCTCTCAAAGTGCTGGGATTACAGGCGTGAGCCACCGCGACCAGCCAACTATTGCTGTTTATTTTTAAATATATTTTAAAGAAACAATTAGATTTGTTTTCTTTCTCATTCTTTTACTTCTACTCTTCATGTATGTATAATTATATTTGTGTTTTCTATTACCTTTTCTCCTTTTACTGTATTGGACTATAATAATTGTGCTCACTAATTTCTGTTCACTAATATTATCAGCTTAGATAATACTTTAATTTTTAACTTATATATTGAGTATTAAATTGATCAGTTTTATTTGTAATTATCTATCTTCCGCTTGGCTGAATATAACTTCTTAAGCTTATAACTTCTTGTTCTTTCCATGTTATTTTTTTCTTTTTTTTAATGTATTGAATTTCTTCTGACACTCATTCTAGTAACTTTTTTCTCGGTGTGCAACGTAAGTTATAATTTGTTTCTCAGATTTGAGATCTGCCATAAGTTTGAGGCTTTATTTTTTTTTTTTATTTGCTTTATGGCAAGTCGGACAACCTGCATGGATTTGGCATCAATGTAGTCACCCATATCTAAGAGCAGCACTTGCTTCTTAGCATGATGAGTTGTTTCTGGATTGTTTCTTTATTTTACTTATATTCCTGGTAGATTCTTATATTTTCCCTTCAACTCTATTCAGCATTTTAGGAATTCTTAGGACTTTCTGAGAATTTTAGCTTTCTGTATTAAATGTTTTTAATGAGTATTGCATTTTCTCAAAAAGCACAAATATCAATAGTGTACACATGAGGAAAACTATATATATATTCTGTTGCAGATGACAGCATCTCATAACAAAATCCTAGTTACTTCATTTAAAAGACAGCTCTCCTCCAATATACTATGAGGTAACAAAAATTTGTAGTGTGTAATTTTTTTAATATTAGAAAACTCATCTTACATTGTGCACAAATTTCTGAAGTGATAATACTTCACTGTTTTTCTATAGAAGTAACTTAATATTGGCAAAATTACTTATTTGAATTTAGGTTTTGGCTTTCATCATATACTTCCTCATTAACATTTCCCTCAATCCATAAATGCAATCTCAGTTTGAATCTTCCATTTAACCCAGAAGTTAATTTTTAAAACCTTAATAAAATTTGAATGTAGCTAGATATTATTTGTTGGTTACATATTAGTCAATAATTTATATTACTTACAATGATCAGAAAATATGATCTGAATTTCTGCTGTCATAAATTCAATAACGTATTTTAGGCCTAAACCTTTCCATTTCAAATCCTTGGGTCTGGTAATTGAAAATAATCATTATCTTTTGTTTTCTGGCCAAAAATGCTGCCCATTTATTTCTATCCCTAATTAGTCAAACTTTCTAATAAATGTATTTAACGTTAATGATGTTTATTTGCTTGTTGTATACTAAAACCATTAGTTTCTATAATTTAAATGTCACCTAATATGAGTGAAAATGTGTCAGAGGCTGGGGAAGAATGTGGATGGAGAAAGGGAAGGTGTTGATCAAAAAGTACCCAAGTTTCAGTTACACAGGAGGCATGAGATTGATCTAGTGCAAAAAATGATGAGTATAATAAATAATAATGCACTGTATATTTTGAAATTGCTAAAAGTAGATTTAAAATTGATTTACATAATATTTTACATATTTATAAAGCACATGCAATATGTTGTTACATGTATAGAATGTGCAACGATCAAGTCAGGGTATCTGTGGTATCCACCACTTTGAGCATTTATCGATTCTATATGTCAGGAACATTTCAAGTTATCTGTTCTAGCAAGGAAATATAAAATACATTATAGTTAACTATGGCCTATCTACAGTGCAACTAAACACTAGATTTTATTCCTTTCCAACTGTGGGTTTGTATTCATTTACCACCCTCTTTTCATTCCCTTTCTCACCCACACACTGTGCCGGGCCTCAGGCATATACTATTCTACTGTCTGTCTCTGTAAGGATTATCATTTTAGCTTCCACATATGAGAGAATGCATGCAAAGTTTTTCTTTCCATGTCTGGCTTATTTCACTTAACAAAATGACCTCCGCTTCCATCCATGTTATTTATATTACCCAATAGTGTTCATAAATATATATACACACATATATACCACATTGCATTTGTCCAATTATTCATTGACGGAAACTGGTTAATGTTATATCGTTGCTATTGTGAATAGTGCTGCAATAAACACGCAAGTGGGGATATAATTTGAAGAGTTTTTTTGTTGATGTTCCATACAAATTTTAAGATTGTTTTGTCTATGTTTGTGAAAATGGCGTTAGTATTTTCATAGAGATTGCATTGAATCTGTAGATTGCTTTGGGTAAGTATGGTTATTTTGATGGTATTAATTTTTTCATTCCATGAAGATGAGATGTCTTTCCATTTGTTTGTGTCCTCTACATTTTCTTTCATCAAAGTTTTGTTGTATTTTTGAAGTAGATGTATTTCACCTTATAGATCAAGTGTATTCCCTAAATATTTTATTTTTGTAGCTATTGTAGATGAAATTGCCTTCTCGATTTCTTTTTCACTTAATTCATTATTAGTGTATGGAAATGTTATGGATTTTTATTTGTTGGTTTTTAATCAAAAACTGTATTAAACTTAGAGTTTTTTGTGGAGTTTTTAAGTTTTTCTAGATATAAGATCATGACATCTACCAAAAAAAAAAAAAAGACAATTTGACTTTGTTTTTATGAATGAATTTTATTTCTTTCCGTTGTGGGAAGTCAGGGACTCCGAACAGAGGAACCAGCTGAAGCCACGGCAGAACAACATAAATTGTGAAGATTTCATGGACATTTATTAGTTCCCCAAATTAATACTTTTATAATTTCTTACTCCTGTCTTTACTGCAGTCTCTGAACATAAATTGTGAAGATTTCATGGACATTTATCACTTCCCCAATCAATACTCTTACAATTTCCTATGCCTGTTTTTACTTTAATCTCTTAATCCTGTCATCTTCATAAGCTGAGGATTTTGTCACCTCAGGACCCTGTGATGATTGTGTTATCTGCAAAAATTGTTTATAAAGCATGTGTGTTTGAACAATATGAAATCTGAGCACCTTAAAAAGAACAGGATAACAGTGATTTTCAGGGAACCAGGGAGATAACCATACAGTCTGACTGCCTGTGGGGCCAGACAGAACTGAGTCATATTTCTCTTCTTTCAGAAAGCGAACAGGAGAAATATCGCTGAATTCTTTTCTCAGCAAGGAATAACCCTGGAAAAAGGAAGGAATGCATTCCCAGGAGGAGGTCTCTAAAATGGCCACTCTAGGATTGTCTGTCTTATGCAGTTGCAGATAAGGGATGAAATACTCCCTGGTCTCCTGCAGCACCCCCAGGCTTGTTAGGATTGGGAAATTCCAGCCTGGTGAAATTCTAGTCAGACCGGTTCTCTGCTCTTGAGCCCTGTTTCCTGTTAAGATATTTATCCATGAAAATGTGTGCCCAGAAGGTCATCGACCTTCATCAGTAATTCTAGTTTCCCCCAGTCTTGTGATCTCACTCTGCCTCTCTGCTGTTGTGATATTTTATTGCCTTTCAAACATGTGATCTCTGTGACCCACTCCCTATTCATACACCCCTCCCCTTTTGAAACCCCTAATAAAAACTTGATGGTTTTGTGGCTCAAGGGGCATCATGGAAACTGCCAACATGTGATGTGTCCCCCGGACACCCAGCTTTAAAATTTCTCTCTTTTGTACTCTTCTCTTTATTTCTCAGACCGGCCAACACTTAGGGGAAATAAAAAAGGACCTACATTGAAATATTGGGGGCTGGATCCCCTGATATCTTTCTCTTACCTGATAGCTCTGGCCAGAACTTCTAGTACTACAATGAATAGGAGTAGTGAAAATGGGTGTCCTTGTCTTGTTCCCGTGCTTAGAGGAAAGGCTGTGAGCTTTTCACCATTCAGCATAGTATTAGCTGTGACTTTGATTATATGACCTTTATTATGTTGAGGTATGTTTCTTCTATGATATGCCTAGTTGGCTGAGATTTTTTTATTGTGAAGACCTGTTGAATTTTATCAAATGCATTTTCTGTATTGTTTGAAATAATTATATGATTTTTGCCCTTCATTTTGTTGATGCGATGTAAAATGTGTATTGGTTTACCTATGTTGAACCATCATTGCGTCCCAGAGATAGATCCCACTTGATCATACTGTATTATTATTTTTGATATGCTACTGAATTTGGTTTTCTAGTATTTTTTGAGAATTTTTGTGTCTGTGTATATCAGGAATATTGGCCTGTAGTTCCTTTCAGTCTTGTGTTCTTGTCTGATTTTGATATCAAGGTAATGCTGGCCTAATAATATGAGTTACAGAGAATTTCTTCCTTTTAACTTTAATGTTTTGATATGGTTTGAGGAGAACTGGTGTTAGCTTTCTTTGAAAGTTTGGTAGAATTTGGCAGTGAAGCCATCCAGGCCTGGACTTTTCTTTGTTGGGAGACTTCTTATTACTGACTCAATCTCATTACTCATTATCAGTCTACTCAGGTGTTCTATTTTTTGTTGATTTTAATCTTGGTAGGTTGCATTCGTCCAGGAATTTACTCATTTCCTCTAGGTTTTTCTGGTTTGTTAGTGTATAGTTGTTCATAATAATCTCTGATAACCTTTTGTATTTCTGTGATATCAGTCATAATGGTTTTTTTATTTCAGATTTTGTTTATTTGGATTTTCTTTCTTTTTTGCTTGATAGCCTAGCAAGTTGTCAATTTTGCTTATCTTTTTAAAAATCCAATTTATGTGGAGTTGATTGTATTGCGTGTTTAGTTTGTATTTTGTTTAGTTCTGCTCTGATCTTTATTATTTTTTTCCTTCCATTGATTTTGGGTTTGGTTCATTTAAAACATTACATTCTTTATTAGAATGCTTTCTACTTTTTTTGAGATAGTTTGTTGCTATAAACTTCTCTCTTAGCACTCTTTTTGCAGTATTCCATTAGTTTTGGTACATTGTGTTTCGATTTTTGTTTGTCTCAACAATTTTAAAAAATATCTTTCTTAATTGTTATCTTGACCCAATGGTCATTCCAGAGCATGTTGTTTAACCTCCATGTATTTGTACAGTTTGCAAAGTTTCTCATGTTTTTGAAGTCTCATTTTATTTCATTGTGGCCTGAAAACATATTTGATATGGTTTTGACTATTAAAAATTTATTGAGACTTGTTTTGTGTCCTGACATATGATCTGTCTTGGAGAATGTTTAATGTGCTTGTAAGAAAAATATGCTTCTGTCATTGTTGGATGAGGTGTTCTGTAAATGTCTGTTAGATCCATTTGGTCTAATTTGCAGTTTAAATTTAATGTTACTTAATATTCTGTGTAAGTGGTATGTCTAATGATGAAAGGGTGGTATTGAAGTTTTCAATTATTATGTGTTGAAGTCTATCTCTCTCTTTAGATCTAATAATATTTCCTTTATATATTTGAATGGTCGCTGTTAAGTGCCCGTATATTTAAAACGGTTAAATTCTCTTGCTGAATTCATTCCTTTATCATTGCATAATGTCCTTCTTTGTCTTCTTTTACTGGTTTTGAATTAAAGTCTATCTTATGTTACGTAAGTATAATTACTTCTGCATGCTTTTCGTTTCTGCTCATAAGAAACGTTTTTTCAAACCCTGTCCTAGGGATGTCAGATATTTTTAGTTATTTTGTACTTTTCTGAAAATCGTAGCTGCCTGCCTTAAGACTTTTTAAAATATATATTTTACCAAAAAGTGCAAGCATCAATTCATTACTACTCATGAAAACATTTCACATGTATTTATTTTTGTGGCACATCAGCATCTCTTGAGAAATCCCAAGTAGAACACACCCCCATTTCCCAATATATCATAAGACAAAAATAATTTATGGACTATATTTTTATATTAAAAATCTAATTTTATGTTACACAAATTGCTGGAATATTAATACTCTACTACAAAGAATAATACCTATAGGTGGCCAGAAATTACTGTTTTTTCTATAGCATTAAGCTAATATTGGCAGAATTATCATTTTGTATTAAGCTTTTTGGCTGCAATCACAATGTTTCCTCATTAGACTTCCTCAATCCATAAAAATTACATTTTAATTTTTCACTTAATCCAGAAGTAAGCTCTTAATGAAACGTCCATGTGGCTAAATATTATTTGTTGCTTATACTTTATTTAATGGTTTCTATTGTCATTTTCAGGGCCAAAATCTATGACCTGCTGGATTTCTGCCATTATGAATTAAATGACATATTGTAGACCTTAAGTTTTTCCATTTAATATACTTTGTCTGATATTTGATAATAATATACATTCTCTCTTTATTGGACAAAAGGCTGCCCATTTATTTATATGCTTTAATCAAGCTTTCTAATAAAGTTATATAACATTATTTATCTATATTTATTTGTTGTATGCCAAGACAGTTGATTTTTTATGAACATTTTAATATAAACTAACATAAATAAAAATGTGTGAACTTTTTTTTTCCAAGGAAACTTTGGGTTGTTAAGTTTAAATTCTAAAGTATTAAGAATATAAATAATACCTTAGAATGACAACTAGCATATTGTATATGCTAAGTGCTGGCAACTCTGATTCACAAAATTGTCTTTTATTCAAACAATTCTTCAAATACAATATTATTTTGTAGTTTTATTAAAATTTATTTTTTGGCTTACCTAAAATTTGCTAAAAAATAGGAGGTAGGCATATTCTGCCTTTATAAATTCCAAGGTGAAATGGCAGTTTCAATAATTTTCTTTAGATACAGTAACTTATTTTTATCAAACAGTAAGTAAAAGTTTTAAACAGCAGTTATAGTCATATTCTCCATCCTATAACACAGAAAATTTTAAGTCATTCATTAATTGGGCTAAAGCCTTATTCTATATTATTACTCAAGAGTGTTTGTTTGTTTGTTTTGAGACAGAGTTTCACTCTTGTCTCCCAGGCTGGAGTGCAGTGGTGTGATCTCGGCTCACTACAACCTGCCCGTCCTGGGCTCAAGTGATTATCCTGTCTCAGCCTCCTGAGTAGCTGGAATTACAGGCTTTCACCACCACACCTGGCTAATTTTGTGTGTTTGTTTTTAGTAAACACTGGGTTTCATCATGTTGGCCGGGCTGGTCTGGAACTCCTGACCTCAGGTGATCCACCGGTCTCAGCCTCCCAAAGTGCTGGGATTACAGGGTTTAGCCACCGCCCCTCAACACTCCAGAGTTTTTGATGCCAACTGCCTAGAAAATATATTTTTATGGAATACTACAAAATAGAAATACATGTTTTGATAGGTACAAACTATAAAAGTTAACTAAAAAATTGATTATATAAATAGACATATATGAAAAAACAAAATTTATAAATAATTATATGTTAAGAGAACATTAAAATGTTTTCACATAAAAAACTCAGTGACAAATTGCTTAAATTATAAATTACATCAACTTTTAATGAAGAATTAATACAAATTATATACCAAAACTCAGAGCAATATAAGAAAAGGTGACATTTCCCAATTCATGTTAGTTAGTATTAGCATGATAAAAACGGTATACAAAAGAATCACACATAAAAGAAAACCATGAGCCAATATTTTGTATGAATATAGACACATAGGTTGTCAAAAATACTAACAAATTGAATCCAACAACATATAAAAAAGATTATACATTATGACAAAGTAGGATATTTTCACAAATGCAATGTTAGCAAAATATTCAACAATTAACCAAAGTATTGCATACTACTACTTGAGTGAAGGGGAAATTATTATTTTAACAGCCATAGAAAAAGCCAAGACAAGAAATCCAATATCCATTTGTAATAAGATTCACAGCTAGGTACTAATAGAAAGAGACATCTGAGTCCTGCTTATAGTCATCTATTAAAACCTACTGCTAACATAAATAATAGTGAAATAATTAGAGCATTATTTATAAGTTTTGAAACAAGACAAGAATTTAAACCATTTTAATCAACATTGTACTAGAGGTATTATCCAAGAAAATTATACTAGAAAAATAGGCAGAATTTTCCAGATTAGAAAAAAAACACAATCTTCTATTATATAATACATACTCTTCTACATAAAAATATGTGACAAATTCACTAAAAATTTAATAATCAATTAACATCACAACTACAAGACAAACATATTTACACTAAAATATTTTAAATTATAACATAAAAATCTTTTAAATAATAAAATAAATTGAAGAAACATTGAATAAATTGAGAGCCATCCAATGTTTAAGAATAACAATATTTAGTATTTAGATTAAAATAACCAACAAATTTAGATTCAATGCAAATTCCCAACTCTGTTTTAAAATAGAAATTGACAAACTTTTTATAAAATATGAATGTACAAAGAAAATAAAATATACACAACAAATTTGAAAAATAATTCAATGGCTTATACTAAAAATATCAATTCTTACTACAATGTTATAGTAGATAAACAGTATAGTGCTATTATGAAGATAAATCTAAGTAGAACAGTAGAATAAAATTGAAGGTCCATTAATAAATACATTAATATGGTAAACTTATTTTGTCAAAGATACCAATAAATTTCAATAGGAAAAAGATATTTTTGTGATTTTGGTTTAGGTAAGAACTTTAAAAAATAGAACACCAAAACCATAATCAAAAGGAAAAAACTAATGGATTGTACCTTATTGAAAATGTTTTATTCTTTAAACATTTCCATGAAGAATACAAAAAGACAAGATGTTCAATAAGAGAATAAATTTTAAATTACGTATCAGTTTAGGATGTAATATCCAGAACTTACAAAGAATTGTTACAAGTCAATAATGAAGCAATTAATCAATTTAAATGGACAAATATACATTATATAAATTTTTTTTCCAAAGAAAATATACAAATTGCCAAATTTTGTGTAAAAATGTGTTCAGTATCCGCCATGAGAGAAATACAAATCAAATTACAATGAGATAGTAGTAAACAGCCACTAGAATGGTTATAACTGAGAGACAATCAGTGTTGAAAACATGCAGAGAATGTGGAACCCATACACATTAGAACTGGGAATGTAAATATTGCAGTCATTTTGAAATAAAAATATAATTGGCTATTCCTCAAAATTTTGAATATATAATCAACATACAAAACATAAATTTTGCTCTCATGTATGTATGTAAAAGGAAATTTCTACAGCCATAAAAAGATTTTTATATGAATTCTCAGAGAAGCAAGATTTATGAAATGTACAAGTAGATACAACCTAATATCTATCAAATTGTAAAAGAAAAATAATACATTATCTATGCAAACATTACCACTTGATAAGGAGAATTACATAATGATGCATGCTTCAACAGGAATGTAACAAAAATATTAAGCTAACTTAAAAAAAAGACCCAAATGACCACATCATTTATTATTCCATTTATTATAAATCTTTATAATAGGCTCATATATAGAGATGTAAAATTTACTAATTTGTGTCTAAATCTGTCATGCTAAAGGAAAGAGAATGAAAATAGAATTCATTTTTCTTTAAAAAGATGGAAATATTTTAAAGTTATATTGTAACTGATTGCATAATTTTAAACATACTAAAAAGCTAGAAAAGTTACACTTCAAACATGTGATTACCATGTCATATAAAATATATGCCAGTAAAGTTCTTTAAAATACAAGCATGTCACCAGATGTTAAGGTTGTTCTGACTTTCAGAAGCCTGTCATGAATTGTGAAAACCAAATACATTTCTTATCCCTTTCAAGGAATAATAAAGGAAGGGGAAGAGGCAAGGTAACATGCTGAGGTTTGGGCTTCTACCCAAATAGTGAACATAGTACCTAAGAGCTAGTTTTTCAACATAATGGTAAATTTGTCTTTCCATTTGACCTTTCAGAGTTCCCAGTGTCTATTGTTTCCATCATTATGTCTGTGTATATTTATTGTTTAGCTCCTACTTATAAGTGATAACATTTGGTATTTGATTTTCTGCTTCTGCATTAATTCACTCAGAATAATGGCCTCCAGCTGCATCCATGGTGCTGCAAATAATATAACTTCATTCTTTTACATGGCTACATAGTCTTCTGTGATGTATATCTTCTTTGTCTGATCTACTGTAATAAGAAGATTTATTTCATGTCCTTGCTATTGCTAATAGTGTTGAAATAAACATACAAGTTCAGGTGACTTTTTGCTAGAATATATATATATATTATTATTTTTTCCTTTGGCTAGAGTTCTCTTTTCTCCACATCCCTGCCAATATCCTTTTTTTTTGTTTTGTTTTGTTTTGTTTTTGCTTGGTTGGGACTTTTTTACTTTTTAATAATAGTCATTCTGACTGGTGTGAGATGGTATCTCATTGTTGCTTTAATTCACATTTCTCTGTTGATTAGCGATGTTGAGCATTTTTTATGTTTGTTGGCTGCTTGTATGTCTTCTTTTTAAGAAGTGTTTATTTATGTCCTTTGACCACTTTACTGGAGTTATTTGTTATTCTGTTGATTTAAGTTCCTTAAAGATTCTAGATATTAGTCCTTTGTTGGATGCATAGTTTGTAAATATTTTCACCCATTCTGCAGGTTATGTGTTTACCCTGTTGACTGTTTCTCTTGCTGTGCAGAATTCCAATTGCCAGTTTTTGTTTTTGTTGGATTTGCTTTTGAAGTCTTAGTCATAAGCTCATTTCCTATGCCAATGTCTAGAAGAAATTTTTCTAGGTTATCTTCTAGGATTTTTGTTTTCTGAGGTCTTATATTTAAGTATCATCAATGTTGTGTTATTTTTTGTACATGGTGAGAGGTATGAGTCCAGTTTTATTTTTCTGCATATGGCTAGCCAGTTATCCCAGAACCATTTATTGAATAGGGTGTCTTTTCTCTATTGTATATTTTTTGACTGTTGAAAAGACCAGTTGGTTGCTGATGTGTGGATATATTTGTGGGCTGTCCATTCTGTTCCAGTGATATATGTGTCCATTGTTTTTACCAGCGCCATGCTATTTTGTTTAATATGGCTTTGTAATATATTTTGAAGTCAGGTAATATGATGTCTCTGGCTTTGTTCTTTTTGCTTAATACTGCTTTGGCTATTCAGGCTCTTTTTTGATTCCAGATAAATATTAAGATTGCTTTTGTAAAAAATTTCTGAAAATGGCATTGGTAATTTGACAGAATTGTGTTGTGTCTGCAGATTGCTTTGGGTAGTATGGAAATTTTAATAATATTATTTCTTCCAATTCATGAGCATGAAATGTTTTCCCTCTTTCATCTGCAGTTTCTTTCATCTGTTTTTTTTTTTTTAGTTTATCTTGTAGAGATCTTTCACCTCCTTGGTTAGATATATTTTTAGGTATTTAAATTTGCATACGTGGCTATTTTAAATTTGATTGCATCCTTGATTTGCTTATCAGCTTTTATTTTATTAGGGTATATAAAACCTACTGAGTATTTCACATTCGTTTTGTATCTTGACACATTATTGAAGTCACTTATCATGTCTAAGAGTCTTTTGGAAGAATCCTTAGAGTTTTCTAGGTATAGAATCATATCATCAGCAAACAGAGATAATTTGACTTCCTTTCTTCCTATTTGGATGCCTTTAATTTCTCTCCCTTGCCTAAATGCTCTGGCTAGGACTTCCATTACTATGTTGAGTAGGAGTGGTGAGAGTGAGCATGTAAGCATAACATTAATATAGGTCTTTTTGACCCTCAAGCTCTGAACAAGGAAAACATGAAGGCAAAAACAAAGATAAAATACAGTTAAAAATGCAGTGGCTGACTGAAAAATGTATGCCACAAGGAACACAGAGCACAGGCTCAATAATTTTGGGATTGTTTTTGTCATTGGTAGATTTATTTATTTATTTATTTATTTATTCACTAATTCATTCATTTAGTTGACTTTTAATCATAAAATTGCACATGTTTTTGAGATACAGTGTGATGTTTCAAAATATATGTAAATTGCATAATAATAAAATCAGGGTAGTTAGCATATCCATCACCTCAAACCTTTATCATTTCTTTTTGGTGGTAACTTTCAAGATTCTTTTTTCCAGGTAACTTGAAATACACAATATGTTATTATTACCTAGAGTCACCCTGATGTGAAATAGACACAATAACTTATTCTTCCTATCTAACTATAACTTTGTACCCATTGGCCAATCTCTTCTTATCTTCTCCCTTCCCCACAACCACTGGTAACTGCCATATCTACTCTTCTGTGAAATTCACTTTCGTAGATTTTGTAGATTTCAGATATAAGTAAGATCAAGGTATTTCTCTCTCTGCCTCTGGCTTATTTTATTTAATCCTATGTCCCTCAGATTCATCTATGTTGCCTCAAATGACAAGATTTTATTTCTTTTTATAGCTGAATAGTATTCTGCTGTGTAGATATAGCACGTTTTGTTTATCCATTTATCCATTTATTACATCTCTTCAATTTATTTGGCCATATACTCAGTGGGAGTATTTCAGGGTCATATGGTAGTTCTGTTTTTAATATTCTGAGAAATCTCCATATAATTGTGTTCTTTATCAGATATGTGTTTTGCAAATATTTTCTCTCACTCTGAATTGTCCTATTTGAATAGTGTCTTTTGCAGTGCAGTTTTATTTTTCATATAGTTCAATGTATAATTTTTTCTTTCATGGATAATTATTTTGATATATTAAAGAAGCCAATCCCAATGTAATTCAGATTCTTCCCTATGTTATCTTCTAGGAGTTTTGTAGTTTTGCATTTTACATAGGTCTATGATCTACTTTGGGTTAATTTTTGTGAAAGTTGTAAGGTCTGTGTCAGGTTTTTTTCTTCTTTTTGCATGGGAATGTCCAGTTCTTCCAGTATCGTTTGTTGAAAAATTATCTTTTCTCGGGGCCGGGCCTGGTGGCTCATACCTGTAATCCCAGCACTTTGGGAGGCCGAGGTGGGCAGATCACGAGGCCAGGAGATGGAGACTATCCTGGCTAATACGGTGAAACCCCATCTCTACTAAAAATAATAAAAAAAAAAAATTAGTCAGGCATGGTGGCGGGCTCCTGTAGTCCCAGCTACAGGAGCTGAGGCTGAGGCAGGAGAATGGCGTGAACTCAGGAGGAGGAGCTTGCAGTGAGCCGAGATGGTGCCACTGCACTCCAGCCTGGGTGATAGAGTGAGAGTCCATCTCAAAAAAAATGAAAAAAATTATCTTTTCTCAATTGACTTACCTTTGCTCTTTTATCAAAGAGAAGTTGAATATATTTTTTTGGGTCAACTTCTGAGCTATTTTGTTTCATTAATCTATTTCTCTATTCTTTCTTCAGTACCACACTGTTTTGATTACTGTAGCTTAATAGTAATTCTTAAAGCTGGGTAGCATTGTTACCACAACCATGTTCTTCTTCAATATTTTGGCTATTCTGTATCTTTTGCTTTTCTATAATAACTATAAAATTAGTTTGTCAGTATTCACAGTCTAACTTGATAGAATTTTGATTGGGGTTGTATTGAATATGCATGAAGTATGGAAGTAAAGACATTCTAACACTGTTGAATCTATTTATGAATGTGAGTGATCACTCTATTAATGTAGATATTTAATTTTTAATCAAAATTTTATAGTTTTTATATAGATCTCATACTTATTTTGTTAGATTTGTACCTATTTTATTTGTTTGTTACTAGTGTAAATGCCATTGTGTTTTTAATTTTAGGTTCTAATTATTAATTATAGATACAAAGAAAAGCAATTGACATTTGTATAATAATCTTGTATCCATCAAAGTTGCTATAATTGCTCATTATAATTGGTTATTCTAAGAGGTTTATTTTGTTTTGTTATGCTTTGGGATTTTTGCATCATGTGGGATTTTTGTGTCATGGCAATCATGTCGTCTGTGAAAAAGGAGATTTTCATTTTTCCCTCCCAGTCTATGAACTTTTAATCTTCTTATTCCATTAGCTAGAGTTTATAGTATAAGCTTGTATGGGGATGGTGAGAAGAGGCATCTTTGGCTTGTTCTCGATCTTAGCAGGAAAGCATCTAGTATTTCAGCATTCAGTAGGAGACTAGATGCAAGTTTTTTTGTTGATATTCTTTATCAAATTGAGAAAGTTTCCCTTTATTCCTAGTTTATGGAGAGTTTTTATCATGAATCAGGTTTGGATTTTGTCAAATGCTTTTTTGACATTGATGTGGCTATGTGATTTTTCTTTAGATTATTAATATAATGAACTAATTAATTTGTTTTTTGAGACAGAGTCTTGCTCTGTTGCCCAGGCTGGAGTGCAGTGGTCTGATCTTGGCTCACTACAAGCTCTGCTTCCTGGGTTCATGCCATTCTCCTGCCTCAGCCTCCCAAGTAGCAGGGACTACAGGTGCCTGCCACCATGCCTGGCTAATTTTTTTTTTTTTTTTGTATTTTTAGTAGAGATGGGGTTTCACTGTGTTAGCCAGGATGGTCTTGATCTCTTGACCTCGTGATCTGCCCACCTCGGCCTCCCAAAGTGTTGGGATTACAGGTGTGAGCCACTGCGCCAGGCCGATTAATTGATTTTCAAATGGTGAACCAACCTTGAATGCATGTGATAATTCTCACTGGGTTGTGGTGTATAATTCTTTTTATACATTTTTGAATTTCATTTTCTAATATTGTATTGAAACTTTTTACATCTATGTTTATGTGAGTTATTCTGTGGCTGTTTTTCTTGTAAAGTCTTGGTCTAGATTTTGTATCATGATGATATTGGCCTCATAGTGTGAGTTTAGAAGTATTCACTCTGGTTCTATTTTCTGGAGCAGACTGTAGAGAATTGTTATAATTTCTTCCTTAAATGATTGGTAGAATTTATTAGTAATCTTGTCTGGACTTGGTACTTTCTATTTGGTAAGGTTATTGATTATTGACTCAAGATTTCTTTTTCTGAGACAGAGTCTGGCTCTGTCGCCAAGGCTGGAGTGCAGTGGCGTGATCTCTACTCACTGCAAGCTCTGCCTCCTGGGTTTGTGCCATTCCCCTGCCTCAGCCTCCTGAGTAGCTGGAACCACAGGCGCCCACCACCATGCCTGGCTAATTTTTTTGTATTTTTAGTAGAGACGGAGTTTCACAGTGTTAGCCAGGATGGTCTCGATCTCCTGACCTCGTGATCTGCCCGCCTTGGCCTCCCAAAGTGCTGGGATTACAGGTGTGAGCCACTGCACCCGGCCAAAATTTCTTTAATAAGTATAATTGCTATTCAAATTATCTCTTTTTGCTTGAGTTCTGATAGGTTATTTCTTCTAAGGAGTTTTGCTATTTTATTTAGATTGTCAAATCTGTGGGCATAAAGTTGTTCATAATATTCTTTTATCATGCTTTAAGTCTTAGTGAGATCAGTAGTGATAACCCCTCTTTCATTTTTACTATTAGCATTGTGTCTTCTCAAACTAGAAGAGAAACTTTTCAAAATGGAAAAAAAATTTGATAAATTCTCAAATTTTCCATGATCTGCAACTGTAGGTACATAGTAAATACATGAAAACAGATGTTTGACAGAGCCTGCTAGGAACCTCTTTCCTGTGGCAAGATGGTATGCCTCTCAAGATGACAATCTCAGGCAGTAGAAATGTGAAAAAGAAAGAATGTGTTCTGTTCTCAGTTGGGAGCCATCATATGACTCTACCCCTCAACTGCACACAGTGATCTTAATGTGCATCTTTCTAGAAGGAAGCTGCATCTCAGGGGCTGCCACCCAAGCCATATGGGCCAGGGAAAGACTTGAGTCTGTTATTCATTTTAACAAATTATTGTAGAAAATGGCTAGAGTTTTTTTGAATGCTATTTGTTCACATTTTATTATATAGAGTAGTTCCTTAGTATTCCTGGCAACTTGATTCCAGGACTCATTTCGGATATGAAAATCCATGCATGCAAAAGTCCCTTATATAAAATGGTATGGTATTTACATATAATCTATGCTCTACACATTCTCTCATATACTTTAATCACTAGATCACTTATAGTACCTAATACAATGTAAATGCTATCTAAATAGTTGTTATATTGTATTGATTAGGGAATAATGACAAGAAAAAAATGTGTACATGTTTATTATAGATACTTTTTATAAAAACATTTTTGATTGACAGTTGTTTGAATCCAGGGTTGTGGAACCCATGGATGAGGAGGGCCAACTTCACCCATTTTTGGGGTCACAAATGTGTGTTCTTCCTATGTTGGTAAATTGAAAGTCATTTTACATATTGGTTCAACTATTTCTTCTCTGACACTTTCAAAAAACTTGAAAGAATCAGAACAAGAACTGCGAAAGGGAAGGGATGCTGATTGAGAGTTGGAAGGTTGCACATTTTCACAGAATTGTAGAATAAAATTGTAGCAAACATACTGGTAGAAAATTTTCTGCAACTGTCCTCAAACAGAGCAGTGATTGGTAGGGCAGGAAAGAGAAAGGTGGAATAGATTATAAATTAATTGGAGAAGAAAAAGATAAATCTTAGTACTAATTTGGCAACCCATTTCAAGCAAGGAAAATGTAGATGTTGTATCCCTGCTTTTTCTGAATAATTTTATTACCCTATGCAATAGGAGCTGTTATCACTGCAGAACCAAGGTCACCTGTGGAAGCTCCTTGCTGAAGCCAGTTTTCTATCAGATCATCCATCAGGCCTAGCAGGTACTGCTCTGAAATAAGAATGTAGCAATGACCAAAAACAACACAAATTTTACAATCTGGTGAGGCCAAGAAATTTTTATGAAATCATCACACAATTAAATATAAATTTAAATGGCAGAAAACTCAATGTCCAGTAGAAAAATGGTAAATTTATGACATTCTTTTGATTTAATATTATGCAGTCACTGAGTTCATTTCAAATAATTGTAAAATTTTCACAATAACAGCAGATAATTTTAAAGTATAATATAAAATTACAGATTATAATCTTTATTTTATAAAAATAAATGCATGTTTAGCCTCAAATTGTGGCTCAAATTATTACCAAGCAATAGAGGCTTGCTGCCCAATGTACTACAAGTCAATACTATGACACGGATTTTTTTTAAAGAAGGTGTTTTTTTTTTTTTTTAAATTGATTCACAAGGCAACAGAAGTCTAGCTTAAATGCATCTTCATATGCTGGCTTTATGGTAGTAATTTTATTAGGAAAACATTCATGGGGCGGATTCTGAAATTAGTAGGTTAATTGGTAGATAGTCATTTGAGATGACTGAATTTCAAGAAACTTAAATTTTCTTTCGCTCTTTCTTAGTAATGAATGCATTCATCATATATAAATGTATCCCACGGTCTAGAAAGAAAAAGCCAATGATAGAGAAGGTCGGAATCTTGTGTTTATTCATTAGTTGCCACGGAATGGGGCATTAAAGCAAATTAACAATATAAAAATTTTTGTGATGGGATATTTTACTCTATTTAATTTAAAATTGCTTAGATTTAAACTTTGTATTTTTTGTTTTTCTTTTATTGACACATAATGTTTTCCATATGCATGGGATACATGTAAGTATTTGTTACATGCATAGAATGTGTAATGATCAAGTCAAGGTATATAGGATATCATTTTGAATATATATCATTTCTATGTGATGAGAACATTTCAAGACCTCTCTTTCAGCTACTTCGAAATATACAAGATATTGTCAACACAAGTTACCCTAGCCTTCTACTGGGCATTAAAACTTACTTTTTTCCATGTAAGTGTGTTTTTACCCATTCATCAGCCTCTCTTTATTTCTCCCTCCCACCCTTCCACACTTCTGGTATCTATCATTCTATCCTCTGTCTCTATGAGATCAAATTTTTAGCTCTTATGTATGAGTTGAGAATATGTGATATTTGAATTTCTGTGCCTGGCTTATTTCACTCAACATAGTCACCTCCAGTTGCACCCATGTTGCTGCAAATGACATAATTTCATTATTTGTTGTGGCTAAATAGTATTATTCCATTGTGTGCCTGAACCACATTTTCTGTATCCATGGCTCATTGAAGACACACTGGTTGATTTCGTGTCTTTGCTTTTTTGAATAATGCTGTGATACACATGTGAGTGCATGTATCCCTTTGATATACTGATTTAGTTTCCTTTGTGTAAATAGCCAGTAGTGGGTTTCCTAAATGATCTGAAAGTTCTATTTTTACTTTTTGGAGAAGTACCTATACTGTTTTCTATAGTGGTTTTAATAATTTACATTCCCACCAAGAGTGTATAAGTATTATTTTTCTTCATATTCTCAACAGCATGTATTATTTTTTGTCTTTTTAATCTTAGTCATTCTAATGGGGTAAGATGATGTCTCATTGTGCTTTTGATTTGGATTTCCCAGAGGATGTTAAGCATTTTTAATTGGACCTGTTTTCCATTAATGTGTCATCATTTGAGAAATATCCATTAATGTCCTTTGACCCCCTTTTAATGAGATCTTTTTTTTATTGTTGAGATATTTGAGTTCCTTATATATTCTAAATATTGGTTGTCAGTTGAATACTTTGCAATATATTCTCCTATGCAACAGTTTGTCTCTTCACTGTTTTGATTGTTTCTTTTGCTGTGCAGAAGCGTTTTCATTTATTATAGTTTCATTTTGTCTATTTTGCTTTTAGTTGGCTGTGGCTGTGGTCTTAGCCATAAAATCTTTGCCGAGACCAAAGTTCTCATTTTTTTAAAATGTTTTCTTCTGGTAGTTTTATACTTTTAGGTCTTATGTTTAAGTCATTAATCCACCTTGGGTTAGCTTTTATGTATGGTGAGAGATATAGTTTCATTCTTTGGCATATGGATATTCAATTTTCCCGGCACCATTTATTGAAGAGGGTATATTTTCCTCAGTACACGTTCTAGCTTCTTTTGTTGAAAATCAATAGGCTATACAAACATAAGTGTATTGCTGGGTTCTCTATTTTGTCCCATTGGTTTTTTATTACTTTCACTATTATGGTTCTTTTTTTGTTTTCATACAAATGTTAGATCTGTTTTTTTATTTCTATAAAAACGATGTTATTTTGATAGCAATTGCATTGACTCTAGATTTCTTTGGACAATGTAGTCATTTTAATGATAATAATTCTTTCTATCCATGAGCATGAGATTTCTTTACATTTGTTTGTGTCCTCTTCAATTTCTTTCATCAGTATTCCGTAGTTTTCTTTGTAAAGATTTTTCATGTCTTTGATTGAATTTACTCCTGGGTAATTTATATAGCTATCGTAAACAGGATTGCCTTCTTGCTTCATTTTTTGACTATTTATTATCAATGTAGAGAAGCACTACTGATTTTTGTATGTTGATTTTGTATTCTCCAAAGTTGCTGAATTTGTTTATGAGTTCTATTATTTTCTTTTCTATTTTTTTCATTGATTTTCTCTCTTTTTTTTTTTTTTTTGTTGTTGTTGTTGTTGTTTTAGATGGAGTCTTGCTCTTTTGCCCAGGCTGGAGTGCAATGGCATGATCTCAGCTCATTGCAACCTCTGTCTCCTGGGTTCAAGCGATTCTCCTGCCTCAACCTCCCAACTAGCTGGGACTACAGGCACGTGCCACCATGCCGGGCTAATTTTTGTATTTTTAGTAGACACAAGGTCTCACCATGTTGGCCAGGCTGTTCTCAAACTCCTGGCCTCAGGTGATCCACCTGCCTCAGCACCCCAAAGTGCTGGGAATACAGGTGTGAGCCACAGTGCCTGGCCTTGTTTATGAGTTCTTATAGTCTTTTGTTGGAGTCTTTTCAGGTTTTTCTATATACAAAATTATGTCATCTGCAAAGTGGACAATTTGACTTCCTTTTGCAAGTCAATGTGGATGTCTGTTATTTTTTTCTCTTGCCAGATTACTGATTAGGACTTTCATGTTCAATAAGATTTGTGAAAGTGAATATTCCTGTTTAGTTCTAGGTCCTAGAGAAAAAGCTTTCAGCTTTTGTCTGTTCAGTATATTGTTAGCTTTGGGTTTGTCACATATGACCTTTATAATTTTGCAGAATGCTCTTTCTATGCCTAGTTTGTTGGGGGGGGGGGTTTAATATGAACAGATGTTGAATGTTTTCAATTGCTTCTTCTACATCTATTGACCTGGTTATATGGGTTTTGTCCTTCATTCTACTGAGGCAATTTATTTAGTGTATTGATATGTGTAGGTGACCATCCTTGCATTTTTGGTACAAATTTCACTTGATTGTGGTGTATTACCTTTTGATGTGCTGTTGTATTTGGTTTGTTAGCATTTTATTAAGGATTGTTGCATCAATGTTTATTACAGATACTGGCCTGTAGTTTTTGTTGTTGTTTTTGGATCCTTGTCTGGTTTGGTTTTAGGGCCTCTCAGAATGAGTAAAGCGTTCCTTTCTCTTATGTGTTTTTGAAATAGTTTGAGGAGGATTGGTGTTCATTCTTTTTTTATAAACTTGGAAGAATTCAGCAGTTAATAGATCTGATCTTGTCTCTTTTTTTGCTGGGAGACATTTTATTACTGACTCAATCTCATTACTCATTGATTAGTTCAGTTTTTCTACTTCTGATTCAATCTGGATAGGTTGTGTGTTTATGGAAATTCAATCATTTCCTCTAGATTTTCCCCTTTGTTAACATTTATAATATTCTCTGATTATCTTTGGTATTTCTGTGATATCAATTGTAATTTCTATTTTTTTATTTTGCTGATTTGGTTCTTATCTCTTTTCTTGGTCAGTCAAGCTGGCAGTTTATCAATATTGGTTATATTTTTGAATAATATACTTATCATTTCATTGATCCCTTGTATTTCTTTCTTTAGTCTCTCTTTAGTTCTTCTCGAATCTCTATTATTTCTTCCATTCTGCAAATTTTGGGTTTGGTGTGTTCACATTTTTTCACTTCCTTGAGGTGCATTGTTAGATTGTTGATTTGAAATCTTTCTGCTTTCTGATCTAGATGTCTATTGCTATAGCCTATCTGTTCTTAATGCTTTTGCTGTATACTATAGATTTTGATATGTTGTGTTTTCTTTTTTATTTCTTTCAATACTTTAAAAAATGTCAATCTTAACTGTTAATTGACCCAATGGTCATTTGGGATGGTGTTATTTAATTTTCATGTATTCATATAGTTTCCAAAGTGTCTCTTGGTGTTGATTTTTAGTTGTATTTTAGGGTGGCTTGAGATATTTGCTACAGTTTTTTTAATTTTTTGTTGTTGTCATTTGTAGCCTTTTTTTTTTTTTTTGAAATGGAGTCTTGTGTTGTCACCTAGGCTGGAGTGCAGTGGCATAATCTCAGCTCACTGCAACCTCCGCCGCCTGGGTTCAAGTGATTCTCCTGCCTCAGCCTCCTGAGTAGCTGGGACTACAGGCACATGCTACCATGTCCGGCTAATTTTTTGTATTTTTAAAGAGATTGGGTTTCACAGTGTTAGCCAGGATGGTCTCGATCTCCTGACCTTGTGATCCACCCACCTCGGCCTCCCAAAGTGCTGGGATTACAGGTGTGACCCACCACGCCCGGCCCATCTGTAGCCTATTTTTTTAAATGTTGACATTTGTAGTCTGTTATGGAGAATGTGCTAATATAAAGAATGCTTATTCTGCTGTTGTTGGATAAAATGTTTTGTAAATGTCTATTAAAATCATTTGGCCTAAATTCCAGTTTAAATCCAGTGTTTGTTTTTTGATTTACTGTTTCAATAATCTTTTTCATGCTGAGGTGGGGTATTGAAGTCTCCCACAATTGTTACATTGCAGTCTATAGTCTATCCCTCTCTTTAGCTGTAGTAATATATGCTTTATGAATCTGGGTATTCTGGTGTTTGGTTAATATATATATTTAGAATTGTTATATTCTGTTGCTGGATTGGTCACTTTATTATTATTTAATGAGTTTCTTTTTCTAATTTAAATTCTGGTTTATGTGATATAAGTATAGCTACTTCTGCTTATGTTTAGTTTCTCATTGCATGAAATATCTTTTTTCATGCTTTTACTTTCTTGTCTATATGTGTCTTAATAGGTGAAGTGCATTTCTTGTAGGCAGCCTGTAGTCAGACCATGTTTTCTAAATTCATTCACACAGTCTATTATTTTAAGTGAATAATTTAATTCATTTACATTCAGGGTTGTCTTTGATATCTAAGGTATTGTTTCTGTTATATTAATTATTTTATATATTCTTTGTTTCTTACTTTTTCTCTTATTTTGACATTGTTCTTTGTTAGTGTTTTGTTATGTTACCATAAGTCCTTGCTCTTCCTCATTTGTGTATCTGCTTTACCAATGGGTTTTTTACTTCTATGTGTTTTCATGGTTATCTTTTGGCTTCCAAGTTTAGAATTCATTTTATAAATAATTTTCATCTTAATTTCTTTGTTGACTTCATGGTCATTCATGTTATTTAAATATCATTTATTTGTATAGTTTCCAGAGTTTCCCTTGGTATTGATTTCTAGTTTTACTCCACTGTGGTCTGAGAAGATACCTAATCTAATTTCAGTATTTTAAAATTTGTTGAGACTTATTTTGTGGCCTAAAATGTGGTCTAATTTGGATAATAATTCATGTGCTGATGAGAAGAATGTATATTCTGCAGTTGTTGAGTAGAATGTTCTATAAATGTTTGTTAAGTCATTTGGTCTAAAGTCAAATTTTAGTCCAATATTTGTTTGTTTATTTTCTGTCTAGATAATTTGTCTAATGCTCTGAATGGCATATTGAATTTCCCTAGCATTATTGTATTGCTGCTTATCTCTCTGTTTCTGACTAAATATTGCTTTTATAATTCTAGGTGATGCAGCATTTTATAAATATATATTTATAATTATCATAGCTTCTTGATGAACTGACCCCTTTATTATTATATAGTAACCCTTTAGCCCTTTTTTAACTGTTTTTGACTTAAAGTCTGATTTACCTGATATAAGTATAGCTTCTACTTTTTGAGTTTGGTTTCTATTTGCATGGAATATCTTTTTCTACTCCTTTACAGGCAACATGAGTTTCTTGTAAACAGCATATAGCTGGAAAATGTTTTAAAATTTATTAAGCCAGTCTATATATTTTAAATGAACATTTAATCCATTTACAATCAAGGTTTACATTGATATGTAAGGTTTTGTTCCTGTTATGTTATGAATTGTTTTCTAGTTATTTTATAAATTCTTTAAATTTTTCCTTTTCTTTGATTGTCATGGTGGCTTGGTGGAATTCTGTAGTAGAGTCCTTTGATTCATTTCTCTTCCTCCTTTGTATGATTGCTTATACACCTGAGCACAGATACACACATGTGCACAGGCACACACACTCATGCGTGAATACGCACACGCAGCAGGGCAGAGTCCATCAGCATGGGTGACTTGGGGCCTCAGCCCCTGCTGGTCTGCCCCTAATCATCAGGTCCCAGACCTCCCTACTGCAAGCTACAGCAGGAAGAATAGAAGTTGGTTCCCTATAGGGTGCCCAGTAGAGTTCTCTCCAGCCTCCTGGGGTGCAGTGCAATGGAAGCATTCTATTGTTTCCAAGAGGGGCTCCAAGATCCTTTTGAACGCCCATTTAAATGTATATGAAAGAAGCCCCAAGGACCCATCATCTTCCCTTTTTAATGAGTAAGAAGTGGCTGTTCACAGGGCATCTATTTTATGCCAAGCAGTGGGCTGGATCCTTGACATACACCACCACTTTTAATCCTCCTGACATTTCTGTAAAACGGATTATTTCTCCCATTTAACAGATTGGCAAACAGGGCAGCAAGGTGTTATAGCCACCCCAGGCACGTGCTTTCCATGACATCTTTCACTTCATTTTCATATGCCATTCAAGACAGTCCCCTACACTGGCCAAGAAACAGCACAGGGACTGTGGGCATCAACTTCAGTACCTTCTCCAAACAAGGTTCCCTGGTGGGAATGCTGTTCCTCTCCTTCCTGTGCGTCCCACCTACCTCATCTTCCAAGGCTCAAAATATGTTCACAAGGAGCCTTCTCAGACTCCCCCACCGCTCTCCCCCAGCCATTCACTGTCTGCTCCCCCACTGCGCCATTCACTGTCTGCTCCCCCAGCACTGTGTCTGCCGACCACTTCTCCCCTCTTCCTCCCTACTTTACTCTGTCACTCTGCCATTTCCACTATTGGTTGATGATTACAAGAATGCACAGACTCTTTCTCTTTGCCCCTTGTGTCCCTCTGTAGCTACTCTGCACCCAGAAGTTGATATTACAGGAACGACCCCTCACTGACAGCCCCATCCTAGCTTGTCAAGAAACCTGATTTTCAGTAGATCTGAAGTAGTAAAGCATACATGTTTTTGCTATTTCTGTTTCCAATACCTGGAATTCAAAGAAACTAAGGTGTGGAGATGTCTGTTCCATACAAAATACACAAGTAGAAGGGGACTCCGTCTCGAAGCCTCTCTTCTCCCTTCAAGAGAGGTGACCCCCAGGAGCACACTCCTCTTCCCCTAATTCCTTCAACTCTCTTATACCACCCAGGGCAGAAATAGGGCTGTAGGTTCCTCCTTTTCCCCTTCCAAGCCCACCTTCACTGCCATGCTAGCATCTTGGGATGTGGCCAATCAACGGAGTGTCTCTTCCTTACTTCAAATAAGGCCATTTCTCAATACAATGCAATCTTTTCCTTATCCAAGTCTTATGCCCACAATCCATAATATACACACCTCTAATCTTCTCTCTGTTCCTAATCTATATCAGGCTTCAGAGAGCTCTGCACCATGGCTGCTAAAATTTCTCATACCGCTTGGGATGTTTGTTCATGGTCAGAAGAATTGAGTTGGGTGATAGTGTTTCTTTCAAATTTGGGGTCCAAACCGCTGGTGAGCTGGGGGTTTGAAAACAAAGTATTCAGGTGCCAATGACAGAGTGTAAAATTTAATACTTTGACATCAGACAGGTGTGGGTTTGGATCCTAGCTCTACTGTGCAGTAGCTGTTCACCACTGGTGAGTTTGCTTAGCCTTTTTAAGCCTCAATCTTCATGTCTGTAAAGTGAAATGATAGCACCAACCTCATAAGTTTGTTGTGAAAATTAAAATTACATGTTAAGAAGTTCTGGCATGTACTAGACCCTATCCCTGCAAGGACTGAGCTGTATTTCAACAATCAGAGATTAGAATAAGATGGCACCAATGCCCAGCAGAAGATGGTCACAGATGAGATGAGCAGCAAATAACATTTGTGGACTGACTTTATCAGAACTCAACAGAAACTGGCCCTTTGGCCTGCAAAGGTCAGATATCAGGTGAAAAATATATGGGTAATGAGTAAATATCATATCTAGGCATCAGGAAATCTCAGTTCTTAGCTCAGTGTCCCCATTCACAAGAAACAGAGCTCAGGGCTCCAGAAAAGCTGGTCAGGAAAAGTGGAAAATAAGATTTTCTGCTTTGCAAGCTTGTCTGGGACTGAGGTTGACCACTGTACAAGGTCATTTCTCAGTACAATGCAATCTTTATGACCTGGGGCCATTTTGTTTTAATGTTGCTTTATGAAATAGCCAAAATTCTTGAGCCAAGGACTGTGACCACTTTTAGAGTATTCTACTTTTTAAATGGAACCAAAGCCCTTCACAGAAGCACTAGGGAGAGGAGTACCCATTGCTTCTTCCAGCATTTTTTCTTGTCATCTCTGCCTACCTAGTATTGTAGAAGGAGCACTGAATTAGGATCCCAGGGATTCAGCTCCAGATTTGCCATTTCTTCATGGCATTACATTACTGCATCTAATGTGTTGCTCATGGAGCTCACCTCTCTGGACTTCTATGTCCACTTCTGTTAAATGGGAATATTTACTTAGCTTCTATTATTGAGTAGTTAGGAGATCAGGAGGGTGAATGCTTTTTGCAAACTAAGAGACCTGTAACACACGCAACAAATTATAATAGTATTTCACATGGCTAATCCTGAAAAAACCAAGGAAAATAATAATGATGATAATTATCCTTATTACCTGTCTATATACCAACGTATATATCTTCCTACAGTTCTTCCTCCTTTCTTATATACCCACCTACCTTTCTACATACTGAGCTAAAGAAGTCAACGAATGTTTCACACATTCAGTCGAGCTAATGAACACACAAACATCTGGTATTCAAAAGAAAACCATGCCCGTTAGTTTACAAACGTTGATAATGACAGGAGACAGGTAGAAATTATCTATTTACTAGAATTGTATGCATCTCTAAACACTTACTTACCATTTTTGAAATTAAGCTTAGAATTTCTTCATTACATAATAATAAACATACCTTAATCATTTTAAACCCAATATAATGCATTAAAGTATTTCTGATAATTGAATACATTTTTGAGGGTTAATTCATATAACCAAAAAATGTTATGACTCTGTGAGACATTCCTCCAGTTATTCAAAGGCTTAAAAGTTTTAAGAAGTATACAATGGCTGAATCATGAGAAATAACCCTGAGAAACTATTGAAGAAATGCTAATGAAACACGAGAGGGGAGATCAAATAGATGCTGAAACCACAATGAACATCTAGGCCTATAAGGACTGAGAGAGAACACTGATAAAAGAGAAACTGGAAATGAATGGGAGTGAAACTGCGTAGAGGTGATCAAGTAAAAGTACCAGGTTCAAATAGTCAGCAGCTCATCATAATCAATGAGCGAGGACATAAAGTAGGAAAAATGCATCACCATGGTGAGCAAGGAAAGCAAGTTATTGGAGGCACATGTTAACACATAAAATATAAAATTAATATGATCACACTGGAAAGGCTTGCCTGAGCCCACAGTTTGAATGCCTACAATAAGATGAGATGCACAACAAAAAGCAAGAGAACCTGATCAAGTGGGTGACCTGGCCATGGTGCTCTCATCAGTGGGGACCCAAATGCTTATGTGGACTCACCAGGTATCGAATTAGACATGAATAGGAGTGTTTGTTGTGATGGCAAGAAACTATATAATCAAATGAATACAATGAAACTTTAAAAATAATTGTAAGATCTTTACACCAGCCAATGTCATGTTGCGTACTAGCTGTTTTTGTGACTTTTAATAATAACACCTACTAGTTACTGAGTGTCATCATCACCAATGTCATGATTGCCACGATTTATTGAGTGCCTACTACATGCAGGCCCCAGGTCAGTGCTTTACACTCTTAACTGTCATGTTGACAACAGCTCTGAATGACAGGAGCTCTGTTCAGTGTTTTACAAGTGAGAAAACTAAAGACACTAATAATTTTTAAAAATATATCCACAGTTCTATGATTAGTAAGTAAGGGAGCTAGTACAGAAAGAGGTTTGTCTGACTTAAAGTGATTTGTCATCTTTCTTTTCCACTCTCCTAATCATGATCTGTTCCCCCTCCTGGCCCAATAACTTAATGCTTGTAAACTGAGGTCCACCCATTTATGGAAAACTCTTTAGTCACAGAGTTCCCTAACACCCTCCTCTGTCCCTGTGACAATGTATTGAAAATAACAGTTGAAGCCCCTCTAGAGGGTGGTCCAAGTTGACTAAATGGGTAGCAGTGAACAGCATTAAAAGGAAAAGAAATAAAATAACACACAGAAAATGTCATAGAGCAACATGCAGCAAAGATAGTTTTTATAAAAAGTGGTTTTTAATTACACATATGCCATATTTCACTGAATCACAGTCATCATTTATTGGAAAATGCAAAACTTTATGTATCACCCAGAAAGAAAAAAATGCTGCCAATTAATGGCAAGATGTCATAATTTGTAAAACATATCCAAATTTCAGAGATGTTCAAATGTGGGGGGAAAATGTGTATGTGAGAATGATAAAATACATTGTATGCATATATGCACTGGGTCACTGCAATATGTATTTCCTACTGTGGATCATGGCCAACAGAGTTTGAAAACCTCCATTCTTTGAGGTAGAAAAGCTGACTGGAGTATCTACGTGGTGGTTGGAGCTGCCAAGGGCACCCAACCTGGTCAACAAATTAGTGTGCTCAGCCAGAGGCAGTCCTGGATGAATTCAGGCTGCAAAGTGCCCTGTGACCTGGCCCTTGGGAAGCCACGCTCTGATGAGGTTTGCAGATCTCCCCGCAATCCAGGGCCAAGCATGAATGAAGGTGTTAGGCATTTCAAGGATGCGACTAGGACGTGCTGCTGTCTCAGGTTCACATTATACTGAAATAAGGTCCTGGCCAGACAGCACCATATAGTTAATTGAGGTGTTTGGGAGATACTCAAATGGGTGTTAATATTTCCCAGGCAATATTTTCAAGGCTCAGAGCCTCTATTCAAAAGATAACTGAAAGGCTAGCAAAGGGTATTGCAAAGGTATATTCTGATTTCTGACAGGAAGATCGATGGATGGACAGTGAGAGTATAAAGACCTTAGGGTTTGGGGTTCTGATTTGGCCTTGGTCTGTTGAATGATTGATTCATTCATTCAACAAATATTTATACAACACCCACAGGGGGCAGGCATTGTGCTGACTGTGGAAGATCACAGAGAGTGTGTCAGAGTGAAATTGACTTTGGAACTGTCTTTGGTGAGTCCACACCTTATTTATCCACTTCTGCTTTCTCCAGAGCTGCCTAGCCTGGTACGTAGGGGCCCTTTGCTGCAAGCTTAGGCCAGTGTCAGCTCCTGAGCCACTCCTGACTCAGTTGGAGGAGACTCAGTGTCCTCTGCCCCCTGCCTGGTGGAGCTTGGCAGCAAGTCCCAAGTTTTACAGTGTTGAGACCAAGTGGGCAGCCATCACCATTGAGGGGTGCCCTTTTGCTCCCCCTCGAGTCCAAGTTATAGTATTGCTTACTTCCTACCTGAAATAGTTTATGGGTCATGGGTCTGGCTTACATCAAGCCCCATAGCCAGTCTGGTTGCCCCACCTAAGGTCTTGGTGCTCTTTGATAATAGCCACAGCTAAATGTATTAGTCCTGTCCTAGGAAATGCATGATCTTCTCCCCAAAAATATATACACTTACTATGTATACATATAAACTAAAAATAAAACATTGGAAAATTAAGAAAAATAAATGTATGATCTTTTTATATCTCAATCCTTTCCATAGACCTGTGTGATAGAGCCTGTTAATATGCCCATCATGCAGATGAAAGCACTGAGACTTATTC
This sequence comes from Homo sapiens, assembly GCF_000001405.40. NCBI lineage: Eukaryota > Metazoa > Chordata > Mammalia > Primates > Hominidae > Homo > Homo sapiens. Next base: position 37,379,838 of record NC_000010.11, read on the forward strand.
CATTTCCTTCCAGTCCCTTTTGTACAGACCACACAACTGGTGCCAATGGCGTCGCTGCCTGACTTTAAACTGTCCTGCCACTAGGAACCCTCACTGTCCAGCTCCATAGTGCAACCAGAAGGAGGTGAGGTTTTGGCATCTTCAGGGAGTATCCTCAGTCTTCCTATGTTTTGGAATGAGTTCCATTTCGCTGCAAAAAGAGGAGCTTCTGGGATGATAAAATGAGGCATATCCTGCACCACTACATGTGTCCATACATGATCTGAGCAGGAAGAGCAGTGGACAAGGAGTCTGGAATGCTGGCTCAAGTTCTGAGTCAGCCACAGCCTGCTGTGTGACTCTGAGTGAGTCACTAAGCTTCCCTGGATTCAGTTTCCTCAACAGTCAAATTTCTATGGCCTTTTGGGCACCACCATGCATGAGAACACAAAGAGAGCATGATTACTCAGGGGTGTGTGCATGTGTGAGGTAGGTTTTTCTGTTTTGTTTTGTTTTGTTTACATTTTCAATCTGTTTAGCTTTCCTCACTGAGTCCTGTCCATAGCGACGTGCTGGGCAGAGGAATAGAAATGTATATAAGCTGGGCTGAAAAATGGTGGTAGAGGAAAGGAGATTCTATGAAGGATCCAGGAAGCCACCCTAGGGAAGGGCTGTCTCCATGGAGAGAGGAAAAGGGTCAGGCTCATCCTTCTCTGTAGCAGAAATAGGCAGCCCAGCCTTAACCAGGCCTGATTTCAGCATCAAAGCAAGTTACTCTGTGGCCTAAAGAAGACTCCTTCTCCCATGGGGTCTATGTTGCCGCCATTCCTTTACTAGGAACAGAGTTTTTCTTTTTCTAAGGTAGGGACTCAAGTGTAAGTGTCATGTATAGCAAGCCTTGCATGAAACATGCCTCCTGAATCCCACATTCTCTGAGGGGTGCTTCATGGAGCTTCCTGCTCTCCGCTGATGAAACCTGGCTCTCACAGGCCAGCCAGGGGCAGCAGGGCTCAGCCTCAGCAATACCTACCAGGGACTCTAGAGATAACTGAAGTATCTGTTGAGAATCACCCACTCCACACCCTAGAATGGGAAATACATGCAGGTTCCTATATAACTAACATTGACATGCATTTATACTGTAAACCCTGAACGCTGCTCAGTCGGGCCCTGTGAGGCCCTTGCAGTTTCTCTTCAGTAAGAATTGAATAAGAACTCTTAAAAGTGTGGCTGCTGGCCTGGTGCGGTGGCTCACGCCTGTAATCCCAGCACTTTGGGAGGCTGAGGTGGGCAGATCACCACAAGGTCAGGAGTTCGAGACCAGCCTGACCAACATGGTGAAACCCCGTCTCTACTAAAAATACAAAAATTGGCCAGGTGTGGTGGTCCCAGCTACTCAGGAGGCTGAGGCAGGAGAATTGCTTGAACCCGGGAGGCAGAGGTTGCAGTCAGTTGAGACTGCACCACTGCACTCCAGCCTAGGGTACAGAGTGAGGAGTGAGACTGTCTCAAAAAAAAAAAAAAAAGTGCAGCTGCTGAGAGAGTCTCTGTGTCAACTTAGTTTGAGTTCTTCTTCTGGGCCCTGTATGTCCTTGGGTGTACCCCATGCCATCCCATGTAAGGTTGGCTGTCTAATCCAGGTGGATCAGGAGGTGCTTTGTGGTTTTAGCAGCAAAGAAATGACGTCTGGCAAGCAAACAATGATTAAACATGTTTCCATTTGTGACTTGTCTTTCGGTGAAATGCAAAAGGTGGCTGTGCATTCTTAATTCAAAGAAAATCTCTTTAAAATCCCCTCATCCCTTCTTGTTCTTCTAAATAATCTATTCCTAGATATCTTGCACCCCGCAAACTCCCTCAGCCTCCATGGCAGCTTTTCTCTCTCCTCTCTCTCTTTCCCGTCTCTCCATCTCCTCACTTCAGCCTTTCCTCTTTCTTAGCTCTTTATTACGTAGAGAAAAACCTCTCCAACCTCTTTAGCATTCTCTCCATTGCATCCCTTACCTGAATTCTCCCCAAGAAAGAGCCCAAGATCTGACACAGCAATCAGAAATACTCCACCCTTAGAAGCCCAGGGGCGAAGGAGTTCAACACTTTGTCCCTGTTACAGTCACTTCCTTGCATCAGGACCCTTGTTACTATTTACAGACTATTTTCCACGTCTACTAATGCAACTGCTCAAAGGGCACTTTAAGAATAATCATTATCCATTGATATTTTTTGGAGGCTTTTATTCCCTCCAATAAGTTCTGCCAAATACTGGCTGCTGGCTCTATTTGTTAAACAATGGAGGGTGTTGTTCTGCTTGTTTTTTTTTTTTGTTTGTTTGTTTGTTTTTCTTAATCTGAGCTTTCTGCCCACTCTTAGCACGGGGCAAAGGGAAGATTTTTCTGCCACTTCTTTTGGTGAGAAGAGTCACTTTCTGATTAGGATTTGAGCTGAAAATAGGTCCCCCTTTGGGAAGAAACATGAGTGCAGGGCGCTTCCTGTGTCACTCCCAAGGAGGCACCTCCTCAGGGCAGTTCCTCTTTGAGAATTTCATGGTCAGTAAGAAGTAGGCTCCCAGGGACCCCAGAGTGGGGACCCTTTGACTGAAGTCACCCCAGTGGGTATAAGATAAACATAAGAGACGCTTCTCAGAGAAGATTTGGAAAGAAGTAAAAGAGTAAAAGGTTCACACGGACCATGGAGTTCTGGAAAAGGGCCCAGAAAGGGAAGCTGTGGCTAAGATGAGAAACTGCCTGATTACACTGACCCAGGAGAGGGGATGAAATCTCTGGTCACGTATCTCAATAATGATTTTCCACATGCTACAAAGCTTGTGGGTTTACCAAATGAGTTTTATACTTTCCTGTGTTTTCCTGGTTGTAAAAGTTGTCCTTTTGCTTCCATGTTTAGGACTCAGTTGAGCAATTCTTGTAGGGCCAGTCTAGTGGTGACATATTTCTTCAGGATTTGCTTGTCTGGAAAATACTTTATTTCGACTTTATTTATGAAGTTTAGGCTTGCTGAATGTAGAATTCTTAGCTGACATTTTTTTCTTTCAGTATTTTGAAAATACTATCCCATTCTTTTCTGCTGAGACAGGTTTCTGCTGAGAAGCCCACTGTTAGTCTGATGGGGTCTCCTTCATAGGTGACTAGGTGCACTTTTCTTTCTGATTTTATAATCTTCACTTTCATATTGATTTTAGACAGTCAGATTATAATGTGCTATGGTGAAATCCTTTCTGCGTTCATTTGTTAGGGATCACTGAGCCTTCCATATCTGAATGTCTAAATCTCTTGCTGAATGTGGAAAGATTTTATCTTTTATTTTATTAAATAGGTTCTTTAGGCCTTTTGAATTCTCTTAACCCTTGAGAATACTGATAATTCATAAATTGGTTTGCCTTATGTAGTCCCAAATGTCTCAAAGAGTTTCACTTACTTTTAAACATTTATTTTGCAAAATTTTGTCTGGATTATTTCAAAGTTGTAGAATTTTTTCTTTTCCTTGGTATAGCCTATTTTTGAAGGTTTTAAATGCATTTTGTATTTCCTCCAATATTTTTTTTTCTTTCAGAATTTCTGTTTTTTCTTTTCTTTTCTTTTTTAAGATATCTATTTCCTTTCTCATTTGTACCTTGAATTGATTTTCTGACTTTCTTTTATTGGTTTTCAGATTTCTTCTGCATCTCACTAAGCTTCTTTAAAATTAATGTTTTGTATTTTTTAGGGGATGATGAATATGTTTATTATCATGATAGTGGTGTTGGTTTTATGGGTATACATATGTCAAATCTTAACCAAATTTTATACTATAAACATGTGCAGTTTATTGTATGGCAATTATACATCAAGATGTTAAAATAGGGCCACAAACTCTTTTCTGTTTCTCTCAGTAAGAGATGCATTATAATTCTCTTCCCACTGAGTCTGGGGTGGCCTTGGTGTATCGTTTGACCATTAGGATATAGCACATACTGGGACTTCTGAACATAAGTCTTAGGCATTGCATCTGGCCAGACGAGGTGGCTTATGCCTGTAATCCCAGCACTTTGGGAGGCTGAGGCGGGCGGATCATGAGGTCAGGAGATGGAGACCATCCTGGTTAACATGGTGAAACCCCGTCTCTACTAAAAATACAAAACAAAAAAAAATTAGCTAGGCGTGGTGGTGGGTGCCTGTAGTCCCAGCTACTTGGGAGGCTGAGGCAAGAGAATAGTGTGAACCTGGGAGGCAGAGCTTGCAGTTAGCCCAGATTGCACCACTGCACTCCAGCCTGGGTGACAGAGCAAGACTCCATCTCAAAAAAAAGAAAAAAAAAACAGGCATTGTGTTTTTGGCACAGCTGTCTGGGAACACTCTCTGAAAGCCCTGAGCTGCCACATAAGAAGTCTGGCTACCTTGAGACTGTGATGCTAGAGAGGCCATGTGTAGATACTCCAGTTGAAGCTCCCAGCTGAGCCCAGCCTTCTCCATCAAAGTGCCAGATATGTGATTGACTAGCCCAGACCAGCCCAGATACCATCTAAATACCACAGGATAAGCTTTGTTACTATCACGTGGAAAAAATATATCTATTACCCCAATTGAGCCCTGTTTGAGTTTCTGACCTCTGGAATTGTGAGATATATTTAAAAACCTGTTGTTTAAAGCCATTAGAAAGTTTTGAGGAAGTTTATTATGCAGCAGTAGATAACAAGAAATGAATTTGGCACAAGGAAGTTGAGAGTGCTTTTGCAGCAAAAATATGTGGCATTGACATTGGTACTGGGTAGTAGGCAGAAGCTGAAAGAGCCATGAAAAGACCGATGGTGAAAGGTTGGAGAACAATGAGGAAGATGTTATTAGAGCTGGAGAAAATATGACACATTATGTGGTTGTAAGAAGTTTTGTGAACCTGTTGACTTTATATCAATACTTTGGATTTTTTCTCTGATATTTTGAGGATTTATTTTTGGTTAAGATCTTCTGTTAAGGACATATTATGTTCCTTTAGGGATGTCATATTTCCTTGCTTTCTTATGTTTCTTGTGTCTGTACATTGATTTCTGTGCATCTGATATGAAAGTCACTTTTTATTTTTGAATTTACTTTCTTTAAGGGTGAGGATTTTTTTCCTGAAGATGTGACTATAATGTTCGTTGGGTGGGGTTTGTTGGCTTTGCATTCAATCGTGAAGTCTGTGTGATTTCTTTGGCTGTGAATATCATTAGTGGCATCTGTGGTTTCCTCAGTGTGTTACAGTGTGGTTATTGCTAGAGACTACAGTGAAGTTGTGCTGGCTACACTGAAATGCTGTATGGTCCCATTTCTGGGTTTCAGTGGTAGCGCCGGTGAACTAAGCTTATCTATCCTTTTGCCCTAGGGTGACATATGCTGGCACTTGTGTTGGTGACTCCAGGCAGGCCACCAGCAGGGTAGCTTACTCAGATGCCAGTTGTAGTTGTAGTGTACTGGGAGGGTGAATGGACTCTCAAACTTCTAGACAGCCATAGTGGCATGGGCAATGGAGGTAGCAGTGGTGATGAAATGCTCTTCCAAGTCTCAAGTAGTCTTCTGAGTCCCAATTGTGTTGGCAATGGTTGCAATGGGCTGTGTAGGCCAGTCTCTAGGCCAGTTGTTGGAACTTGCAGGTAAAAGCAATATAAGGTGGTAGCAGTAGGGTGTTTACACCCAACCTCAATACCCCCAAAAGACAGACTTGGTTGTCCCAGTTGGTAGATTAGGTTGGGGAACCTCCCCACGACCCTGGATCTTGCATTTTATCTCAAGGAAATGATGATACTGGGTGGAGCTAAATTGCCCTCAGCTTCCCCCAGTGGTGAGTGTCTGCACAGATGTAATTGGTAGGAGTTAGGCAATCCTCCCAGGGCTGGTGAAATGCTTGGGTGAGGGGCAACTGTCACTGCCCTGAGGTCCTGCCACAGGGAGGGTGATGGTGGTCTCCGCATCCACAGCTTTGACTGGTGGATGGGGAACTTTTATCCCTCTCATGCCCAGCCCCACTGGGGCTTGCTCCCTCCTTTCACCTGTCACAGACAACTTGACTATTCTGCCAAACATGAGAAATTTATACTGTTCTTTAGTTCAACCCTGGGTCATAGTAGCCCCTCCCCAGCTCAAGACCAAGCCACTGTGACAACTGTCACCCTGCTCAAGTCCTGGGGGTAATGCCTACTTTCAATGCCATTGGATGCACTCCATGCCATGCTTGTTTCTCAGTCTTGGTTGTGTTAGCCCTCTCCCTGCTCATGCCCCAGTTCCGTGAGCAGCAGCTTGAGTTTCCTTAATGCCTGGGATTGGCAACCCTGGTAACAAGGACCATGAACACTCTATTAAGAGCTAGGATTAACAATGGCATCTTGCTATAGCTGCTTAGGCTTCAGGAAGGGTGTGGAACTAAAAGCATTTTCCCTCCCTTGAGCAGTTCCTTGTCTCAGTCCCCTGACTGCTCCCTATGCTAGATTCAGGGATTGAGAGGGTCAAAATGCTCTCCCAAGATCTAGATTGTATGATTCCCCAGTGAGAAAATGGACCACAGAAAAGCCATTGCTTACTTTCTCCTGTATTATAGAGTCACTCCTGATTTCCAGCTGGTCTTGGTCACACAGGCTGGCTGTTTTTCTTTTCCTTTCTAGTTTTTGCAGTCTCCTGTCACTTCTGTTAAACTCTTGTGTTCTCTCTTGGATAATGTACTCAATGTATGATTGTCTATATGCTATTATGGTGCTAAATGGATGAGGCTGGCTTGAAATGCTCCTAGTTAGCCATCTTAAAAAAAATGGTACTGATCTTCAATAATGCCACCTTGCTAAACTCACTTACTAGTTCTAGTGAGTTTTAAAAATTCCTCAGACATTTTTATTTGCATGATAATGTGATCTGTAAAGTTTCCAAACCCCAGGTGGAAGCCATTAATTTATTTTTGTTGCATCATATCTCTGGCTAAGACCTCCAGTATAATGTTGAATGGAAGTGGTAGAAACAGACGTTTTTGTCTTGTTTCTAAAGTAACGTTCCCAAACCCAGGTTTTAACCATTACATGTGACATTAGCTGCACATTTTATAGATGCCCTTTCGCAAGTCTAGAAAGTTTTCTTGCATTTCTAGACTGCTTTGGGTTTTATTATAAATAGATGTTGGTTTTGTTAAATGTTCTTGTGTGTATCAAATTTTTTTTTGTATTTTGTTTTACTGTTATTCTGTGTTACATTGACTAATTTTTGGATGTTTAGCCTAATTTGCATTTTTGAGATAGCTCCTTTCGGTGACGGTTAAACTATTAAAAATGCTATAGAAATCAACTGTTCTGGCATAAAACAAATAACTATAAAGAGTGTTGAATAGCTTTATTAGGAAGTTTGACTAAATACACAAAGGAACAGCAATTATGAGCCCTAAACAAGGTTTAAAGCTTGAAAAATGTATCAATAACTTGACAAAACATGAAGTGCTACAGATAATATTATCTAAGTACTATGAAATGACAATAGAAAGTTTCAAAGTATAACCAATAAGAAATATCTAATCACGTGCAAATTTCCTGTAAGATTATTTTAAGCAACTATTGGAGTAAATAGAAAATTTAAACTGAGATTATCTTTATAGAGCCAGAGAATTGCTAAGAAAGCATTTTGACTGGAGGCAAAGAACCAAAAGCTATTCAATTAATTCTACCAGTTCTGTCTTAAGGTCACAGAAAGATCATGATTTGGTATATATCCATATATTTTTAATTAAAGAGGAGGGTTATTACTCAAGAAATTTGTACAAAATATAAATATACTTTTTAAGTATTAAGAAAATATCTATACTCTACAAATAATGTTACCATGTAGCATATGAAGGTTATGGTATTCTAACTAAAGAAGCTTAAGATTTTTTATGGGATATTGTTCTGCCAGAAAATATCTATGTGCAGTGTGGATATATGATGTAGAACAAAAAAATTGTATATACTCCAAAGTATTATTTAATGCAGAAAACTGAAAATCTTCAAAAGTTACAAAAAAACTTCACCATGTCCAATGCAGCTGGTAGGAAAAATATTTCTGCAAGACCAGAAATAAACTAGAAGAAGGATTTACAGGAGTAATAAAACTGAGAAACCGCTACTCCCTTCGGGTCTTGATTGATTGCAAGGACCTCAAACTTGTGTAGATTGCCCAATTTACCCTCTTGAAATAAACAAAGAAAAAGTACTGACTGAAGCAGATCATAAAATATAAAACACAGAAGAAAATAAGCTACCACTCTAAAGAATGAGAAAAAAATTAATTGTATACATTTTAGTTATTTTAAATATACTTAAAATATTTAAGTAAACGCAATGGGTAAAATAGAAAATTTTAAAAAATGATTTGAAAAGACCAAGAAATTGTAAACTAAACAAGCATATTTGGGAAAGGAGCCAAAGAGAAATTGAAAAAAAAAATAAGTTTAATACACAATATTTGGGTTAAATATTAAGTTAGACTCACATGATAAAAAGATTAGTAAACTGCAATATTGAGCAGAATGAATATCACCAAATAAAGACAAAATATAAAAATACAAATATAATTATAGGAAGAATATGAGAAGGAAAATACATTTAAATTATCCAATAGAATATATAAAACTATAGAATATGTAAATAGAATGTATAAACATTTCCAACAGCAATAAATGAGAGCTCTTGTTACTCTACATCCTCGCTAGCGTTAGTGTAGTCAGTGTTTTAGATTTTAGCCATTCTAATATGGGTGTAGCAGTATGTCATTGTTATTTTAAATTTCTATTTCCTAATGACACATGATGCTGAGCATATTTCCATATGCTTATGTGCCATACTTTTATGCTCTTTAGTGAGACCTTACAACTTTTACATTTGTATTTGTTTGAATCCTTTGCCATTTTATAGTTGGATTGTTTATTTTTTATTCTTGAGGTTTTTTTTTTGTTTGTTTGTTTTGGTTTTTTTTTTTGTTTTTGAGAAGGAGTCTTGCTCTTTCTCCCAGGCGAGAGTGCAGTGGCGTTATCTTCGGCTCACTGCAAGCTCCGCCTCCCGGGTTCAGGTCATTCTCCTGCCTCAGCCTCCTGAGTAGCTGGGACTACAGGCACCCGCCACCGTGCCCGGCTATTTTTTTTTTTTTTTTTGGATTTTTAGTAGAGACGGGGTTTCACCACGTTAGCCAGGATGGTCTGGATCTCCTGACCTCGTGATCCGCCAGCCTCGGCCTCCCAAAGTGCTGGGATTGCAGGCGTGAGCCACACCACGCCCTTCCTATTCTTGAGTTTTAAGTGTTTTTTATTTTTTATTTTTTGCATGTTTTGGATACCAGTCTCTTATCCGTTATGTGTTTTGCAATTATTTTCTCTCATTCTGTGCCTTTTCTTTTTATTCTTTTAACAGTGTCTTTGCAGTTCAGAAATGTTACTTTTAACATAGTTCGACTCAGCAGTTTTTGCTTTCATGGACCATATTTTGGTTTTTGGTGTTGTATCAAAGGAGACAGAGTGAAAGATACTGAAATACACACCTGAGCTGTTTCCTCGAGGGCTTTGACTTTGTAGCATGGCTGAGATTTCATATGCTCTGTAGCTCTGCCTTCGGGGTTGCAGAGGATGAAGAGACTTTGGGGAGGCTGGAGAGTTGGAGAAAAACTGGCAACTAAGCATCTCGCAAGCTTCAGGGTTCTTCTTCTTTTCTTCCCTAAAGGGATTCCTGGAAAAGGAAAGTACTTTGACTGGGGAAACCTTGGCCAGGTTTGACCTGCTTCTCCTTGCAATTTCAAAGAGCCCTGCTCTCACTCAGGCCTCTCACTAGGGCCAGCCTTAGACCTAGTTGTAAGTCTGCTTTAGGAATGGAACTGTCGCAGCACGAGGGAATGGCTATTTTCTTCAGAGTCCAACTCTAAGCACAAAATGCTAGGATTTCCTCAAGGTGCATCCATATTGGTGAGCATCATGGTTAAGATTAATGACCCAACTTACTTGTAAATTTCAGGTTGACTAAGAATCAGGAATTTCAGGTTACTGTAAGGCCCAGTACAAATATTGAAGGGGAAGAAAATATAATTGTCCTTTCTATCTTTTTTCTCATAATTTAGCTCTTTCTCCACCACGTCATGCAGCTGAATTGAGCCAAGCATTAGTGGTAGGGATAAAAATAATGCTGGAATCACTCTCCCCCATTTCCAACTTCCACTCTCTTCATGTGCACAGCTGCACTTCGTACAACATTGTCATTTTTGGAGCCAAAGTTCTCCAACATGTTATCAACTGAAATACAATTAACTATTTTTTTTTGAGACAGGGTCCTCCTCTGTTGCCCAGGCTGGAGTGCAGTGGTGTGATCACCACTCAGTGTAGCCTAGAACTCCTGGGTTCAAGCAAACCTCCCACCCCAGCCTCCCAAGTAGCTGGGATGACAATCATGTGCCAAACCTGGATTTTTTTTTTTTTTTTTTTTTTTTTGGTAAAGATGGAGTCTCATTATGTGGCCCAGGTTGGTCTCAAACTCCTGGACTCAAGCAATCCTCCCACCTCAGCCTCTCAAAGTGCTGGGATTATAGATAGGCATGAACCACTGCACCCAGCCACAATTAAGTAAAACTTACAATAAATCTATAAAGAGCAATTAAGGGGTAAGAAACTCTTTGGGGGTATGTAGTTTACCACTAAAGTATCATGTCTTGCCAGAACCTTCTTCCACAGCACAATGGAGGCAGCCTTGTAGGCTGAACCCACTCAGTTTGGAAAACCCTTGTTCTTCCCCAGGTCTTATGTTATTTCCACAGTTTGGGTCCTGAGCTCAAGCTGTTCTTGCCACATGAGGGGTCTTCTGGGTCTCCTGGCTTGGAGTACAAGTTGATTATGCAGGTGGCCGGGGTCCAGGCTTCATCTCCCTGTGCTCTGAACACACCCCACACCTCCTCTATTTTAGCACATTTCCCAGTTGATTCCAAATGCGTGCTCACTCCTCTTTTCCCCCCACTAGAGAGTAAGCCTGATCTTGCTCACTCGCAGTTAGCTTCTGGACAACTTGTGGCGTATAATAAATTTTGCTCAACAAAATTTATTAAATGAAGGAGTATCTCCAATTTGAAGGCAAACTTTCTTTGTTATCTTGGAAACTGCCATAGGAGCTGTGTCTGAATGTGGTGATGGGTGAAGATCTTGTACTGTCAGGAAACTCCCTAGGTATTGAGCCATGCTGGGGCTGCCTTTCCACTGAACTGGTTGTCATGCTAGCTTCTGGTGGGTGTGTTCAAGCTGATACACTCCAATCTCCAAGTAACACGCCGATCTTTATGTTTCCAGGAGGTTAGGTAGCTTGACTGCATTGGGGGCTGAGCTGGTCTCCATGAGGTTGGTGTGTGCAGACTTCCTACCGCTCTGTCCTTCATTTCCCTCTTTCAAGCAGCTGATAAAGTGAGATTAGAGCTACAACCCAGCTGAACTGTGTCCCTTCTTCCTGTTTTTGTCACATGTCTATTACTTTTTTTTCCTCAAAAATTAACTTCCAAGACTTAAAACACCGAAGAACCACCCCCAGTGGAAGGCGATAAGAGGGCATGGGTGTATTTAGCAACTTTGAGTCCTAGTGGCTCCATTTGAAGTGTTTTAAATGTAAACTGGGATTAGAATGTACAGGGCTCACTAACTTGAGCGACTGCTCACCCTCCCTTGCCCCAAAAGAGGGGGCCTTATTAGAGTCAGCACTTTGCCTTAAAGAATGACTGTTGTTCAGTGTATTTCTATCAAGCACATAATACACATTCTCTCTCTCTCTCTCTCAGAGGCTAACCAAGTCCTGAATTCCATTGTCTCTCAACTGTTTGACTCAATGATTGTTATTAAGCAGTAAACCCACACCAACCGTGCAGTCATTGTGTTTCTAAAAAGTGTAAATGTCACTTTTTTGGTCTTTAAAAATTATTAAGCAGAGAGAAAGATAGCAATTTCCAGTGTTTGCTTGGATGGTAAGATGCAGGAAAATTCGCATTACTCTTGAGAGCTGCCATTGGTTAGCTGGAGGGAAAAAGGATATCAATTATACATAATCTAAGAAGCCTCTGCATAATAATCAGGCCCAGTAGGGGCTTTGGTGCACCTTTGTTATTCTCTTGACTACAAGAGCCCAGATTCCCTTTTCTCTATGTGCTAATGCAATTACCTTATAACTTGTGAATTTCCAGTGCATTTGTCTGGTGTTTCCTCTCTAAATGATATGTTTGTAATGTGGATGTGGAAGGAGAACACTGGCAAAATGCAGGAACTGGAGAAGGTAGGTCCTCTGTTAATGCCTAGAGGATGCTACCTCACAGCAGATGCTCATGTTTCTGCCTTCAAGGTAGACTGTTCTTTTATCTCTTACCCCCACTCCAAATAATTATTATTCCTTTTCTTCCCAGGGTCACTTTAATGACCTCAATGGACAATGCAGATCAGGACAGGCTTCTCAAGTTGCAGGGTTTTTGCCCCAACCTATGTGGTTTGGGAACCCCAAATCACAACCCAGTGGATCCCGGGCTCTGGGCATTGCTCCATCTTGGCACCTCCATAATTGGCTGAGCAAAGACACACAGGACTGAGGAGAGGGGGCAGAAAGGAAGAGGGCTTCACATAGCAGTTGATAGTTTCAAATCAAGATACCATGCATGATGGGTTTTCAATATCCAGTTATTCTCATGAATAAAATCTCTTGCACAGAAATATTCTTCCAATCCACTGGGTTAATTTACCATCTACAGAGACCACTCAACTTTGCTGGCTAAATAGCAGAGTCTGTGATTTCTTGTGTAATATAGGACCTCCTCCTTCTCACCATTAATTCAATCTCAGGGCCATGCCTTCTAGGTGCCTGACATGGGAGACAGGGCCTGTCCGTTGTGCCTGATAAACGGATGTTAATACCAGCATGAATGTCCTCCACTCTTAAACAGCATCTTAACTCTTTCCCATAAAAAGAGGTGCCATATTTCCCATCCCTTAGTAAACCAATCAGCGGGCAGGTTTCTAACCACTGTCTCAGTTTATGACAGTACAGTAGGGTATTACACAGCAAAAAAGCCTTCCTGCTGGAATATTTCAGCATTTCAGTTATTTATTACATTAGCTTTATGGCATATCACAACCTATTTGAGACAGGTAGAGTGAACCCTTTTCTGCCACACAGAGGCACATTAAGTGGCCATCATGACTGGTGAGACTTAATTGTTTTACACCGGGCAGTTCTCTGTCGTGATTTAAATCCCTCGTAAAGCAGCTGACCCCAGTTCTCAGGATGATTTGGATCCCCCGCTAACTTGGAAAATCAGAGCCAGCTGAGAGTTGGCTTGCACATTTTAGCATCTGGTAAAAGCGTGCAAGCTAGTGAGATGTGCAGGGAAGGAGTCATTGGCAATTGTATGTGAAAACACTTAATTAATTGTTTATCTCTTTTAATTTGTTTAAATGATCATAAAATTGCTCGCATTATTTTGAAGATGTCTTCATGTTTATAAAACTGTCTTCATGTCTTCACATATTTATAAAACAAAGTTACAATCATTTACCAACTCATTGTTTATGATTAGAACGTAATGTGCAAAACCAGATTAACAATGCTATTGTATCCAAATTCAAATGCCAAGTGCTTTTGGCTATGATTGCAGGTACATCTATACAGATAGATAGACAGGTACATAGATAGATAGATAAATAGATATATAGATATAGGTCAAGAGAGAGTGGGGAGGGGGGTTCTTGCTCTGTCACCCAGGCTGGAATGCAGAAGTGTGATCACAGCTCACTGCAGCTTTGACCTCCCAGGCTCAAGCAGTCCCCTCACCTCGGCCTCCCAAGTAGCTGGGACCACAGGTTTGGGCCACCACATCTAGCTAATTAAAAAAAATTGTAGAGATGAGATCTCACTATGTTGCCAGGCTGATCTTGAACTCCTGTCCTCAAGCAATCCTCCTGCCTTGGCCTCCCAAAGTGCTGGGATTAAAAATGTGAGCCACCATGCCCGGCCTGACTGATATTTTAAGGCCATGCTGTTGGTTCTAAGTAAAATGATAAAGATGTTCAGCCAGGTGAATTTTAGATTTGTGAATGTTCTGCTGTGTTGGTATACTGTTTAGATTTGTCTTCTTATGTGTAAGGAAGAGTATAGCCTGTGGATGAGAATGCAGACTTTTGAGCTGGACTCTTTGAATTCTGACTCTGACTTAGTGGCTGTGTGATCTGGATCAGGTGAATCAACCTTTCTGTATTTCAGTTTCCTCATCTGTGAAATAGGTACAGAAATAGTGCCTACCTCATAGGGTTGTTGGAAAGATTAAATTACTGAATATATAAAAAGCCTCTTTTAATGCAATACACATTGGCTGCTGTTGTTGCTCCTTCCTGTAATATACAATAACCTTAGTGTTGTTTACATGGTGGAGACATCTAGGCTATCTTCTCTTGTGATTATCACCATATAGTAATCTGGATTTAGAATTTGGTGATCCAATGCTACATCAACAGTCTGTCTTCCTGACAATAATGAATCCAATCTCATTGTTGGTAATATTGATATTTGTAGATCTGGAGTGCATTAAGGTTTGCACCAAGATGAAGCACCTATTGATGGATTCACCCATTGCTTCAAGCTAAGCTCTTTATGATGGCTAAAAGAACCACAGACTATTCCCATTTAGTTCATTTTATATCATTCATGCACCTCTTATCATGCTAGATATAATGTATATTGATATAATTAAACAAAGAATAGTGGTGCTGTTTCTATGACTTAATTTTCTCTCATCCTATAAAGTGGATTTATCTTTTGATCATATGTTCTGGAGTGGAAGACACTCTTAGTGGAATAGGAGTTATGATAACATACATAACACGTTCAAGTCTGCTTTGAAGGAAGTAAGCAGTTTTTTAAGACAACACAATTTGAATGAGCTGCAACTTGACTCTCCTCTTTTGCTGTATCCTGGATGTGAATAGGAGGAGAAACTGGTGCAAGTTGTTGTTAAAAAAATTATTCTCCTTTTTCATTAAGTGCCATCTGCTCTATAATTTAAGGGGTTGTTATGCCCAGAGTGAATCTGGGGAATTCAACAGTCTTCTCCATAACAGCCTTATAATTAGCTGGATGATAAAAGTAAAGGTGTGCTGAGATTTACATACTTTATTCCAACTATCACAGGGAGGGAGGGAGGGAGGGAAAAAAGGGGAAACACTTCTGTTTTGCATTTTGATCAGCTCAGGGAGCTTTCCTTTAATTGGAGGATGGATATAGCAGGAGGGTTGAAGAACTTAGAGCGTAAATGCCTATTTTTGAAAGTCATCTTCAAAAATAAGACAGTTGTGTTGAATGATTTGGGGATCCTTTTTTCTAGCATCTGAAAATTAACCATGTGTTTAATTCCACAGGTTGATTTCTTTAGGTCCCCACCACCCACCATGAGATTGGACAAGTCTAGTGGGAAGTGGTCTAGAGGTGATGGATCTTCTAGGATTGCAATCAGAGCTGGCTTCATGAGTGTGCACAGGGGTCCCACACATGAATGAGTACTTTCCTTCACTGTCTTAAAATTCTTAATAGTGTTTGAACAAGGTATCCCAGATTCATTTTCATTTGCACTGGGCCCCACAAATTATGTAGCCAGATTAGGTTACAGTCAACATTTGGACAATGTTAACTCTATTTATTGCACACTATTTTTCTAAGATAACTAGTAGAAATGCTTGCATGTCAGAAATGTTGTTGTTAAAATATCTGATGACTTAAGCTGTCTTACATTTAGGCTGATATCTCTCCTTACATCTTTTCTGCCATTAACATTAGGGATTAGATAGATCAAACAAGGCAAGGAGAACTCAAGAAAGTCTGGTCACTTCAGTGAGTGTTGGTGTGTGAGGAGAATCAAGTGAGAAGTGCTTTTAGAAACATCCATGCAGGTATGAAGGAGCTCTAACATGCCAGGTGAGTGGACAAGGCTTGGGGAAGGTTGACGATACCTAGAGACATGTCAGCCTTTGGGTCAGAGCCTGCCTAATCTCATGGGGAACTGATGGGTGGAATAGGCACTCTAGGCTCCCCCTGGCATGGGCAGGGTTGCAGAGAATTCAGAAATTTGTGTGTGTTCACGGAGGGGAGGCCAAGCTTCTGACTGTTGAAGTTAGGGTCAGAATGGAGAGGCAAGCATGTGTGTGAGGGACTCTGAGATGGGAGGCTGACAATTAGGACAATGGGCTTTGCCCATGGAGCCAGAATGTTACCCTGCGAGGGTGAATGGCACTGGGCCACATATCTCAGTGGTCAGATCCAGGATCTCAGCAGTCACTCCTATCAATCAGAGATCGGACCATGGCAGGCACACTCAGCAAAGTCCCCCATGATCCAGAAGACATGTGCGAATTCTGCATCATCTTCCCCTCCATAATCCTGAGGACAGTGAGAGCCAAGGTAAGGACCTTGACACACAGATTCGTTACCAGGAGGAATTCTTTGCCTACTGAATCATTCTGAATATATCGGATTTGTCTAAATAGATCCCACCTGCCCTCCCATCTACTCTTCTCCAGTAAAGAGGCTTACGTGGAAGATTAGATCTGTTACCAAAAATAAATTTTAAATAAAAGCCAAACTCTTTTTGTATATTTTGTGACAAAATACCTCTGAAGTATTTGTTTCAAAGATAAAATAATAAATTTTGGCATCTGCTAGGTGTGTCTGGTAGACCTCTTATAATGTTCCCCATGATCCCATCTCCCCCTTTTCTCTCTTCCTCTCTCTTCCTTCTCCTTCTTCCTCCAATGCCCCTAATTCTGGGAATTACTCTGAAAATAAGTAGGAAATCTGTGATCTTCATTTACTCCTTATTTTATTTTATTTTATTTATTTTTATTTTTTGAGACAGAGTCTGGCTCAGTTGTCCAGGCAGGAGGGCAGTGGTATGATCTCGGCTCACTGCGATCTCCGCCTCTTGGGTTCAAACAATTCTCCTGCCTCAGCCTCCCAAGTAGCTGGGATTACAGATGCCCACCACCACGCTTGGCTAATTTTTTTTTTTTTTTTTTGTATTTTTAGTAGAGACGGGGATTCACCATGTTGGCCAGGCTGGTCTCGAACTCCTGACCTCAGGTGATCTGCCTGCCTCAGCCTCCCAGTGTTGGGATTACAGGCATGAGCCACCGTGCCCAACTATCACAGGGAAGGAGGGAAAAACGGGGAAACGATTCTGTTTTGCATTTTGATCAGCTCAGGGAGCTTTCTTTAACTGGAGGAAGGATATAGCAGGAGGGTTGAAGAACTTAGAGCGTAAATGCTCTAAGAGAGAAGGAAGAGAGAGGAAGAGAGAAAAGGGGGAGATGGGATCATGGGGAATATTATAAGAGGTCTACCAGACACACCTAGTAGATGCTGACTCCTTATTTTTGAAGAAAAATTGGCTTTGTTATATTTGTTTGCAGGCAGACTTATTAGGGCAAATATTTGCATAATAAGGGTTTTTGGTTTCTTCCAATTATATCCTCAGCTATGCCTGCAGTGTTTCTCCCATCTACATCTGGGACAATATTTGCATGAGGTTGCAGAAAACCAGTGGTTCTCAAACTCTGCTGCACATTAGGGTCACCTGGGGAGCCTTAAAAGTATAGATGTCCAGGACTTGTTCCTTTCCAATTAAGCCAGAACATGGGATGGGGAGCAGGCACCAGCATCAGGGGTTTTTTAAACTTCCCAAGAGATCCCAGTGTGCAACCAAGCTGAGAACAAGAGTTCAAGACAGCAGTGCTTTCCAAACCTGCTTGATTATAAGAATTACCCATGGTCTTTTTAAACTACGAAAATTACCTGGCCTCTTCCATAGAAATTTGGGTTCAGCAGGTCTAGGTTTGGGGCTAAGACTGTATATTTTTAACTAGCAGGCAAAAAGAACTGGAGGAAGCAGTTTTTGTCTAGTGCAGATGAGTTTTTGGGGGATTGGCGAGAATTTCAGAAGTTGTTTTTTAAGGGATACAAAATAAGAAAGTGAGAAAAGAGAAATGGATTAAGTGCAGCAGTAATTTATGTGTCTGGATTTCCTTCTCACCTTCTGAGAGAAACGCAAGTGAAGGACTGAAGTTATTTTACAATTACTTTTGGAGGTGTGCTGTGCTTTACTGAATAAGAAATTTCTCCCAACTGGACTATATGAGTCTAATGCAGTTTTAAGGAAAAAGGAGGCAGAGACATGTTTGGATGAAGAAGGCTATAGAGAGAGGGTTGGAAGTTTTAGGTACACCGGGAAAGTTTGAAGCAGCTCCCCAGGAGAATCAGGGAGGGACCTCATCACAGATATGGTACAGAGGTGCTCATCTGTGTGAGATAATGACTGAGCTAGAATATCCTCAGTTTCTAGTAGCCCCTGTCTGAATGGTTCTGTGATTTTTTTCACAGGATTGCTTAGCCACACAGGTGTAGCAGTGGGGGAAGCAGAAAGCTAGATGAATCCATGGATGGAATTTTTCAGGAGAGTAACATAGGGCATGAAGGTGAGAGAACCGAGTGTGCTGGAAAGAGGATGATTATTTGGGGATGGTAGTTGCTTTAGCTCTCTATTGCCACAGTGTTGCTGCATAGCAAACCACCACAATCCTCAACTGCATGCATTGGTAAGCTCTTTTGCTCATGGGTCTGGGATGTAGGAAAAGCTGTCATTGCTCATGTGTCTGTGATGCAGGTAGGTGACCCTGCTGGTCTTGGCTGGGTTTGTTCATATGTCATGGATTTGCTGGCTGCCTGCCGGCCCTGGAAGTCCTCAGCTAGGGTGATAGAATCAAAGTATGATGTTGAGACAAAGGTACATGGCAGAGTATGCACAAATGGCAGGTGGAACTTTGGGGCTATTTTTGCTGTCTACCACAGTAGCTGCCAATACATTTTAGCATCCTTTTGAAAACATTTCAACTTATGTTAAATTCTGGGGATACATGGGCAGGTTTGTAACACAAGTATATTACATGATGCTGAAGTTTGGGGTATGGGTGATTCTATCACCTGGGCGTGTGCATAGTACCCAATAGGTAGTTTTCCAGCCCACACCCCCTCCCTTTCTCCCTCCTCTGGTAGTCCCCACTGTCTATTGTTGCCATCTTTATGTCCACATGTACCCAATGTTTAGCTCCCACTTCTAAGTGAGAATATGCAGTGTTTGGTTTACTATTCCTGCATTAATTCACTTAGGATCACGGCCTCCGGCCACATTCATGTTGCTGCAAAGAACATGATTTTATTCTTTTTTAAGGCTGTGTAGTATTCCATGGTATATATGTATTACATTTTCTTTATCCAGTCCACCATTTATGGACATCTGTGTTGATCCCATGTCTTTGCTATTGTGAATAACACTTTTACCATCATTTGAAAGCATACTTTTATAAGGAACTATTTGTACAGATAAAACAAAATATGGAGAAAAGTCATTCAGATCTTTTCTGTTTAAAATGCTTGATATTACTACCTAATAAAACCTCAACCATCTAAAATAAAACCTCAACCATCTTAAGCAACTAAAGCAAGAAATACTATTTTTTCATTGTTCCTTTTTATCATGGGCCATGTGTGTATGTATCTCTTTTATGGATCTCAATCAGGATTCATTCACCATTTTCAAGATATAAAATGTGAGAGTTAAAATTAAATTCTGCCTCTCTCAAATCATTTCTGGTATTAAGTTTCCTTCAGGACATCCTTTTTTTTGAAAAATGAGTTAAGATATGCAAAAGAACTTTGTACTTTGTCTTCACTATAAAAGTGCCTGGAGTGAACTTCTCTACTCAAGCTAAATTGTTAATTAGTTCAAGGTACACCAGAGATGTGATCTTGGAATCTTCTGATAGCCAACATTTATTAAAACAGTAGTCATTGGTCTTGATTAGATTTATGTGTGTATGTGGGTGGGCGGTGGGCAGCTTAGAGTAATTTTAATTATAAAAAATTAAAATTACTTAGAGTAATTTTAATTATAAAAAATTATAAAATTTTTAGTGTTATAAAGACTAGTGTTGGACAGTTGCAGTGGCTCACACCTGTAATTCCAGCACTTTGGGAATCCAAGGAGGGCGGATCACCTGAGGTCAGGAGTTTGAGACCAGCCTGGCCAACATGGTGAAACCCCATCTGTACTAAAAAATACAAAAAACAAAACAAAACAAAAATCAGCCGGGCGTGGTGGCGGGTACCTGTAATCCCAGCTACTTGGGAGGCCGAGGCAGGAGAATTTCTTGAACCCAGGAGGAGGAGGTTGCAGTAAGCCGAGATCATGCAACTGCACTCCAGCCTGGGCAACAGAGTGAAACTGTGTCTTAAAAAAAGAAAGAAAAAAAAAAAAAAACTAGTGTGGAAGAATTTGACAATAGTTGGCTACCTAACAAAACCCACTAATACCACTTTAAATCAGAATTTCGTGAAGGGTACGGCCTCATCTTGAGACATATTCTTTTTCATCCTCATATGCACATTTGATTTCTCTACAATTGACACTGTTTATGAGACCTATTATATATTTTCGTAAGATCTTACCCTTCTTCTGTTATAGAAGTTGCTTGCAATTCTTGGTGTGATTAGACTGGGTTTCCTTCCCTAATGGATGGTGAGATTCATGGGGGCTAAGCTCTGTGAGCTTTGCTCGTGTTGCTGGAATCTCAGCCACTGACACAGTGCAGGGCCTCAGTGAACACTGTTGCATGAACAGGTGCATGAGATGCTTCTTCACAAGGACGAAACAGGTACCTCCTGCCTTGAGTGATTTAAAGCATTTTAAGATATGCTTTGCTGCCTCTAGATATTTCTCTGGTTAGATCCCCACAAAGATACTGTAACATTAAGTTCTGGGACCATTTGAGAGCAAACTAGCTGCTCACAGATTCCTGAAAGAAATGCAAAACCTTTTCTCTGGCCCCAGGTACTCAGCTTACTTTTTTCCCCTTCATCTCTTTTTGCCTTGCCAACCTGGAAACCCCATGGAATTATTTGTCCCAGCTCTTATCTCTGAGGGTAGAACTCAATCACCACCCACCCTTAGTTTCTGTTTCTGCAGAGCCAATCACAATAGAATAGCAATAATTTGCATCTCCAAGCTTCTGTGACCTGGATGCATGGCATTTTCTGAGACTCTGGCCTCAAGGGTGCACAGCTCCCCTGCAGGCTGCCCCTCTGAGTCCCTGCTGGGCTTCAGGCTGGACAGCTCTGCCTTCCTGGCCCTAGGGATATCCCTGTGATCGACATAGCTTGGCTTCAGTGAAAAAACACAAAGTGCCAGGTCTTTCACTTTGGTTTATTTTTTTCCCCTTCATTTGCAAACAGAAGAAAAACTATTTTACCCTTGCGTTTTATCAAAAGATACACATATATATGTTTTATTTGACATATTTAAAGCAAGAGAATAGGATCACTTCTTCCCATAGCCTCTTAGCTTGTAGACAGGGCCTTTTTAAAAATATTCATGCATTTATAGATATGTGGAAACACACAGCTACAACGACAGGTTTTTCAGTTCTCAGATTTTTTTTTTTTCTAATCTGCCTCCAGCACTGGCCTAAGCCTTCCCAGAACCCCAAGTGAATATTACTGGAAGCCTCAGGAGAGAGTCTCCAGCTAGATCTGCATTTGTACAACTGTTGGGATTCTGCCTCCTTTTAGGTCTTAAATCAGCCATTGACAGGTTTACAACATAAAGCCAAGAGGGAACTCTCTCAGGTATTCAAGCCTGGAAACAAGTAGAGATAAAAAAAGATAGTAGCATTTGAGGCAAACGCACTGTCTTTAAGCTAGACTAGAGTACGTTTGGGTGAGTACTTTTCCAGGAGTTCTGTTAGCGATATGGGGAAGGCCAAATACTTTCAGAACTGCATGTTTCCTTCTTTGACCTTTATAAATAGGGAATATCCAAACAGGATGTTAAGGAGATTTCCTGTCAGCTGCAAATAAGCAAAAGGAATGGGATGGAAGGTTTTTATTCCTTAGTCCTCAACTTGTTCTTAGTCAGATATCTCTGCCCCCGTGATAAAGGCCCAAAGGGAAATTTCATCTTCTTGGTGTCGGGTTGGGGCCTGTGGTCTAGAAGTAGGTGGTGAGGTTAAAGAGAAACAGCCTTAAACTGTTTTCCCTTTCCTTCCTTCCTTCCTTCTTCCTTCCTTCCTTCCCTTCCCTTCCTCCCTCCTTTATTTTCCTTCCTTCCTCCTTCCTTCCCTCCCTCCCTCCCTCCTTTCTTTTCCTTCCTTCCTTCCCTCCCTCCCTCCCTCCTTTCTTTCCCTTCCTTCCTTCCTTCCCTCCTTCCCTCCCTTTCTTTCCCTTCCTTCCTTCCTTCCTTCCTTCCTTCCTTCCTTCCTTCCTTCCTTCCCTCCCTCCCTCTCTCCCTCCTTCCTTCTTTCCCTCCCTCCTTCCTTCCTTCCTTTTTGGCCACTCCTTGTTGTCCCCCAAATCATCTTGTTCTTTTATTTTTGGAGGTGGTTGTTATTATTTATTGAAATCTGTAAGATCAAGAGCAGCATGTCAAAAGGGTTGCCTACTAGGTTATTTGATTGAGATGACTTCAATATCCTGAACTCCTGTGTATTATTTTAGGAGAATGCACTGTTAATTATCAGCTAATAACTTATTTATTATGTACTTACTGTAATGTTTGTTGAGCCCTGTAAGAAATATGTAAGTGAATAAAATCTAGTCCCTGCCTTCAAAAAACTTCAATTTAGGGAAGAAAAACAATACACATCTAAAAAGATAACTGTACCAAGACAATTAGTACCATGTGTGGCCTAGACAGGGAGGCGTTTAAGGGCAGTGCTGGCATAACATGGCCCCTCGCAGCTCTGCTGACTATTTTTTCTGTGCTTGTCATCACTGACAGTCTGTGGCCTGGAGCTTCTGTAGGAATGTTAATCATAAATACCAGGTTTCTGTTTGTAGCAAAGCTGTGAAATTCAGCACTAGCAAGGTATTTCAAAGTTCCAGATGAAATCCCTTGAGGTAGCATGTGAAAAGGACCCATATTTGCTAAAGCGACTTGGAGTGAAAATCAATGTCTGGCAAAAGATCCCCACTGGGTGAAGTATGGGAAGTGCTCTCTCGTCTCCCCTCTCTTTTATTCTCATTCCCTTTTTGTCTCATCTCTCCCTCATTTCCTCTGACCCTTTTGCTCATTTTAATAGCTTTCCCAGTCTAATTGGGATCCCCTGCAACAGAGGGGTCAGAAAAGGCTGGAAGAGAAAGGAGGGCTATTCTGAATGAGGAAGGCAGGATCCTATTACAGAGGCAATTTGCCCATAAGTGAAATTTCACGTCTAACAAATATACTTCCCTATTCCAAATTCACTCGATTAAAACTCAACTACATCATCTAACTGTACTCAGTGAAGTAGAGTAACTCTTGGGATATAATTTTGAGTGTTCTCATTATAATTGCTAAATCATAAAATGAGTCAATTCACACTGGGTCTGTAGAGCATTAATATCTAATAATGAAGTTCTACCATGGTGGGAATTCTACTCAGTTCTTCTTCTTCCAAGATATTTCCATTAACCCTTGATGAACAAAATATATAGAGTCTCAAGGAGTCAGATTTTCTGGTTCTTTTGGATGCTCAATTAGTTTGTACAAGGTCATATTTAAGATGATTGGGCAAGGCTTTTGTAGGAGTGGAAAAGGCTGAAAGAATCATAGCAAAGCACAAGACAGGATGGTTGTGGGTGTGTGAGTTGGTTTGTTTTTATTTTAGAACTTTGAAGACAACATCATGGAGCAGAAAAAAGGGGACACAGGATAGGTATATACCTGCTGGAAAGGTATGACCTCTTGGGTTGGCTTTCGATAGGCAATTACAAGTGATAGAATTACATTGTAGAACTTTGAAATCTAGTTATGAGGCTGAAATACGTGGAAGTGAAATGTAAAATGTGACTCTTTTGACACCACTGATTATTGTTGCAGCTAAAATCTAATCCTCTTTTTGTTGGTGATACTATTTACATAGAGGTTGCTTTTCCCTACACATCTTTTTCTTATCATAGCTGTGGGATGAGTGTGATATTTTTTATTTAATAGTATAAACTCAGTGGTGATGTAGCTCCCAAATCCCCCGGGAAGGAGGTAGAAGCCTTAATCTACTCTACCTAAGTGGGTGAGTCATTCTCTGTGTCTCTAGTAATAGTTGTTTCCAGAGCTCTGGGCGTGGGAGAATACATAGTGATCTCAGGACAGGAAATGGCTAGCCCTCAACTGAAGCCATCATCACTGAAGGTGAAAAATCTTAACTTTAACAGTAGAAACCATGTGGTTGTCAGGTTTTCAGGAAAACAAAGAGGAGATTAAATGTGTGGGTGGCATGGGAAGGGTGAGTTGGTATGGGTTGGGAAAGGCAGCAACAACTTCATTTCCCTGAGCAGTTTCCATTGTAATCAATGTATTGGGTCAGCACCAACCTCTACCTGAGGTAAAATATTTAACGCATGTTTCTGTCAGCCTTGGAATATGCTTTGCCCTCTTAGGTTTATATTTGTGAGTTTGGGGTCTGGGTTAGGCCCAAAACTAGTGGCCTAGCCTTAGGCCAACCTCTTCCATGAGGTGTGTTTTTTTTTTTTTTCTTTTGACTGAGTCTCCTCTGTTGCCCAGGCTGGAATGCAATGGTGCAATCTCAGCTCACTGCAACCTCTGCCTACCGGGTTCAAGCGATTCTCCTGCCTCAGCCTCCTGAGTAGCTGGAATTACAGGCACGCGCCACCATGCCCAGCTAATTTTTTTGTATTTTTAGTAGAGATGTCATTTCATCGCGTTAGCCAGGATGGTCTCAATCTCCTGACCTCGCAATCCGCCCACCTTGTCCTCCCAAAGTGCTGGGATTAAAGGCGTTGAGCCACTGCACCTGGCCCTTCCATGAGTTTTATATCCAGCTACAGCCTCTGAGGACCCAATTATATGAAGTTTTCTGAACTGAAACAAAATTCAGGAGCGTGACCAGAGAAAAGGCTCCATTTTCCCCCTCACTGTTGCCCTAGTCCTGGGGAAATTAACATGGTGGACAGTTATCTCTGACCTTCTCTCAGCAGTTGATTGTACAAAATGGGGGAGTAAGACATAACCACAGGTTCTCTTCCTGCAGAAAAGAAGCTGGAAATGGATCCTCTCTTTTATAAAAATATTCCACAATGACCAATGTGAAGCAGCATTATCGAGAGCATGCATTCTCAGCAGGGGCGACTTACCCCTAAGGAGCAACAACTGCTCCTTGAGGATGGGGCAAAAAAAATATCAAATACTCAATGGTGCGTAGGCTTCCAGGGGTCCACAACACACAGCACTGCTACAGAGCACATCACCAGCGTTCAAATGTTATGGATTGTGTGGGGTTGCAATTAGGAAAAACGAAATCTCTGAAAAGGCTCTTTAAGGGTACCATAATTAAAGTATGGTTAAAAATCATTGGTCCAGGGTAAGGTATGATTTTAGGAGCTGCAGGATTGATAGCTATTTGCGTACACTTCTCCATGGAGCATTGACACAATTCGTAACTTTTTCAAAAGAAAATAGAATCCAGGAATTTTTGATATGGAAAGAGTTCAGTATCTAAAACTAACAGTAAGAAAAACCTTTTAAAAAATAATATCATCCTTGAGGCACAGGAGTCTTACTCTCTCTGAAGTATTCCCTCAAGTACATTTAAAAAAAAAGGACAATGTTCAGATCCAAGAGGCTGGACAGAAACAAGTGCCTGTAATTATTCCTGATACGTTAATCCTGAAGATGAACGTGAGCTGTCTTGGTATCTATGGGAAAAAGATCCATTATCTAGTACATAGTTCTGTGTGGGTTTCTGAAAGTGGACACATTTTACTCTGGATCTAGTCTTTTAAACTACATACTGGTAAATGTTGACAATTGAGAACACTGCTTCTGTTTTGTAATGTAGTATAACCCAAGAGATTTGTCTGTATTTATAGAAGTTCTTTTCAGAGGTAACCAAATCAAACTCTTTAAAAATATTGCCATTTGCATTTCCGTGATTTTAATTAATTTAGTTTAGTATTATCTGTCTGTTTTTTATTGGATAATCTTGATATACAATATTCAGTTTTACTCACCATCTATTATTTTGATTGCACAGAATAATGAAATTATGTTATTTTTAAGTATATTCAAAAACCTTTGTTTAGAAATTATTATATTTTTATAAGAAGGTGTTAATTGTTTGGTTCTTATTAAAACCTAGTAGTCATTTATAGAAAAATTATCGATAATGTTGTAGGAGAATAGTATTAAAGATAGAAAGCTTATACCCCCTGATTTCACCATAGGAACTTAAACTTTGATAAATGAAGGCTTGGCTCTACTTCTGCAGAAATTGCAATATAGACAATTCTAGCCTAAAGTGAGGGGAAAGTTGTTTCTGTTTAGGTTTAAAAATTGTGAAGCAAAATCTTGTAGGCCTAAATAGGAGTTAAAATAGACCAGTATCTTTTGCCCAATGGATCTCAAAAATAAATGAACAGGTACTGAAAAGAATATTCTTTAATGTCAAATTTCAATCTTGATCTTTAATAAGGTTATAGCAGGAAAATTATGAAGGGCCTTAAGAAAAATCATTCTGAAAATAAATCAGACCTCTGATTTCCAGTCTGGTATATAAGCTTGGAAGTCATGCCATAGCCCCATCCTAATACCAAGTAGAAAGCAGAACAAACTGAAAATCAAAAACTCTTTGTAGAACCTTCAGACAAGGGAGGACGTAGGGCAAGCCTCTGCATCTTGGATTGGAGAGACAGACAGGAAAATACAGAGAATTACAACCTGCCAGAGTGGAGAGCCACAAGCAGAAACATCCGGGGAAACAAGCACAAGGGCATGGAAACCTGAACTGTAATTAGTGAATTGCTGAAGGCTCAGTGTGGACAAGTCTGAGAGTCAAGAACTCCAGGGGGCCCAGTCATAGGGGCACCCTCCAATCCTTGCAATTTTGTGAGCTTCACCTCTAGGAGCTCAGCTCTTCTAAGTTCTCACAGTGACTGTCTGAGAAAAATCCTCTCATTCTTCCAGCAGAGAAGAAAAAGTAACCATTTTGAAATATGTCAGAAATGTCTGTTCTTGAAAAGGCCTGCCCACAGGAGAAACTATCTTCCCAGTGCCTAACCAACCTGAGGGAAGGCAAATTCCTATTTCCAGCCCCTTCTAGCAATCCTGTCTCACATAAGTGGGGAGAAAACTGAGAAACACTGGTAAAACCCACAGACCAGGGGCACAGGCTCACCTTAACCTAATCATAAAACTACACAGCACTTTCCTTCCCTCTGCCCCTTACTACTACATCATTACATGCCTCATTACCAGACTTCCTTAAATAGGAATAAACTAGGTGTTGATGGAACGTATCTCAAAAAAATAAGAGCTATCTATGACAAACCCACAGCCAATATGATACTGAATGGGCAAAAACTGGAAGCATTCCCTTTGAAAACCAGCACAAGACAAAGATGCCCTCTCTCACCACTCCTATTCAATATTGTGTTGGAAGTTCTGGCCAGGGCAGTCAGGCAAGAGAAAGAAATAAAGAGTATTCAATTAGGAAAAGAGGAAGTCAAATTGTCCCTTTTTGCAGATGACATGATTGTATATTTACAAACCCCCATTCTCTCAGCCCAAAATCTCCTTAAGCTGATAAGCAACTTCAGCAAAGTCTCAGGATACAAAATCAATGTGCAAAAATCACAAGCATTCCTATACACCAATAACAGACAAACAGAGAGCCAAATCATGAGTGAACTCCCATTCACAATTGCTACAAAGAGAATAAAATACCTAGGAATCCAACTTACAAGGGATGTGAAGGGCCTCTTCAAGGAGAACTGCAAAGCACTGCTCAACAATATAAAAGAGGACACAAACAAATGGAGGAACATTCCATGTGCATGGGTAGGAAGAATCAATATCATGAAAATGGCCATACTGCCCAAGGTAATTTATAGATTCAATGCTATCGCCATCAAGCTACCAATGACTTTCTTCACAGAATTGGAGAAAACTACTTTAAAGTTTATATGGAACCAAAAAAGAGCCCACATTGCCAAGACAATCCTAAGCAAAAAGAACAAAGCTGGAGGCATCATGCTACCTGACTTCAAACTATACTACAAGGCTACAGTAACCAAAACAGCACGGTACTGGTACCAAAACAGAGATATAGACCAATGGAACAGAAAAGAGCCCTCAAAAATAACACCACACATCTACAACCATCTGATCTTTGAAAAACCTGACAAAAAAAAGCAATGGGGAAAGGATCCCCTATTTAATAAATGGTGCTGGGAAAACTGGCTAACAATATGTAAAAAGCTGAAACTGGATCCCTTCCTTACACCTTTTACAAAAATTAATTCAAGATGGATTAAGGACGTAAATGTTAGACCTAAAACCATAAAAACTCTAGAAGAAAACCTAGCCTCAATGCCATTCAGCAGGTAGGCATGGGCAAGGACTTCATGCCTAAAACACCAAAAGCAGTGGCACCAAAAGCCAAAATAGACAAATGGGATCTAATTAAACTAAAGAGCCTCTGCACAGCAACCATCAGAGTGAACAGGCAACCTACAGAATGGGAAAACATTTTTGCAATCTACTCATCTGACAAAGGGCTGATATCCAGAATCTGCAAAGAACTTAAACAAGTTTACAAGAAAAAAACAACCCCATCAAAAAGTGCACGAAGGATATGAACAGACACTTCTCAAAAAAAGACATTTATGTAGCCAACAGACACATGAAAAAATGCTTATCATCACTGGTCACCAGAGAAATGCAAATCAAAACCACAATGAGATACCATCTCACACCAGTTAGAATGGTGGTCATTAAAAAGTCAGGAAACAACAGATGCTGGAGAGGATATGGAGAAATAGGAATGTTTTTACACTGTTGGTGGGAGTGTAAATTAGTTCAACCATTGTGGAAGACAGTGTGGTGATTCCTCAAGGATCTAGAACTAGAAATGCCATTTGACCCAGCAATCTCATTACTGGGTATATACTCAAAGGATTGTAAATCATGCTACTATAAAGACACATGCACACGTATGTTTATTTTGGCACTATTCACAATAGCAAAGACTTGGAACCAACCAAAATGTCCATCAATGATAGACCAGATTAAGAAAATGTGGCACATATATATCACAGAATACCACGCAGCCATAAAAAAGGATAAGTTCATGTCCTTTGCAGGGACATGGATGAAGCTGGAAACCATCATTCTCAGCAAACTATCACAAGGACAGAAAACCAAACACCACATGTTCTCACTTATAGGTGGGAATTGAACAATGAGAACACTTGGACACATGGTGGGGAACATCACACACCAGGACAGGTTGGGAGGTGGGAGCTGTGGGAGGGATAGCATTAGGAGAAATACCTAATGTAAATAATGAGTTGAGGGTGCAGCAAACCAACATGGCACATGTATACCTATGTAACAAATCTGCACGTTGTGCACATGTACCCTGGAACTTAAAGTATAATAATTTTTAAAAAGTAAAGAAGAAAAGAAAGAAAAAAAATTGATAGGATCTTGCTTTGTCCCCCAGGCAGGAATGCAATGGCACTATCATAGCTTACTGCAGCCTTGAACTTCTGGACCCAAGTGATCCTCCTGCCTCAGTCCTCTTTGTAGCTGGAACCAGAAGTGTGTACCACTATGCCTGGCTAATATTTTTATTTTTTTATTTTTGTAGAGACAGGGTCTTGTTATGTTGCCCAGGCTGTTCTCAAACTCCTATCCTCAAGCCATCCTCCCATCTCAGCCACTCAACTTGCTGGAATTACCAGCGGAAGCCACTGTGCCCAGCCCAGACTCCCTTTTACCTAGTATATCATGTCTAATTTCTAACAAAAAATTAAAAAAACATTGTAAGAGGAAAAAAAGAAACCCTAAAACAAACAAGCAAACAAAAAACCCAAAACAACAAAAAGTTTCAAGAAACAGAGCTAGCTGACAGAACTATATTCAGATATGGCAGGTATATTAGAATTATCAGATTGGTAATTTTAAACAACTATGACTAATATGGTAAGAGTGATAATGGAAAAAATAGACAATTTGCAAGAACAGATCAGTAATATAAGCAGAGAAATGGAAAGTCTAAGAAAGAATCAAATAAAAATTCTAGAGGTCAAGAAACTAACAAAAATGAAGCATGGTGTTGAAGCCTCATTAGCAGACTGGATGTGGGTGAGGAAAGAATCTGGAGCTTCAGTATATTTCAAGAGAAACTTCCAAAAATGAAAGCAAAGGGAAAAAGACTGAATAAAAAAGGAACAGAATATCCAAGAACAGTGGGACAACTATAAAAGATGTAAGTATGCATAGTGGAACCCCAGAAGGAGAGGAAAGAGAGAAAGGAATAGAAGAAATATTCAAAGCAATAATGAATGAGATTTTTCTAAATTAATATGTGACACGAAACCACAGATTCAGGAAGCTCAGAGAACAACAAACAGGATAAAAGCCAAAAAAAAAAAAAAAAAAAAAAACCACATCTAAGGCATATCATATCTAAACTGCAGGAAACCAAGGATAAAAAAATAAATCTTTGAAAGAAACCAGAGGAGGGAAAAATAAACCTTACTTATAGAGGAATAAAGATGCAAACTGCAGCTGTCTTTTCAGAAACCACGCAAGCAAGAAGAGAGTGGAATAAAAAGTACTGAGAGGAAAATCCTTCAACCTAGAATTCTGTATCCTGTGAAATTATCCTTCAAAAGTTAGGGAGAAAGACTTTCTCAGACCAACAAAAATTAATGGAATCTGTTACCAGTAGACCTGTCTTACAAGAAATGTTAAAGAAAGTTCTTTAGAAAGAAGAAATGTGATGTAGGTCAAGGAATCTCAGATCTACATAAAGGAATGCACAATGTTAGAGAAGTAGTAAGTGATGGTAAAATGGAAGTTTTTACCTTTAAAAATTCTCAGTTTATCTAACAGATAACAGTTTGTTCAAAATCGTGATAGCAACACTGAATTTAGTGATTATAGCTTATGTATAAGTGCAGTGAATGACTGCAATGGTACAAGGGACAGGAGAGAGGAATTAGTAATATTTTGTTATACCCCTGAACCTAAAATCAAAGTTGTTTAACAAAGATATCTGCCCTACTTGTAAAGTCATATTGTACTATTTGAAAGTGGATTTGCGTTAGTTATAAGTATATGTTGGAAACTGCAGGGCAACCACAAAAAAATGTAAAAAAGAAGTGTAACCAATATGCTAAGAAAAGAGAGAAAATGGAATCATAGAAAATGGTCAGTTAAAGCCATGAAAGGAAGAAACAGTTGAAAGCAAAGATAGAAAGATATGGTAGATATATGGTAGATATAAATACAACTATAACAATAATCCCCAAATGCATGAAGATTAAGCAACATAATTCTAAATAACACATGGTTCAAAGACATTTCAAAAGAAATTTTAAAAATTGAACTACATAACCATACACCTGATTAAAATTTGTGGAATACAGCAAAAATACTGTTTAAAGGAAAAGCAGAGGAAATTTTTAGCATTGAATGCATATATTAGAAGACAAGAAAGATCTAAAATCAATAATCTAAGCTTCCACTTTAGAAACTAGAAAAAGAAGAGCAAATTAAATCCAAAGTAAGCTGAAGAAAATAAATAATAAAAATTGGAGAAGAAATCAATGAAATTGAAAACAGAAAATTGATAGAGAAAAATCAATGAAATAAAAAGCTATTTTGTTTTCTTTTAAAAAGACCTCTATGAGGTCAGCATCTATCTAAAATTAAACCAAAGACATTACAAGAAAAGGAAGCTAAAAACCAATATCTCTCATGAACATAGATGAGAAAATTCTCAACAAATTATTAGCAAATTTTATCCAACAATTATGAAAAGAATTATATACCATGACCAACTAGGATTTATCCCACATCGGTAAGGCTGGTTTAACAATCCAAAATCAATTTAAGTAATCCATCTCAACAGGCTAAACAAGAAAAACTGCATGATCATATAAATAGAACCAGAAAAAGCATTTGCAAAATTCTACATTCATTCATGGTAAATCTTCAACTTGGAAAAAGACATCTACAAAAAAACCTATAGCTAACAACACACTTAATGATGAGAAACTAGAAGCTTTCCTGCTAAGATCAGGTAAGAGGCAGGGATGTTCTTTTCTCATCACTCCTTTTCAACACTTTTGGGAAGTTGAGCTAATACAATAATAAAATAAAATAAGAGGTGTACTGATTGGGAAAAAATAAAACTGTCTTTGTTTGAAGAACACATGATAATCTAGGCAGAAAATCTGAAAGAATCAACAAAATACTCCTTGATTATAGCAAGGTTGTAGGATGCAAAGTTATATACAAAAGTTAATTATTTTCCTATATGCCATCAATGAACAAGTAAAATTTCAAATTGAAAACACAAAATCATTTTCATTAGCACTTCCAAATATAAAATACCTAGGTATAAATCTAACAAAATGTGTACAATATCTATATGAAGAAAATGATAAAAATCTGGAAGAAATAAATAAATTGAGAGATATTCCATGTTCATCGATTTAAAGGCTCAATATTGTCAAGCTGTCACTTTTCCCAACTTGAGGTATAGAGTCAACACAATCCCAATCAAAATCCCAGTAAAATGTTTTTTTGGGTATGTACAACTAATATTAAAGTTTATATGGGGAGTCGAAGATCTAGAATTAGCAACATGTTACTGAGGGAGAAGAACAATAGTGGAGGTCTGACAATGCTTGACTTCAAGACTTCCTATAAAGCTAAGTAATTATTGGGGGAAGTTCAGCCCCCGATATTTTAACATGAGTCCTTTTCTACTTTCCCTAAGTGTTGGCTGGTCTGAGAAATAAAGGGAAAGAGTACAAAAGAGAGAAATTTTAAAGGTGGGTGTCCAGGGGAGACATCACATGTCGGCAGTTTCCCTGATGCCCCCCAAGCCACAAAACCAGCAAGTTTTTATTAGTGATTTCAAAAGGGGAGGGAGTGTATGAATAGGGTGTGGGTCACAGAGATCCCACGCTTCACAAGGTAATAAAATATCACAAGGCAAATGGAGGCAGGGTGAGATCACAGGACCGAGGCAAAATTAAAATTGCTAATGAAGTTTTGGGCATGGATTGTCATTGATAACATCTTATCAGGAGACAGGGTTTGAGAGCAGACAACCGGTCTGACCAAAATTTATGAGGCGGGAATTTCCTTGTCCCAATAATCCTAGGAGCGCTTCGGGAGATGGGGGCTTATTTCGTCCCCTATTAACAACCGTAAAAGACAGACAGTCCCAAACTGGCCATTTTAGAGACCTCCCCTTGGGAACGCAGTCTCCTTCTCAGGGATGTTCCTTGCTGAGAAAAAGAATTCAGTGATATTTCTCCTATTTGCTTTTGAAAGAAGAGAAATATGGCTCTGTTCTGCCTGGCTCTCAGGCAGCCAGACCTAATGGTTATCTGCCTTGTTCCCTGAACATTGCTGTTATCCTGTTCTTTTTTCAAGGTGCCCAGATTTCATATTGTTTAAACAATTTGTGCAGTTAACACAATCATCACAGGGTCCTGAGGTGACATTCATCCTCAGCTTAGGAAGATGATGGGATTAAGAGATTAAAGGAAAGACAGGCATAGGAAATCACAAGAGTATTGATTGGGGAAGTGATAAGTGTCCATGATATCTTCACAATTTATGTTCAGAGATTGCAGTAAAGACAGGCATAAGAAATTATAAAAGTATTAATTTGGGGAACTAATAAATGTCCATGAAATCTTCACAATTTCTGTTCTTCTGCTATGGCTTCAGCCAGTCCCTCCATTCGGGGTCCCTGACTTCCCGCAACAGTAATCAAGACAAAGTGGTGTTGTTAAATGAATGACCAGTAAATCAGTGAAACAAAATAAAGATCTCAGAAATAGACCATAAATATCATCAACTGATCTTGGGTAAAGAAACAAAAGCAACATAATGGAGCAAAGATAGTCTTTTCAACAAACGGAACTGGAACACTTGGACATCCATATGCATAAAAATAAATCTAGATATAGGCTTTACGCTCTTCACAAAAAATGCACTCAAAATGGATTATAGACTTAAATGTAAAGAGCAAGCTTAATAAAACTCCTAGAAGATAACGGGAGAAAATCTAGGTGACCTACACTATGGCTATGAATTTTTAGATTCAACACCAAAAGCATGATCCTTGAAAGAAATAATCGATAGGCTGGACTTTATTTACAAACTTCTGCTCTGCTGAAGAGCCTGTCAAAAAAATAAGCCAAAGATTTGGAGTAAATAGTTGCAAAAGATCTATCTGATAAAGGACTTTATCCAAAATAAGCAAAGAACTCTTAAAATTCAACAATAAGAAAGTAAACACTGTGATTTAAAAATGGGCAAAACACTTGAACAGATACTACACCAAAGGAGATATACAGATGGCAAGTGAGCAATCAAGAAGATGCTCCACATCATATCCCATTAAGGAATTGTAAATTAAAACAACAGTGAGATGCCACAACACGCCTATTAGAATCACCAAAACTCTAAACACTGGCAACATCAGGTGCTGGGGAGGAAGTAGAATAACAGGGACTCTCATTCACTGCTGGTTGGAATGAAAATGGTACAGCTGTTTTGAAAGACGGTTTGGCAGTTTCTTACAAAACTACACACTCTTGCCATACGATGCAGTAATCTCTTTAGCATGTACTTGAATGAGTTGAAAACTTATGTCCATACAAAAACCTGCACATGGATGATTACAGCAGCTTTTTAAAGAATCGCCAAGTCTTAGAAGCGACTGAGATATCCTTCAGGAGGTGAGGGGATAAACACATTGTGGTACATCCAGAGATGGAATATTATTCAGTGATGCAAAGAAATTAGCCACAAAAAGACACGGAGGGAACCTAAATGCATAATACTAAGTGAAGGAAGCCAATCTGATAAGGCTGCGCACTGTGTGATTCCAAGTATGACATCCTGGAAAAGGCAAAACTGTAGAAGCAGTAAAAGAGTTGGTGATTGCCAGGGTTTAGTGAGGAAGGAGGCATGAATAGTCAGATCACAGGGGAGTTTTAGGGCGGAGGAAATGTTCCGTATGATATTGTAATGGTAGATACGTATCACTGCCCATTTATCAGAATCCATAGCATGTACACACCAAGAGTGAACCTAATGTAAACTATGGGTAAACCATGGACTCGGGGTGAGGACAATGTGTCAATGTAGGTACATCAGTTGTAACAAATGCACCACTCTGGTGGGGGATGTTGATAATGGAGGTTGGGCATGTTGGGGGAGGGGTAGAGGGTAGATGAGAATTCTCTGTACTTTTTTTCTCAGTGTTGCTGTGGGACTAAAACTACTTTTTTTTTAAAAAAAAAAATAAAGTTCATATAGACTGGTCATGGTGGCTCACACCTATAATCCCAGAACCTTGGGAGACTGAGGTGGGAAGATCTCTTGAGGCCAGGAGTTTGAGACCAGCTGGGCAAAATAGTGAGACTCCAACTCTACAAAAACAAAAATTTAGCCAGGCATGACAGGGTGCATGTGTAGTGCTAGCTATTCAGGAGGCTGAGGTGAGAGCCTAGGAGGTTGAGACTGCAGTGAGCTATGATTGTGCCACTACACTCCAGCCTGGGCAACAGAGTGAGATCCTATTAGAAAGAAAGGAAGAAAAAGAGATAAAGGAGGGAAAGGAGGAGAAGGAGGGGCAGGAAGGAAGACAGGCAAGCAGGCAGGCAGGATCTCTATATAAAGAAGTAAATCAGATGTCACTCTTTTACCGGAAATCTAACAGAACAAATGTCTGCACAGACTTATATGTAAATGATCACAGCCACTTTATTCATCATAGCCCAAAATTGGGGGGATAATTGATCTTTTGGATGACAGATCCCAAAAAACTGTAGAAAAAAGTGATAAAACAGTGATTTTAAATTCTGAGCAGACAGCACCCTTGGTAGATATCCAGCCTGAACCAGAATGATTGCTGAGGATGATCTGTGTGTTCCTGGGCTCATAGAGGTGCAAGGGCTGAATCAGGCTTGAGAAGTGGGGCCTGGATGGCTGTGGAGATGAGCTCTGTTGATGAAAGGCTGCAGCCCCGTGCTAGACATGAGGGTTTGCTGAACTTGCTGCATGAGGGCAGCTGAGGAGTGGCACTTTATACTTGGGGTACACCTTGTGCTCTTCCACATAAAGCATGATTTGATTTTGTATATTTTAATTGTTGGGCTAGCACCCGATGGTTAAAAACCTCACCTTGTCCCTTATCGAACGTGTCAAAGGGTTGTTTCAGTCTTTTAAACTTGGATTTATTTTTGGCCTCTTTCTTCTTATTCTTGTCCCTCACAGTTCATCTTTTATCAAACACTTCTCGACATTTTCTAGCTCATTCTCTCCCTCCTTCTCAGCCACAGCCACCTCAGGCCTAGCTGAAAGCACCATATTGCTCCTAGCTGCCCTCTGCCTTCCAATTTATTCTGCAAACAGAATCCAGGATCATATTGTTCATGCTGGTTTTGATCATGCCCCTGCAATCTGATAATTCCAGAGCACATCCCAAATGCCTTTGGAATCCAGTTAAACTTGAACATGTGACCTCTGTCAACTCTCTCTTCTCCTTCTCTCCATTCCTCTTTCCATATCCACAAAATTGATTTGGATGTCTATGTCACTGCTACTGTTCTGTGATCACAAAGATCCAGTCCTGATTATGCTTTAAACACGCTGCCTCTCAAATCCAGGGCACAGCAAACACCACTGCACATGCAGGCTGTCTGTATGCTGTGCTCTGATACCATATTTTTCTTTACTTCATTTGTCTTCATGGTGAAATAGAGGTATAATGGGATGCAGGGGGCAAGGAGGCTTTCCGGAAAAGGAGTGGTCCAAGCTGACATTCTGTTTTTGTTGCCTGTGAATTTTCCCTGAAGCAAGCTCTGTCTTTGTGGAAGTTTCAGCATAATGGGATATCTGAGCACAACACTCATGGACCTTCAGGATTTGATGCTTTGAGGCTACTCTCCAAGGCTACTTTTCCAGCTTCATTGCACACTCCTCCGGTTTTCTCCCCAAGTTTTGAGGTTCAGCTGCATACTGCAACAGTGTTTTCTTTCCAAGTTTTGAGGTTCAGCTGTACTGAAGTGCTTGTCATTTATTGAGCACTTCATGCTTTCATACATCTCCTTTGCATCTCACATTACGCATTTGACAATTTTGTTTGTTTAGTCTTTCCTGACCCCTCACCCTGCAACCCACCAGCAAGTTAGATGGTGGCCTATAGATGTTTTGCAAAAATCCTATCACTGGGAGTTCTCTGGTTTCTTGGTCCTACCCATTCTGTTCTCACCTGTTCAGATCTTGATCAAGCACCAGGTTTCAAAATCATCTTTCCCTTTAAATCTAGCCCCAGAATGTGTCCCTTCTCAATTATAGTAGCTGTTGTCTTGACTACACATGTAGCATTTAACCATAACACTGTTTCCTTGTTTAATGGTGATGTGCATACACCCTTTCTGGTGGCAGGGACTGTGGCTATATTGTATTTCCCTAAGACAAGGGGGTGGGGCTCTTGATAAACTAGGTACAACAAGCTTATTTTCCTTTCTTTGGGAGGGACATGTTGCTGGTTCCAGGAGCCCCCTTAACTCAGCATCTGATGTCTTAAACACTATCCCTCAGGGGTTCCAGGACTAGAGAACTCACACACTGCATACTCTACTGCTAATGGTTCCTATTGTCGGTCTGTCTCTATCAATTATAAGTTAATCTAATACATCAATGGTAACAATTTCCCATACAAATAATTATCCTATTTAAAATTGAACTCAATTGCATTTATCTACAGTTTCACTAGATCTCTCCATGACACCTGCAGTATTTTAGAAGTCATGGTGATTTACAAGTAGAAGATTCTGCATTTGATAGGCCAGGGTTTCCTGGAGTTTTAATCCAAGCCCTATTCACTACAGATCAAGCCACTGTACCTGCTTTTCCAGAAGGGTAGGGAACTCAAACTCAGTCTGATGTGGTTACACTCAAGTAAACAAACACACACCTTACCCAGGGGCCCAGAACAAATAACAAACAATCGGGGAAGAGGGCATGACCTCTCAGGTAGATTACCTCCTCATTGTCATTTCTATTTTCGGTAGAATGGCTGATTTAACAGGTCTCTATATCCACCGGGGACTCCCTGGTTGTGCTGATGTTTGCTGTAGTTACCAGCCTAATGGCTGCTTTGTAAATTGTTTGGATTTGCTAATAATTCCTAATAAGGATAATTAAGCAAACAAAGCAATGGGTAGAGAATAGAGTGTGTAAATACGGATACATTTAATGATGCACTGACTGATGATTTCTGTTCCTTGGTTGTTAACTGTGAGAATCTACCCCAAAGATGCTTGAGGTGTGAGCAGACACAGGGTGCTGCCACAGTTGCTTTTTCTGGATCTCTGTATTCTCCTCCCCTCCCTTAACACCCCTTCCACTCTCCTTTACTTCTTTCTTTCTCCTTCCCTCCCTCCTCACTCCCTCCTGCCCTCCATCTTCCTCCCTGTGGGAGGAGGAGTTAGGTCAGGTCAATACATTAGCAAGGATTTTAGGAAAAGGGTGGTTATTCTCTATGAATCTAACTAATTAGGCTTCTTGCACGGATGGAGAATTTTAGGGGGTTGGTGTGTTAGAAAGCAGTGTGACTTGGCAACTGCCAAGGGACTGGGGGACAAAACCACTGAGAAGACTGCTGGTCTGGCTGGCAAAGGCAGTGGAGTTGGGAGTCAAATATGGCGAGGTGACAGGACAGGTCTGTGATAGACACCCCCCCAGCAGAAGCACCTGGACCCAGGTAAATGGAGGCTGTTTTTTGGAAGCGATGAAACGGAACTTTGACAAAATGAAATGATTTTAATTTCAAGAACTTCACAGGGGAGTTTGGAAGAAAGCTCCTGTGGAGATGTGGGTTCAATCTACCTCTTCACTGTGGTCAGTGCATCTCACCTGCTAATGGGGTGTAATTTTGTGGAGTCAATGACATATATTAGAGTCCGGCTGCGTGTGGAGCAGGACCTACACATTGTGCAGTGGAGCGAGTGTGGGTTTGGGAAAGAACAGAGTGGAGTCCAGTCTGCGAAAAGAGCCACTGCAGTGCCTTAGGGCACTTCTACAATCATGAACAAAAAGTACACAGGAGTGCTGCCCAGACAGCAGGGGACATGTCTGGTCAGGTGGGTTACCTGAGCTTGTGTGTATGTGGGTCACAGTCATCTGTATTTAACATAGTATAAATTAACACAGAGAAAGATGTGAAGGATCAGAATTCACAAGCACATATTGCATTTGTCAAAGGAGAAACGATATCATCATACACCGTGGAGCTTCTGAAAAACTCCTCTGTGCCCTGGTGAGAGGATGAAGATGAGTGAGACAAGGCAAATAATGTCTTAGGATGATTACAAAAATTGTTTCAACTTTGTACATTCCTTGGAAAGATCTAACTATCCCTGTGGGTCCCCATCCTATGCTTTGAGAATTGTTCTCAGGAAAGAGAGGATGAGTGTAGATTTCCATATGAGACGAGTGATGAAGAAAGTAAGAACTGTTGTATATAGTTTAGCAGCTCAATTATAATTTCCTTCTTGCACCAGATGAGCCTTGAAAACAGAAACCACCACTAGCCTGTTTCTTCGCCCTTGTCACTTACCATCTCCCTTGCTCTAGGTGTCTGGGGCTCTGTCTTTGTCTGTGTCTTTCTCTTCCTCTGTGCTGCTTTTCCCTTTTTCTCACTTCCTTTCCCTCTTTGACTCCCTCTTCACCTACCCTCTCCTCTTTTTTCTCCTCCCTGCTTCTTCAACTCTCTCACTGAATGTCTCTATCTCTGTATTTTTTCTTTCTCCATAAGTAACCAGTATCCCCCTTTCACTCCCAATATTGTTCATTTGCCACTTCCCATATGTTTTCTTGATATACCTTGCCAAAGTTGACAACTGTGTTTGTCTGTTCAACAAACTAACTTTTCGCCATTAAAAATATCCTTTTCTATGACATTAATTTCTCCCCCTTATGCTTCTCTTTCTTCTAGCTTCTTTGGGTGTATTCCAATAGTTTTTTTTCTTCCTCTAAATTTTTAAGTGATACACTTAGCTTATTTTCAGTCCTTCTTTTCAAATATATATGTGTAAGGCTGTAACCCTCCAGGTATAATTTTACCTTTTAAAATTGTCATTTACATTTTAGACTCAGGGGCTATATGTGCAGGTTTCTTGCAAGGACATATTGCATGATGCTGAGGTTTGGGCTTCTGTTGAATCCGTCACCCAAATAGTGAGCCTAGTATTTAATAGAAAGTTCTTCAGCCCTTGCCATTCTCTCCCACTCACCATTCTTGTAGTCTCCAGTGTTTATTGCCTCCATCTTTATGTCTGTGTGTACTTAAGATTTAGCCCCTACTTATAAATGAAAATATGTGATATTTGGTTTTCTGTTTCTGTGTTAATTTGCTTAGGATAACGGTCTCCAGCTGCATCCATGTTGCTGCAAAGGACAGGATTTTATTCTATTTTATGGCTGCATGGTATTCCATGGTGTATATGTACCACATTTTCTTTATCCAGTCCACCATTGATGGGCACCTGGGTAGATTCCATGTCTCTGCTATTGTGAATAGGGCTGTGACAAACACATGAGTGCAGTTACCTTTTTTGGTAGAATGATTTATTTTTGTCTGGGTACAAATATAATTTTAAATGCATCTCACAGATTTCATAAATAGTATTTTTGTCATCATTCAGTTTTAAGCATTATATTTTTATTTCTTATTTGACCCACAAGATATTCTGTTGTGTTTAAAAATTCCTAAATATATATGTGTATATACACATTTTAATGTTATATTTTTAATAATGAATTTTATCCTAATTGTGTTCCAAGCAGACAGAAAATGCAATCTGTATGATACCAATTCTGTGGCATTTATTGAGACATCATTGTGGCTTATTACAGAGTCAACTTTCATAAATGTTTCATGGATGCTTGAAAAGGATGTATATTCTTTATTTATTGAGTGTACTTGTCATGTACATGTACATGAGCTCAAATTTACTAATTTTGTTGTTATGTTGTGTTCTGTATCTTTTCTGATTTTTACTTGCTTGATTTATCAAGTTCTAGGAGGGATATCCTGAAAGTTCTCATGTGACAGAGGATTTCTCTACATTCTGATAATTTTTGCTTAACATATTGTGAATGTTATTATATGTATAGAAGTTTAGGCTTTTTATATATTTCTGGTGAATTGAAACTTTGGTTGCATAAAATGACTTTTATCAAATGACTTGCCCCCATCTGAGGGTATTCTCCTTGAGGACTCCTGGCTATTTGAAAAATTCCTGACCTAGCCTCATATTATTCTTAGAGATCTAAGCATTGTTTCATATTTTTGGAGAAGCTGTGGCATATTTAAACATAGATCCCAGGGCTTCAGAGATTAACAATGTCCTAATGAAAGCTTCAGTCTTCAGACCTTATTCATTTCTCTAAATTCATGCTTGCTTTGTTTGCGTTTTCTTTATCTGTTCCTCCCCACTCCCCTGGCTGGCTTCTGATGATTCTCTTACTTCCCGTGTATTTGAAAAGTTTTAAAAATCATTCCTTGACTATTATATCTGTCATCTATGTGTCCTTTTTTGGAGGATTTCTCCACCCAAACATCTATCATGGTATTTTTTCAGGAATGGAAATCGCATTCTCAATTCTTCACACATATATGGTGTGTGTCTCTGTGACTCACCTTAATTCCTTTACTTTATCCTTTCTATTATTTTAACTACTATTACTAAGGCAATACTTTCTTTTGTATTACTGATTATAAAGTAATTCATATACATGGTAGAAAGTTTGAAAACCAATGCAAAGTATTGAGGAGAAAAAACTACTCATAATAATTATTAGAATCACATAGCATTTGGGGGGGTCAGATTTGTTAAGATACAATTTGTATATCTCAACTTGTATAAGATTTACCTCTTTTAACTGTACAAAGAGACCACTTTTGACAAATATTTACTGCAGTGTAATCAGCACAACAATCGTGATCTAGAACATTTCAGACACCTCAGATAGTTCTTTTATGCCCGTTTGCAATTAATTCTCTCCCTGCAACTCCTGACCCCTGAAAACCACTGATACACCACTGATATATTTTTGTCTGTTCTAGAATTTTACAAATACAGAGTCATATAGTATGAAGTCTTCTGTGTTTGTCTTCCTTCACTTACCATAATTCTTTTGAGAGGCAATGCTGTTGCATTTATTTAGTAGTCTTGTCTTCATTTTAAATTCTGAGTAGTATTACATTGTATGGATATTTTAAAAATTATTTTTCCATTTCCCATTTGGTAGAAATTTGGATTGCTTTCAGCTTTTGACCATTGTGAGTAAAAATACTACTGTGAAAATTCTGTACCATTTTGGATTTCCACCAGCACCAACACTTGGTATTGCAGTTGTCCCTTGGTATCCACCAGGGATTGGTTCCAAGACCCTATGCGTTCCAAAATAAATACTTGTTCAAATCTTGCAGTGGGCCCTGCACAACCAGCAGATACAAACATTCAGCCTCCCATATACACAAGTTTTGCATCCCATGAACACTATTTTTATGCCATGTTTAGTTGAAACAAATCCACATATAAATGGACCTGTGCAATTCAAACCTGTGTTGTTCAAGGGTCAGCTGTATTTTTAAATTTCAGCCATTCTACTGTATGTATATCAGTGTCTTACTTTAGTTTTTTAATTTCCATTCTCAATGAATAATAATTTAGAGCATGGTTTTCATATGGTTATTTTGCATCTGCATATTATTTTTGGTGAAGTATTCACATCTTTTGCCCATTAAAAACTGAGTTGTTTGTCTTCTTAGTATTGAGTTGTGTTTATACATTCTTATATATTTAGATATTTTGTAGGTTATCTCATTACTTTCCCAATAGTGTCTCTTGCAGAGCAAAATATTTTAATTTTGATGAATTCAAATTTACCACTTTTTCTTTCAGACTGCATTGCATCCTATTTTAAAAATACATGGTTAATCTGAGATTATTAAGATTTTCTCCTATGTTTTTAGTAGAAATTTTATAGTTTTACCCCTTCTATTTAAGTCGATGATCCATTTTAAATAAGTTTTCATGTATAATGTGTGAGGTAAGAGTTAATGTTTCTCTCTGTCTCTCTCTGCATGTGGATAACTAACTCTTCCAGTATAATTTGTTAAAAGTTTATTTCCCCATTGAAATGTCTTGGCACCTTTGTTGAATAGCAGTTAACCTTATTTATGCAGGTCTAGTTCTGAACTCTACATTCTGTTCTTTTGCATAATAATCAGTATGCCAACATCACATTTTCTTGTGACAATATGGCTTTCTGGTGAGTATTAGGTAGTGTAAGTCCTCCAACTTTCTTCTTTCTTTACAAAATTGGTTTGGCTCTTCTAGATGACATTTGCATTTTCATGTACATTTTAGGATTAGTTTGCCAATTTCTACCAAAAATCTGCCAAAATTTTGATGGGAATTACATTGAATATATAGATGAATTTGGAAAGAATTGCACTCTTAAAAAAATTGAGTGTATCTCTCTATTTATATAGATCTTTAATAATTTATCTCAGCAATACATTGTAGTTTTCAGTATACAGTCTTGCATATCTTTGTTTAATTTCTAACTAGATATTTCATAATTTTATGAGCAGTATTACTTTAAAGTTTTATTTTCTGATTTTTCATTGCCAGTATTTAGGAATAAAATAAATTTTAGATGTAGACCTTGTATCCCATGACTTTTGTAAAGTCATTTATTGGTTCTAGTGGATTTTTGATAGATTATTTGGGTTTACCAGATAGATCGTCAAGTTGTCTCTTAGTAGAGATTGTTTTACTTCTTCCTTTCCAGCATATATGCATTTCAATTCTTTTACTTGCCTTATTACACTGGCCATTCATTATAACATTGAGTAAAAGTGGTGAGAATATTTTTGTCTTGTTCTTTATTTTGGGGGAAGGAAAATCAGTCATTCTGTAAGGACTACTAAATAGAATAACTACAGCTTTGATGTAATGTCATTTATTAAGTTGAGGAAATTGTCTTCTATTTGCAATTAGCAGTTTTTAAATCATGGATGAGTGCTGAAATTTTATAAGATTTTGTTTGATTGTATCTATTGACATTATCATGTAGTTTTGTTTTTTTTTTTCAGTTTGTTAATACAGCAAATTAGATTGATTGCTTTTTGAATGTCAAGCCAATCTTGAATTCCTAATATAAACCCCCTTTGGTCATGATATATATTAGCTTTTATATATTGCTGGACCTGATTTGCTAATAATTTGTTAAGGATTTTGTGTATATATTCACAAGAGATATTAGTTTGTGGTGCCTTTTATGCGATGTTTGTGTCTGGTTTTGGTATCAGGGCAATGCTGGCCTCATATAAATTAGGATATGGTTCTGCATCTTCTCTTTTCTAGAAAAATTTGTGCAGAATTAGTATTTCTTCTTAATTGTTTGTTTGAATTAATTAGTAAGTCCTAGAATTTTCTTTATGAGTAGAATTTTAACTATAAAGTAAATTAATTTTATTTTTGTTTTCCTTTGAGACTATAGAGGTTATGTCTTGTTATCTATTTTTTGAGTGCCTTGTCTATAAATACCAAATCATTTATCTGTTTTATCAAAAGTGTTGAATTCATTAGCATAAAGCTGTTCATAATACTCTTTATTATTATTTTAATATCTA
Source organism: Homo sapiens (assembly GCF_000001405.40). NCBI lineage: Eukaryota > Metazoa > Chordata > Mammalia > Primates > Hominidae > Homo > Homo sapiens. Next base: position 37,424,634 of record NC_000010.11, read on the forward strand.
TAGGCTCTGCACTGATGCCTCATTTCTGCTATTGGTAATTTATATCTTTTTTCTTTTGGTTCATGACTAACCTCTAACTAGGTTAGTCATAAACCTGTAACTAGAGCTTTATTAATTTTATTGTCCTTTACAAATAACTAGATATTTAACTTGCTGGTGTTTTCTATTTTTTTCTGTTTGTTTGTTTTAGCTTATTGGTTTCTGTTCTTATGTTTACTATTTTCTACTTCTAATTATTCAGTGTTTAATTTTTCTATTTTTTTTCAAATTTCTTAAGGTAGGAGGTTAGGCTATTGATTTTAGACATTTATTGTTTTCTAATATAAGCGTTAATGCTAAAAAATTTCCTCTATGCACCGCTTTAGTTTCATGTCACAAACTTTGACATGTTCCAATGTTCATTCTGTTTAATGTATTTAAATATTCCCATTTTGATTTCTTTGATCCCATCACTACCCTCTGGTGTTTTACCTAATTTCCAAATATTTGAGGATTTTCTTGATATTTTCTAGTTTTGGTTTCTGATTCCACTGCAGTTAAAGAACATACTCTATATTATTTCAGTCCTATTATTTGGAAATAATGTGTCTCTTGTTGAATTTTTCTCTTTACTATTATGTATTTTTGGCAATAGTTATTGCTCTAAAAGTTATATTTTCTGATATTAATATAACCAAATAAGCTTTCTTTTCAGTGTTAGCACAGTATATCGTTTTTCATACATTTACTTTTAAGCTGTATGTTTTTGTTTGTTCAAAGTGAGTTTCTTCTAGACAACATTTAGTTGGATTTTGCTTTTTCAAAGTTTTTTATTTTATTTTACTCTAAGTTCTGGGATACACGTGCAGAATGTGCAGGTTTGTTACATAGGTATACATGTGCCATAGTGTTTTGCTGCACCTATCAACCCAACATCTAGGCTTTAAGCCCTGCATGCATTAGGTATTTGTCCTAATGTTCTCCCTCCCCTTGTCCCTGACCCCCCTATGGGCCCTGGTGTATGTTGTTCCCCTCCCTGTGTCCATGTGTTCTCATTATTCAACTCCCACTTGTAAGTGAGAACATGTGGTGTTTGGTTTTCTGTTGCTGTGTTAGTTTGCTGAAAATGATGGCTCCCAGCTTCATCCATGTCCCTGCAAAGGACATAATCTCATTCTTTTTTATGGCTGCATAGTATTCCATGGTGTATATGTGCCACATTTTCCTTATCCAATTAGATTGGATTAAAAAAATCCCATCTAACAATCTCTGACTTTAAATGGGATTATTTATATCATTCACTTTTCATTTGATGATTGGATGGTTGACTTTAAATATTTACTTGTAGGATTATCTTGAGGGTTGATAACTTCATATATTAATATATGCAGTTATTAGAGCAGTGCCTAAAACATATGAAGTTCTCACTAAACATTTGCCGTTATTAAATGACTCTTCCAGGGGCAAGCATGTAGTAAACACCAGAGTCTAAATTAACCTCATCTCTCCTAACTTGAATATATACTTTTTCCTTTACATAAAGGTGATGTGACTATTTAAATTATGATCATTAAAAACCTTGATGAATTCTTTGTTGTTTCCTTCTTGGCTGCTAAGCTCATAAATTCAGTTTGAGCTTCAGTTATGTGATTCTGAGCTGTCCAATGATGACAGATTCCTTACATACCACTCTATCATATATTTATGAAATAATTTATATTTTTGTTGTCCTTGGGGCATCAAATATTTCTTTGGATGTCTTTGACACCAAGTTCATTTTCTCTCTCATGATGGCAGAGATACTTTTTGTATATCACTAGAAATACAACTGTCATACTTCCTGGTAGAAAGTAATGTTTAGGGTATGGGCTTAGATATAGGGAAGAAATGATGACAAATCAGATAGTCATGAGGGTTTTGAGCATCGCTGGGCTTTCACGATACCTTCTTCTCTGTTATTAAAGTAGGGCAAAAAGCCATTCATTATGTGATTTTTGTCTAGGCAAATATTTATCTAGTTCAATTGTAGATTTAACCTTGTTGGGGTCCAAGGATGCTTTCCATGGTGTTCTTGAATTGGACTGGCTTAGAGAGCTAAGGATCTCTGTAACTAAACCTTATCCAAATTGACAAATGAGGTAGTTTTTCAAAATTACCTGAAAGCAACACTGGCTTACTTTTTGACTTTGGATATAGTTAGAAACTGGATTTACTTATTTCTTTTGTTTATTTTTATTTATTTATTATTATTATTTTTTAGATGGAGTCTCGCTCTGTCGCCCAGGCTGGAGTGCAGTGGCACGATCTCGGCTCACTGCAAGCTCTGCCTCCCAGGTTCATGCCACTCTCCTGCTTCAGCCTCCTGGGTAGCTGGGACTACAGGTGCCGCCACCACGCCCGGCTAATTTTTTGTATTTTTAGTAGAGATGGGGTTTCACCGTGTTAGCCAGGAGGGTCTCGATCTCCTGACCTTGTGATCCGCCCACCTCGGCCTCCCAAAGTGCTGGGATTACAGGCGTGAGCCACCGCGCCTGGCCTCCTTTGTTTTTAATTAAGGAAAAGGACATCAATATCTTCCATATTGAAGGGAGTGGAAGGCGGGACTAATTATATATATATTATCTTTTACTTCCATGATTTTTTTCTCCTTTTGGGAGTTCGCAAATAGTTTTTTGATGACGGCAAATACTCCTCATTGCTAATTTTTGGTGACAGAGAATATTAACTCTTTCTTCTTTAGAAAATAGGAGGAGGGGAAGCCCTCTCTTCTACTTTGAATTAGAGTACGTGCTTCATTTGTTTGTGACGAACCGCCCTTGGGGAACTTTTCCTTTCCTTCTTTCCTAGATTAACAATGGTACCAGCACGTGCAGAAAAGAAAGAGTCTCCGCTTGTCTTTGTCTGATTCTCCTGTCCTCTCCATGGAAGTTACATTTTCTGTAAAGGATGAGCTGAAAATTCTCCTGGTCGTTGCCAGTTGAACTTCTGCTGTGCTCTGGGAAGGCATTCTCACTCTGTTTATGTTGTCTAAGTGCAGACATGGATGTGCAGGTTTGCTAGAACCTCCTGAGGATGTGCAATGGTTCTGTTCATGCCTGAATCAGTTCTTTTGGGAGTGGACATTCTTTCTCTCCCTCATGCACAGCCTCAGGCACATGGCTTGAGCTATGGCGGCACGCAGTATGGCCATCACCCAGGTACACCCCTTCCCTAAGAAGAGGCTCTTCAGGTTACACTCGGGTACTGTTGTTATCTGGCTTATTGTCCATAGGATCAACATAGAGTCCTGAGGTCAGTTCAAACCATCAAACCAGGGATGTTACTTATTATTTGAAAACTTCTTTGGAAAGATAATCTTGGGTTGTTCAGTGGGACCAGTCTTTGACGGGCAAATCTCCAGAATACATGGGGTCAGTTCTCTCAGGTTCAGGAAGCATGTAATCTCTCTAAGATTCATTAATTAAAAAAAAAAGACACATGCATAGAAAAATAGAACAAAATGGAAACTCTTTATTGGATACCTACTATGGGTTATGTGCCAGGGTTTCCTAATCATTTGGGGACATGTGTGTATAAACAAAACCAGGCTATGTGGCCAGGCAGTGTGTGGCTCACACCTGTAATCCCAGTGCTTAGGGAAGCCAAGTTGCAAGGATCGCTTGAAACCAGGAGTTCGAGACTAGCCTGGGCAACATAGTGAGACCCGGTCTCTGCAAAAAAAAAAAAAAAAGAAAAAGAAGAAGAAGAAAGAGAAAGGAAGGAAGGAAGGAAGGAAAGAAAGAAAGAAAGAGAAAGAAAGAAAGAAAGAAAAGAAAGAGAGAGAAAGAAAAAGAAAGGAAAGAAAGAAAAGAAAGAAAGAAAGAAAGAAAGGAAGAAACAAAGAAAAGAAAGAAAGAAAGAAAGAAAAGCTAGGAAGCTAGGGTGTGGGGGCGCATGCCTGTAGTCCACACTACTTGGGAAGCTGAGGCAGGAGGATTGCTTGAGCCCAGGAGATCCAGGCTGCAGTGAACTGTGATTGTGCTATTACATTCCAGCCTGGGCAACAGAGCAAGACCCTGTCTCTACAAAAACAAAACAAAACAAGACAACAGCAACAAAAAAGACCTGCCTATGTCTTCATGAACTTTGCAGTATAGTGGTAGAATATGTGAGGGCCTGTTCTGTTGTGCTTCTTGGACACTCGGTGGGTTTACGCAACCTCAATCAGGAGCTCTGAACACCGTCAGGCCTTAGCCAAAATCTCTATAAAGTAATTTCTATGTATGAGTGCCAACTGCTAGGGGCAGTTCTGCTGAGCAAACTCTAAAGTTGTATGCACGGGCTTACAGTTATAACTCATTTGGGGCTGAGAGGAGAACCTGTTATTTGGTTTCCTGTCTCCTGATCCAGATGTTACATTTTGTCGTGGGCATGGAAAGCCCCCAAACTCCCCCAAGACAGTACCTAGTTCATTCTGGGAGGTTCCAGGTGTCCTGTCTTTTGTATTTCCAGAGGAGTTAATGGAAGAGTATAGAAACTCTGCTCTCTATCCTGTAGCTTCCTTGCTACACAAGTTAATTTGGGATTAGATATTTTACCTCTTGATAAAGTTTTAGTATTTTGTGAGACAAAAACTGAGTTGAGGTAGAAATATTTTTCTGTCATGGGACATTACTCAGGATGCAATAAACTGTGTTTTGCTTGTGGCAAAATTTGCAAACCTTCACTCAGTGAAAAGGACATGATTTTGTTAGCGATGAAGCCAGTGAAAAGTCAAATTTACCCATTTCTTTCCACATGGGTAATTTTTTGAGCATTGCACTCCCATTTATGGCATGTGCTCTGTTTTCATCGAGGACTATAATTAGACCAACAGGGGTGACTGTTTTAGCAAAAATGTAAAGACTCAGGAAGATACGTACCCCAGGATTGCATGAACCTAAATCTGGAGTCAGTTCTTAGTGGACTCTTTCCTTTCCCCATCATCATTACATTTAAAAAGTATGAACTTACTGGAAGCTTTATATAAACTAACACCTAAAGTTCTCTCAACCCAAGGTTGATTTGAGCATGTGTGTGTAAGTGCGTGGTGATGTCTAGTGCCAACTGATCCTGTCTAAAAGCCATTTCCTATTCTAATTAGTAGGTCAGCAGGCAGGTTAAAATATTAATTATAAAGCTGCCATCACTTATTAGGAGAAATCAGAATTCTTCTTAATTAAAACAGCTGCTAATTAATTTGCCCTTGACAACTCTAAGAAATAATAGAGCAAAAGAAAGAATAATTGGAAGTAAAACTGATGAAAATAGTTTAGATTTCATTTTAATCATTTGAGGAAATGTTACACTAAAAATAAGTAGCATAAATTATCAATTTGTCTAGAAAAAATTAGGACTTTTAGAAAGTTGCCAATGTGGCTATACCATTTTAAAAAATGTTTGTTTTTTTTCAGGCCCATCAATGAGAGAGACAACATTTAGATAGGAGTACTGGACATTTGAAAATTCTTACACCCTGTGATGTGACATGGAGAAGTGACCAACACAACTTTGCCAACTATACTCCATTCTTAGTAACTGCCGATTAGGAAGGATTTCTTTCTAAGTCTGTCACTAATTCAACTGTTATTCACAAGAGAAGTAGAGGCAAATGATAGCAGCTTGATCGTTGATTTTTGATTTAGATGATCAATGATGTTCAGAATAGTGTTTGTATGTGTGAGCATGGATGTGTATGTCGTGTGTGTGTCTGTGTATGTGGTGTGTGTGTCTGTGTATATTGTGTGTGTGTGTGTGCATGCGTGTGTGCAGGGTAGGTATCACCACATTCCCTGTGGTGGTGTGTCTCTTCTCTGGGATTGGTTCTTCTAGAATCTCCCACCTTTTAGAACCACTTTAAGATATTTATTTATTCTCTCCAACCATCCTGGCAATCTTTTTATCCTTAAACAGGAATAAATTCCTACAGCTGAATCTATTCAGGATTTCTGTGTGTATGTGTGAAAATTTATATGATGCTCAATCCTTTAAAAATCTTTTATTCAAGTAACTTTAAAAGTAAAACACAAGGTGTTTTATCATAAAAAGTGAGAGATGTTAGTCCACTTAATTTCTTGCTTGCTTTCTTTTGTGTCCCTAGATTACTTAGCCTCTGTTTCCAGCCAGCAGTGGAAACAGCAAGGGTGAGGGTCTTAGGAGTCGACATGTAACACCTATTACTTCCCTTTGAAGTTCAGAACCAATTTAGAGTTAAGAGCCAAGAGACACACAAATAGAGATCTTATTTCAGCTTTATTACTGATAAAACCATCTGGAGAATGTGTTTTTAAATTTGTGTGCAAATGGCTTGCTCAGACACCCTGATTGGATTAGTTGGATTCATACCCCCAGCCATGGACAGCTCTGGGCATTTCCAGGCACCACCATGGGGCCGGCCTGGCCTGCTAGGCAGAGAGAGAACCATTGTGGTTTGCAGAATATACTGTAATCAGTTTCCTCTACTAACTCCTTTAGTTAGAAAAGTCACTCATCACCTGACGATAGAGGGGCCAGAAGGGCATGTTACACTCAAGTGCCTCCCCATGGAAACATGAAGAGTGAGGAATAACTGTTCCTTCCTAAGAGCAAGTAGGATTGATTAATCCCTTGAACCACAATATGCAGTAAGACAAGCAATTTATGTAGGGACTTGAGTTCTGCAGTTAGTGTACTTATCTCTGGTAGGAGGCATTCCATGTTTTTAAGGCAGTCCTGTTTTTTTACTTAAGCTCCTTTCACTCTCAAACATGTTCTAGTATACCCGGCCTCATGTGGATAATTAATTATATAATGCCCGTAGTGTCTGGGGATAAAGAAGTCAATAGATTGAATCTCCTTAGATAGCCTGACAGTAAACTTATACTTGTGTTATTCTTGGAGTTTGAGATTGTTTTCCAGGATATCCATTTGGTGGAATTTCATATTACTGAGAACTGAAACTATCCATCAGTGTGAACAATAACAACAGTGTTTGCAGCAATGAGAAACCACCACTTCCTATGTGACTTTGTTGAAGACATTTCCAGATTGCATATAATGTCCCTCTGGACTAGACTTTATTTTTTCAGAGAGATGGTGATTTAAAGTGAATTTCCTCCCTTTCCATGACCACACCTGCAGCATTTATTGAAGGTTTTGTCTTTTAAGACACAGGGATTATGATGGTATTAAGTCTCCAGAAAGTGAAGCTTTCCTGGGCGATGGGAAACATAAGAAACAAACTGAGAAATGGGGGTTAAGAGTAGAACCTAAGAAGACTCCAGGACACGTCCTGGAGAAGTGATATTTATAGCAGGATATAGGAAATGATTCCAGCCCCGTAGCATGGGAAGAAATGGCTGTGTGACCGGAATCCAAGGCAAACTGTTTGCCTGCTCTCATGTATTAAGCTATAAGAGGGCAAACTGTTATCAGCAAGACTGCACATGCTCAAATATATTGCCCCTGGTTATTTAAATGTCTATTAAAAGTGTTCCAATTTAGGGTCAGGATTTGAATTTCTTCTATTAATTGATGAAAATTTGCGAGGCTCTGTCAGAAACCATTTTCTTTATCAGGGCTCCAAAGTAAAAGAGGTGTTAGCTGGGTAGCTGGGCTGCTATTCTTAGTAAACCCCCTCTCCTCCTGCTATGCTGATATACTAATATTTTACTTAGCATTTGAAAAATCCTTTGGCTGCAATTAAAAGTCCTGTAAGTCTGAGTGGGTATACAGAGGCTAGGGTAAAAATTAAGTATTTGCTTCCCACACATTTTTTTTTTGAATATGTGACTCTTACTATACTGAGGAAGTCAGAATACCATTCAGATATCAATGAATTTATTTATTTAAATATAATTATAAACATTTAAATCCTGAAGCACTTCTAAATGAAATGTATTTTCAGGTTTTATTTTACTGAGAGAGAAGTGCAGAGCCCAAGGAATGAATTAATTATTAGTCAAAAGATGACATAAGTGTGAAGACCAAGAGGGGAAAGGTGGTATGTTGTATTTAAGATATAAGTGGAAATTCAATATATTTAAAGCATGGAGTTTGAGAGAAAGAGAGTGGTGGGAGGTGAGTCTGAAGAGATGTAGGAACCAAATCTCCATCTACGGGAAGGTCCCGGAAGCCATGGTAAGGATATTGGTGTTTCTAAAGGTGCCCAAGAGAGCAGGAGAGGGGAGGAGAGGTCAGAGGTGCCCCAAAAGGGGTCTGTGTCCAGAGAGCTAACTGAGCACACATGTCTATTTCCCTCTTGGTTCCACTTTCCTTTCATGACTTACAGTGCATCATTAAGAAGAGTATGTCTTAGAGAGAACTGGATGATTAGAGAAGAAGTGGTCATTGAACTAAAACTTGTGATGAATTCTTGGAAGGTAGACAGAGGTGCCAAAGCCCAAGATAGACATCAGAGAAAAGAGAGGGGAAGGTGAGAACACCTAGCTCCCATTCAGGGGAAAACATTTTGGGTAAACAATGCTACATAACTATAGACAAAACACATGACAGTAATTTGCACTCATTAACCTAGTTAACCTCATTTTCCAGTCATCAAAAGAAGGAGATAACTGAAGCTTATTAGATCTTCAAGGAAAACCAAGATCATGGGGGAAAAACGACTGAACAATCACTTAGAAAATAATTATTTAGCATTTAATTATTGCCAGGGACTCTTCTAAAACCTTTTCTTAAATTAACTAATTCAATCCTCAACAACTCTGAGAGGTACTGTTACTATCCTTAAGATGAGGGAACTGAGGAACCAAGAGGTTAAGCAATTTGCCTTTGGTTCACATAGCTAATGATGTGGAGATTTGAACTTAGGCTGTTTGTCTCCCAAGCCTATGTTCTTAAATTTGGGGAAATAGTAAAGATAATTTCCACAATGTGAAGACAGTTAGCAGCCTTAAGGATGAAAGGATGGTGCAAATACCATGCCCAGTGAGTGACAGAGTATCAAGGCTGGTAGAGCCTGATGAAAGCACAAGTTTTCAGAAAAGAGGGAAACAAACAATTCCTATAAAGTTAAGAAAATCACATTGACACCAGACTTCTCATTGGTAGAGACCACAAAGCCCTTTTCAAAAGTGGGTCAAACTGGCAGGCTGAGCACATATCCTTCCTTCCCTTTCTGTCAAAAGATGGGACATTGTCTTCAACTTTGAATGACTTACACAGCAAAACATTCAAATTTATGGAAAGAAATGAAGACAATTTTAGACATGCCAGACTCATGGTTTACTATACAACAACCATCTCAGAAAGAGTTATTCAGTAATAGCATCAAAATGAAAAATAAATCAAAGAAATAAGGTAGTAATCAAAATAAGAGTTAAGTAACTACTGACAGATATAAGGAAAGTAGTAACCATTCGGAACTAAAAACAATGGTATATGTTGCTGGAGGAGCAGTGTGGGGAGGGTGAGTATGGCAGCATAGTGTGATTTCTTTTTGTTTCTGGAGAAAATATAAAAGTAATCAAGCTTAGTTTTGTGTGTATTTTCTTTTAGAGATGGGGTTTCACCATGTTGCCCAGGTTGGACTCAAATTCTTGAGCTCAAGCGATCCTTCAACCTCAGCCTCTTGAGTAACAAGGATTCTAGTCACATTCCACTGTGACTGGCTGCATACAAATATGTGAAGAGCAAGTATTACAAACGCAGTATTAGGATTTATTACTTCTAGACCACTAGAGGGGGAAATGGGATAAAGAAAAAACAATGAAACCAAAGACAAGGAAGTGAAATAAATAAAAACAAAAATTAAAAAGAGAAAACAGAACCAAAAATGAATGTGAAATAGAAACAATAATACAGCAGAATTAAGTTTGAATATAACATTAATCCCAATTAATGTAAATAAGTGAAATTCTGCTCTTCAAAAATGGGTACTCTGAGAATAGACAAGCAAGTCAAAACCCACAAACCGCTGTAACAGGGTGTGAAAAACAATAATAAGTTTTTTTCCTCAAATAAATGATACTCCAGTGTCATGCACAAATCTTAATTCTGTACTTTTAAATAGATATTAAAAATTATTCCTAATTTATTAAAAGAAAAATCTTACTTGATCGTGATGTGTTTTACTCAACAATAGAAGGATGGCTCAACATTCAGAAATATATTACTTTAGCTCAGTATAACATAGATTAAAGAAAAAATCACATTCACTCATAGAAATATATTAGTTGTATTCTTGTAAATGCAGCTCTTTCTCATTGATTTATAAAAGCTCCTTATGTATTCTGGATATTACTAATGGTTCCTCGATGTTTATATTGCAATGATTTCTTCTTTTTAAAGTAATATCCTCTATTTTGAATAATTTAGAATATTATCATTTTAATACTATAAATATTGTTAATACTGTTATTTTATCTTCTGGATTATTAAATATTGTTGAAGATGGGCTTTCCTTATCCTAGGTTTTTAAACAATTCTCTCATATTTTCTTCCACTACTTTTATAATTGTTGGCTACATTGCTGTTTGTAAGACTGATAAACTGGGAACCAACTGAATGTTGTTGGTGAAATCATGGTGCATTCATATGATGGGATACTTCTGAGCTCAAATGAATAATCAGAGTTATATGAAATAATATGGAAAGAGCTCCAAAACACAGTCAGTAGAAAAAGCAAATCACAGAGTAAAATATAATGACTACATTAAGGTAAGAAAGTCTTTATGGAATACAAATGCACAGAGAATGTCTAAAATGGAATATACCAATGCATTTCAAACTGTGGGAAGGGGAATTCAATTGGTTGGTACTCTGAATTCTATATTATTTGAAATCAGGAAGATAATGTTAGAATAATTAATTTAAAAGGAGGGAAATATAAGAAAACAGAGGCAGCTGTTGATCAAGCTTTTACAGCATCTGACTCAGGCAAGGCTCCTGTTATCTAGGCTAGTGCCTCTCTAGTACTTAACCTGGGCAATTGTAAGAGCCCTGGGCCAATAAAATAACCAGGAGGACTGGGGTATCCCTGCTTCCAGGCTCAAGCCATCCCCCCATCTCAGCCTCCCAAAGGGCTGGGATTATAGGTGTGAGCCACTGCAACCACCACATAAGGTTCATGAACCTCTGTGGAGCCTGGGAGAGTCAGCATGGGACAGGAACCAGCTCGACAACTATATGGACCAGAGACACCTGGGTTTAATTTAAATCCAGGCTCCACCCTTTGGAATTTGTTTGCAGGAAACAGACTATGATGCATTTCTTAAGGTGCAGGTAGGTTAAATGTGATGCATTTTCTAGCACAGTGCCTGGTTACTTTATTTTATTTTGGATTATAAAATGAAGATTTCTAAGGCTCTTTATGATTCTAATATTTTTATGGGTCTTTTGAATCTGGGAAATGTGGTTGGGGGAAGAGCTCTATTAGACATTATTGTCAGGTAAATGAAGAGCATTTACTATAGTAGCTTCTTACTGAGGCCTGCTAGATTAGATTAATTTTATGCTGTGGATTAAACTGGATTTTAATTATGAGCGCAAATAAGATCCTGGTGTCATTCATCTATGTTAATGTTAAGATTTTTCTTTTTCTAATGGTTCTGACAGAAAGAGGGAAAGGCTATTCTTGGAACATGAATAAGGCATATATAGCCACAGCTATACATACCTTTAATTACAACCAGGAAGAGTTCAGAGGGGAGAAAAGAAGATGAGGTATATGATCCCATGATATGCTAATTAGAATTTTTCATATATGTTGGTTTGCAAAATACTACTGAATACGCATTAGGTATTTTTGCAAAGACATTGAAGAGGAAATTTGTACTGCTTTATGAGCCTCCAGTCTCTCTGAAGATAGCAACTTTCCAAACCACACTGGTCAGGATGAAAAAATGACTTTCTGCAATTGCTCTACAGTCAGAACTTTGCAATCACAGTGACTGAAGTGAAAGTGCTGACTAAGGGCTCTATAGGAAGGTGACGTGCAGAATTATAATAAGAAGGTGGCAATGATTCAACCATGGGTCATTTGGCAACTCTCATTAGCAGGTGACAGGGCTGTGGTGAAGGGCAAAGGAGAATCATTCCAATTATGTCCCATAGCTTTTACTTGTTCCTCCAATTCCATGCCTTTCTCAATTTTGCTTTTTTTTTTTTTTTTCAGGGTCTCACTCTGTCACCCAGGCTACATACAGTGTGGTGGCACAATGGCAGCTCACTTCAGTCTCAACCTCCTGGGCTCAAGCAAATCCTCCCAGCTCAGCCTTCTAAGTAGCTAGGAATATAGGCACATGCCATCATGTCCGGCTAATTTTCTTCTTCTCATTATTATTATTATTTTGTAGAGACAGGGTCTCATTATGTTTCCCATGCTGGTCTCGAACTCCTGGGCTCAAGCCGTCCCTCCACCTCGGCCTGCCAAAGTGATGGGGTTACAGGTGTGAGCCATTGCAACCAACAATTTTGCTTTTCAGTGTAGTTGTTTGCATACTTGCCTCCCCAGTAAGATTTTAAAGGTGTGCAAAGGCATAAACTAGACACGTATTCATCAGTGACCCCTATAGCACTTAGCAGGATACTTTGCAGGAATATTCTGCAGTAATTGCTGCTTCATAAATGTTGGTTGGATTATATCTTCAAATATCTGGTCCTGTGGATTTATTCCACAGATGCTGCATTAAACATTTGGCTATAAGCATAAACAGACATGTGGGATAGGCTTTGTGCTTGGCCTGAAAGAGTTTCACTCTTTTTAAAAAATTAAAGTTTTAAAATATATTTTGGAGACAGAGTCTCATTCTGTCACTCAAGTCTGGAGTGCCATGATGCTATCACAGGTCACTGCAGCCTCAAACCCCTGGGCTCAAGTGATCCTCACACCTCAGCCTCCCGAGTAGCTGGGACTACAGTTGTGAGCCACCATGCCCTGCTAATGTTTTCATTTTTATAGAGGTCTTGTTATGTTGCCCAGGATGGTCTCAAACTCCTGTCCTCAAGCGATCCCGTGCCACCTCAGCATCCCAAAATGTTGGGATCACAGGTGTGAGCCACAGCACCTGGCAGGAAACTGACTCTTTATTAAATCTGTGAGTCCCATTTTACGCTTAACAGAGTGACTTGAGTGTATTGCTTGTCAGGAGCCATAGTCGGAGAGCTGTGCTCCAAACCAGTATGATTTTAAAAAACTTCCTGAAGAGAAGAAACAAAGGCACTGAAGTCAGCTTTGAGTTGACTTGTTCTAATTTTGAACACCTCTTGTTATCAGTAAATCCTTCAGTCTCCAATCTCACAAGGTGCCTTTTAATCCCCCGTACTCTCTCTTTTCTCATGGGAGAGATGGATTTTGGCCACTTTGCTATGTTATGTGGAACCATTTATGCTCTTGACTGTGGTAGCAGTATGACCTCGCAGCTTCGGGTGAGGTTTGAGCCAAATCATGCATTGGTCTGTTTTCCCCATTAACTGGTGAACTGTAGAGTTAGAGCTATGGATGTAGATTACATTTTGAAGCTTAGTCATCAGCAAGAGCCTGATTAATTTCTTTAGCTCTGATATTAGTCCAAAGCCAGAGGCTTTCAGTTTGGTGAAAAACATTAACTGCCTCCTTCATTTGGGCTGATTGATTGGTGGCTGAACAGAAGGCATTTCTTCCAGTCCACAGTGAATGTGAATTTTCCTTCAGATGCTCCCACTGAAAGCATAAGCTTTGTTTACTCATGCAAGGAGTGAAAAGATCAGATTCCTTTTCTGCTCAACTGTTCCTAACAGCTTTCTCAGAATCTTAATTTTTCTCTTCTACTCCCAGCCAGCAAGGAGAGATGGTGGCAAGACACTGACTTTGAATTGGAGGATGGGATTGAAGACTGCTCCTGCTTCTTCCTTGGTCAATGCATTAATAACCAGCTCAGAAAATAATATGTCAACCAGATTTTCTCTCTCAGCAGTGAATAACATCTCAGAATACCTTGGAGGTGCTCACAACTGCGTGCGTTATTTGCAATTGGTCCTTGCTTTCCCTCCCCAGTGTGAAGATTCATTTCCTCTTCCTTTTCCTTAGCAGAGTTGAAATGTTTCCTGCTTGCCTGAGTATGAAGGGATCACATGTTTGTCCTTGTGTTTCAGCTCTGCAATATAAATGCTTGATGTAACCATTTAACAGGATTGAATTTTATCCGAACCATTTAAAAGTTGGGGCAAACAATGAAAATGACTAAAATAGCTAAGTTATCTTCTAGTCTTAGTAGCTACTTAAATGTCAGTTGGGTAAATTTGATGTAAGCATTTGGTTTTAATTAATATATATATATATATATATATTGGTAGAGGTGGGGTGGGCTCCTGCTATATTTCTTAGGCTGGTCTTGAACTCCTGGGCTCAAGCAATCCTCCCACTTTCGGCCTCCCAAAGTGCTGGCTTTACAGGCATGAGCTACCATGCCTAGACTGTTGGGTAAATTTCCATTGCCTGCTACTTGTACTTAAACCAGAAATATTGAAAGGGATGATTACTACTTTAGCCAAGAATTAAGCTTAAAATCTGAATTGAGGTCAAAGTATAATAATCCTAGTTAACATTAATCTGAGTGATGGTGATAACACATTTTTGAATTATTTTATGTGTATTATTTCACTTCATTTTAGCAACAACCCTAAGGGGTAAGTGCTATCATTATTATTATTACTACTATTTTGCAGTTGAAGCAATTTCAGATTGGAGAGTTAAGTAACTTTACCCAAGATTACATGACCAGGAAATAGAGAAGGTGGGACTCTAACTGCAGTCTACATTTTACAGGTGACTATGGAATGCCACTATATTGTATTTCCAGGTAGACTGTGAATGGTTGAAACATGCTCCTGTTGTCTGCTAACTGCTTAACGCCAGCTTCTGGGGTGCTACTTTCTCAAAAGATGTAATTGGCATCAGGATGGCCCTTCTCATCTTAACATTTGCTTTCATGTAGATTCTAGAATGTTTGCAAATACTTGTATCTTAGTCCATGGGTAGATGATTGTTTTAGCAGAAAAGGATTTATGTCACTTTATAGAAGCATAGGGATTTAAGATTGCCCTTGAAGAATGGGCAGGGCTCAGAACAATTAAATGGAGTGATGATAGTCAGTTGAACTATCTACTGCCACGGGCTGTGGTCTAGATGAACCGAGCCTTTTCAACATTATCTTCAAAAGTCATGATTTTCTTTTTCTGTGAAAGGAGAATATTATTCATTTAACTCATTGCAATGAATTTTCTGTGATTTTTATGCATGACCCTGTTCAATGCTGTGGTTTTGTACAGTGCTATGGTGGAATTAGCTAGCTTTTGGTTTTCTAGCATTTGAATACTCTCTTACTTGGAGACTGCCGTTTGTTATGCAGGCCTTTGTGGGAGGGATGGTGAGATCCCCAAACGAAACAAAAGGAAGGAACAAATATCCTCTCTCCCTGTTCTTTGCTGCTTGAGTAACCTGGACTTGGCCAATCAGATGCTCCTGTCCAACACTGTGAGGTCATCTGTGGAAATTTCTAGCACTGTGAGTATCCAGGGGATGCAGCACCAACATTGGCACCCTGGCCAGACTGTCTGGTGCAGACTTGACTAGGTTCTGAGCTGCCAGGCTTTCTCTGTTTTCTGCCAATATGCTGACTATTATCCAGGCTTCCCAGAGGTTTTGTGAGCTCCCACTACCCAATATTTCATAATACATTCTATTAGCGTTCTCCAGAGAAACAGAATGAACAAATGGACAACAACAACAACAACAACAACAACAACAACACACACACGTTATTTAGTATAAGGAATTGGCTCAAGTGATTTTGGAGGCTTAGAAATTCCACCATCTGCCACTTGCAAGCTGGAGAAAAGCCACTTGCAGGCAAGCCAGTGGTGGAATTCTGAGAACCAGAGGGATGATGGTGTAAGTTCTAGTGTAGGGGCAGGAGACTGATATTCCAGTTCAAGAAGTCAGGAAAAGAGAAGAAATTCTAACTTCTGCCTTTTTGTTCTATTCAGGCCTTCAATGGATTGAAGGCCTCCTTCCCACATTGGCAAAGGCAATTTGTCTACTAATTCAAATGCTAATCTTATCCAGAAACACCCTCACAGACACACCCAGAAATAATGTTTATCCCAAAACCTGGACACCCCATGATCCAGTCAAGTTGACACGTAAAATTAACCATTCTGTATCTATTCCCACCAAGTAAGCCATAATTGGTTTTTGATACATGGAATCAGAAATTCCACTGGTACAAGTCCCTTTCAGAAATGTACAACTATGGTTGGGTGTGGTGGCTCACACCTGCAATCCCAACACTTTGGGAGGCTGAAGCAGGAGGATCACTTGAGACCAGAAGTTCCCAGCCTGGGCAACATAGCAAGGCCCCATCTCTACAAAAAGAGAAATACACAACTAGATTTTAAATATGTAATGGAATTATAAAAATTAATACAAATAATATGACAGAAATTTGTGAAACAGAAAAAACTCATCCATAATCACACCATTCTAATATGATATCACATTTGTGGTTTTAAACTTTTTTTTAACCTATAAACATTTCCATAGTTATTCTCATGCCTCACCCAGCTTCTCAAGGTGCTCACTCTGACATAGCTCTTTCACGGAAAACTCAGTGGGCCACAAGATTCTGGGGGAGCTCAGTGAGAAGTGTTTAATAATGAACCAGGATGAGATGTGCCTCACCCCTAGCCCCAGTTAGCATGTATTGAGTGAGGCATCATCTCACCTTAAGAAAAGTCCTTTTAGCAGGTAATGGAAAATTGTGTATAGATTATTCTGCTTTATTTTTATTTTTATTTTATTTATTTATTTATTTATTTATTTATTTATTTATTTATTTTTTGAGACCAAGTTTCCTTCTGTTGCCCAAGCTGGAGTGCAGTGGTGCAATCTTGGCTCACTGCAGGCTCCGCATCCCGGGTTCATGCCATTCTACTGCCTCAGCCTCCCAGGTAGCTGGGACTACAGGCGCCTGCCACCAGGCCTGGCTAATGTTTTGTATTTTTAATAGAGACGGGGGTTTCACCGTGTTAGCCAGGATCCTCTCTATCTCCTGACCTCGTGATCCGCCCACCTCGGCATCTCAAAGTGCTGGGATTACAGGAGTGAGCCACTGCACCCAGCCAGATGATTCTCCTTTTATACAAAGCTCAAAAGGTAGGGCCTTGAGAGAAGATGGATTTCTAAGGGGGAAGCTCTGTGGCAAAAGTCTGTTACAATGTGTTATAATGCTCACATTCAAGTTGGAAGGTCATATTTAAACCTAACTATGCAGATACGTATCTAATGAGCTGGGCATAGGAAGACACAGAAGAGCTTTGCAGAGTTCCCACTCTCAAAGACTTTACAAACAGCTTGGTGTGACAAGACCTGCAACATTAGGCAACTAGAGAACACAGTATGAGGCAGTGAAAGTTATGGGCGGTGAGGACTGCGTGTCTTATAGCCCCAGGAAGGGCTTCTTGGATATGGTAACACTTCAGATTTGCCTGGAAGAATGGGCAGAGTCTGGATGGATAAAGAGAAACAGGGATAGCAAGTTGAGAGGCCAATATTAGCAAACAGGATGGCAGAGAGGGAATGCTACTTTGGTGGGGGCCATCATCCAGTTCTTCTTCAGTTATATAATAATGAGAAATTGGATTTGCAGTTCTCAAACTTCATGGATCCAGGATCCCTTTACACTGTTAAAAATTACTGAACACATCAAAGATTTTTTTGTGTGTATGTGGGTAATTTTTATTGGTATTTACTGGATTTGAAGTTGAAGTAAGTAACACAGTTTTATGAAAAATAACTCCATTTTTGGAAAAAAAAATTAGCAAGAAGGCTGGTATTGTTTTTGAAAATCTTAATAGAAGACAGCTGGCTTGTTTTATTCACTTCTGCATTTAATCTGTTGCAATATGTTGTTTTGTCTGTAGGAGCTGAAGGAAATCTGACCTCACAAAGATATGTGGTTAGAAAGGGGAGACATAGTTTAACAGTACTTTCCAAATTGTTGTGAATATTCTTTGATAGTATCTATAGTATAGAATTTGGCAAGAAGCGATTTCTTAAATGTTGGTTACAATGTGGAATCTGAAAGTTTATCAATACACCTTCATATTCTGCTGTGTTATAATCCACTGGCCCATCATGCAGTGTGTGATTTTACCTGTGTGTGATTTTGTAACACCATGCATTGGCCATTTGGAAAATATTTGTTCACTGAGTTGTGCAGATCTTCCTAACCCTGACACATTTCATTAAACAGCAGCAAAAGATCACATTTAGGCCGGGTGGTGGCTCACCCCTATAATCTCAGCACTTTGCGAGGCCAAGGTGGGAGGATCACTTGAGCCCAGGAGTTTGAGACTAGCCTGAGCAACAAGCAAGAGCCCATCTTTGCAAAATTAAAATTAAAATATTAGTTGGGTGTGGTGGTGCATGCCTGTGGTCACAGAAACTCAGAAGGCTGAGGTGGGAGGATCTGCTGAACCCAGGTGGTTTGGTGATGCTGCAGTGAGCCATGAGTGCACCACTGCACTCCAGCCTAGGCAAGAGAGTGAGACCCTGTCTCAAAAAAAGTCACATTTGTTAATATCATCCCTCCTTTGTATTAGAAAAGTCTCTAAGTATTCAGAAGCTATCAAGCTGATGGTGGCAGATACAAGCTTTGCAACATTCTAATTTTCATTTGAAATCTACAAAAATTTTACATCATTGGCAGCAAGTTCTGTCAGTCATTTTCCTTGAAATGACAGGGTCATATAATTCATTTTAGAGAGAATGCCTGACAAATACTCAACTCTGAGTAGCTGTAGTTTTCTGTCAATAGTTCTTTCAAGTAAAAATGTATTTCATGAAAAAAGTAGCTAGTTTTGCTCACACTTTGAATGACTGCACAAGTACTCGACCTTCCTTGGTAGGCAGCAAAAGTGTTTTATGCATGCTTCCTGTTTAGACACACTGAATATTAGAAATTGCGCTCACATTGAGATTTAGTAATTAATGAATTTATTTCATTGTATCAAGGAAATTCTTAAGTTCTTAGGTGACATTGACTCCTCCTCCTCCTCCTCCTCCTCCTTCTCCTTCTTCTTCCTCTTCTTCTTTATTTACTGCAACCATGTGGCAGCAAAGACTACAATGAATGACCACCTGTAGTAAAGCATGTGCTGCTGCCTTGATTTTTGTGATGGTGTCACCATTCTACCCACCTTTATTTTTGCACCACCAATGCAAATGTCAACAAAATGAGAAAGAAGCAAATAATTATTTTTGTTATTATAAAACAGTTTGGCCTCATGAAGTCCCTGAAGGGGCTCTGGAGCCCTCAGGAGTCTGTGAACACACTCAGAGAACCACTGACTTAAATTCATAAACAGTCAAGGTGGGTGGATCACCTGAGGTCAGGAGTTTGAGACCAGCCTGGCTAACACGGCAAAACCCCATCTCTACTAAAAATACAAAAATTAGTCTGGTCTAGTTGTGTGTGCCTGTAATATTAGCTACTTGGGAGGCTGAGGCAGGAGAATCACTTGAACCCAGGATGTGGAGGCTGCAGTGAGCCAAGATCATACCACTGCACTTCAGCCTGGTTGATAGAGCAAGACTTCATCTCAAAAAAAAAATTACAAACAGTGCCTTCTATACTAGGCATTTTTTCTTTGATTTAAATGTATTAAATTATTTAATTCTCACAACTCTCTTTAGGACATAAGGTTAATATTCTCAGTTTACACATGAAGAAACTGAGGCTCAGAGGTTTCTCAGGTCACACAGATGTGACATAGCAGAGGCTCACTCTGGCTTTAGCCCATGGTGTACTGACCTAGCTTATGAACTCAGCTGTATCATTGCCATCTGTGTATAACTGAGGTCTAAGTGGATGCAGCCCAAGTCTCAGGTTCAGAGTGGTCCTCTGAATGGAGTGGTCCTGTGTCAGTCAACATCATGATAAGACAGAGAAAGCATTGAAAAAGCATGGACAGTGTGTAGGGAACCCTTGTAGGTTTCTAGTGCTATATGCCTTCTGCTCACCACCTTTCTCCATTCTTGTTGACTGGCACACAGGCAGTTTCCCAGGACAAGCAACAATGGGCCACCTTGCAACCCTGGGCCTGTAAAGAAAAAGATGGCTTTGTGCAGAAGGTCACCTGCAGAACCTTGGTTGTGGGATGTTGTCAGTCAGCCCGTGGCCACGTTGCAGGGTGGAACTCTGGGGATTGTATTCTCTATCTGCTATAACTTAGACATGGTTTGTTTGTCCCCACTAAATCTCATGTTGAAATTTGGAGGTGGGGCCTAATGGGAAGTGTTTGGGTCATGTGAGCAGATCCCTCATGAGTAGGTTAATGCCCTCCTTCAAGGTGAGTGAGTTCTCTATTAGTTCTCATGAAAGTTGGTTGTTAAAAAGAACCCAACATCTCCCCTCTCTTTCTTGCTTCCTCTCTTACCATATGATCTCTGCACACACTGTTTCCCTTTCACCTTCTACCATGAGTTGAAGCAGAAGCCCTCACCAGAAGCCAAGCAGATGTTGGTACCTTGCTTCTTGCACATTCTGCAGAACTGTGAGCCAAATAAACCTCTTTTCCTTATAAATTAGCCAGCCTCAGATATTCCATTAGAGCAACACAAAATGGACTAAGACAGCAACCTGTCTCCCTCCCTCTGGTCTCTGGCTGCATCTCCTGCTGGAAGCCAGGGAGCAGGGGCTAATGTCTTTGAGCTGTTCTCTGATGTTACTGATTGATACAAGTCAGCCAGAATTATGAAGGAGTTAGGTATAGGGCTAGAAGGGAAAGTAGAAGGTATCTAGCACCATGAACTTGTAAGAGTTCCTTCCTTTGATTGCCATATCTTATATTTCAACTTGAGATTAAAGTCTATACTTTATTCATACAGCTGGAGGGTGAACTGGAATTTGTTCACAACTGTGTTGTGGACATATTTCAGACATGACAATGATTTTCATTGGCCTGTCATGCCAAGTAGATCTTTTCATATAGATGTGGCTCTGGCTCCCTGCTTATAGGGTTTGGGACAGAGTTACCCTTCCATTGAGTGTGGTAACCTACTTGTTACTCCTTCCCCATCTGCAGGAATTCAACTCCTTGTATGAGGCATTGCCTCAAGATGAAGAGCTTCCAGCTCCCCACCTGGTGTCCCTAAGTGGCAGCAGAGGCTGCTGCTGTATTCCTGAGTCCTAGTTTTATGCATCCATTTGTCTCAGATCTCATCAGTCCTTCCTCTTCAATTGATTCAAGGCCTCAACCCCAAATGCTTCCTGCATTGCTCTGCAGCACCCTCCAGCCCTACTGATGCCCATCAAGTCATAGGAATCACACTTGTCCTCTATGGAGACCCAAACATTAAATAATTAAAACAATGAGAGAAGATTTGGGAAGCAAAGTCGATGCACTTTTCTGCATAGCCACAGAGCTGAGTCATCTAAGCTCTGTACAGATTCATCAATTGAAATTGTCTGTGATGGTTAATTTTCTGTGTTAACTTGGCTTGGCAATGGTGCCCAGTTGTTGTCAAATATCAGTCTACATGTTGCTGTGAAGTTATTTTTTAAACGTGATTAACATTTAAATTGGCAGACTTTGAGTAAAGCTGATTACCTTCTATAGTGTGAGTGGCCCTCACCCAATCGTTGAAGATGTTAAGAGAGAAAACTGAGATCCCTCAAAGAGGAAGGAATTCTGCCTCCAAATTGCTTTCCTTTGGGCTTGAGTTGCAACATTAACTTTTTCCTTAGTATCTGGCCTGCTGACCTGCCCTGCATATTTAGGACTTGCCAGCCCCTACAATCACATGGGCCAATTCCTTAAAATAATTATCTCTCTCTGTCTCCCTCTGTGTGTGTGTGTGTGTGTGTGTGTGTGTGTGTGTGTGTGCGCGCACGTAGGGTTTTCTTATTATGTTAAATTAATAAGTAAATTTCGATTTAAAAGAATTATCAGCTTTAATTTCTATGATGGAAAATCTTCAGATTTTCATACTGAGATTAAAACATGTTTGGGAATGTGGATGTATACCCTAAGGTGTAAATGGGGAATGTTTGTAAAGTACTCTGACATCATCTGACATGGCAGCTCCCCAGCCATGGTGGTGGTGATAGAAATATAAATGGTGACAGCAGCAGCAGTGTGATAGTCACGGTGGAGGGAGATTGCTTTTCTGCAGCCATGCTTCTGGCATCTCCCAACCTGGGTGGGACCCAGCTGAAGATCTGCAGAGAAACCAGCCATTTCTGAGAGCAAGGCAATCAGTGGGCATTTACTGGAGGGTGTCTAGGTTCTTAACATCTCACTGTTATTTGGGCTCATGGGATCATAAGAATGACAAAATAAAGAGAAGTCCTCATTTCTGACCACAAGAAGCTTGACACAATTCCAGTAAGTCTTGGATTGAAAGGAGAGACATGTTTTCATGTGTTTATATTCCCTTAACAACCAATATACCTTGACATTGAAGAGCCAAGATGTGAGTGGGAGGTAGTGCTATGGTTTGTATGCATTTCCCAAAGTTTATGTGTTGGAAACTTAATCCTCAATGCAATGGTGTTGAGAGGTGGGACTTTTAAAAAGTGATTAGGTTATGAGGGCTCTGCACTTATAATGGATTAATGCTGTTATCATGGGAGATCATGGGAATGGATTCCTAATAAAAGGATGAGCTTGGCCCCCTTTTCGTCTCTCTATTTATCTCTCTCTTTCTCTCTCCACCTCTCTTGTGTGTGCACACATTTTCTTGGGCATATGTGCCCTCTTGCCCTTCCACCTTCTTCCATGAGATGATGTAGCAAGAAGGTTCTCACCAGATGCCATCCCCTTGACCAGTCTCCAGAACTATAAGAAATAAATCTCTGTTTTCTATAAATTACCCAGTTTCAGGTATTCTATAATAGCAGCACAAAATCAACTAAGACAGTGGAGGAGTAGGAGTCTGAAATAGTTTGACATTTTAGTGGACAGTCAGAAAGTATTGTACCAAATGCAGGTGGTACAGAAAGTGAACTTCCTCAGAAAAAAAAAAAAGTAAGATACTGTTGACATCTTATAGAGCTCAGTCTCTGCCAGCATTGATGAAACCTCATGAGATCCAGATGGCTTCAAAACTGACTACAAGCAAGGTGGCTGGTGCAGTGGCCCACCTCTCCTGTAAAATAGGACAGACTCTCCCTTGCGAATAAACATACTGTTTGAAAAGTAAAGTGCAGCTTAAATCCCAATGGGAAGTTCAGTGCCAACAGCATGGTTATGGTGAATCCCATTTTAAAACAAAGTCTTTTTGGAAAGTTGCGTATTTCAGGTTGCAAGTCCGGTCCTATCACTCACTGCCTTAGTCCACCACAACTATGTTGCAGAGAGAAAGGATTCATTCATTCATTGCATATAATTTCAGAGGGTTGCTTTGTAAAACACCTGCTCTGAGCTGGAGGTGGATATAGCAAGTTGGAACACGTTGACTTATTTAGTTTCCAGTAACCCTTGGTAATGACTGCAATAAAGACAAATCCAATTAGCCTGGCCCAGAAGGGTGGCTCCTCTCATGGATGCAGATGAGCTGAGTGGGAGCTCAGAGGATTTCTTTTGCAATTAGAATTTGAGGGCAAGCGAAGTTCTGCCAAAAACCCAGCCCAGTGACCCAAACGAGGTGGTCAGCCTTCTTGGGGGCAGCTCAGCTTTCCCGTAGGCAGCTCAGCCTCTGGAGGCCCCTGACACTCTAGGCTGAATCACTTGTCCCATATGGCTTTCAGTTCTGGTTTTCAGGTAGCCTAGAAGGGAAACATGCAACAGAAGCTGTCTGGACTGTGGATCTCAAACCAGCACTGCATACTTGGCCCCTTTGTGCAGAGCCCAGGCTGCATGCTGTACATGGGATGGTGGCATGTGGGAGATTTTGTTGCACACAGATAATAAAGTGGTAAAGAATCATTCGATAGGCAGTTAGGCCAGCGAGTAGGAGTTCATAAAGTGGGAGAGGAAATTATCCATTCCTGTGGGACAAAAAATTTTGGTCCTGGAGAAAATGAATGCGACAAATTGTTCTAATTCAGGGGCTGTTCCTTCTTCTACACTAGACCAGGGGTCTTAAAAGACAGAGGCCAGGTCTTTGTCACACTTGTGTCCACAAGGCTTGGTGCATAGTAAGTTCTCTATGAATATGTGTTTGCTGAACTCAATTGGAACTTAAAAAAAATGTTTTATTTGGAAATTCAAACTTAAAGAATAGATTCAAGGAAAAGTAAAGAGAACAACTGTATATATTTGACTCAGATTCACTATTGTTTGTTGAAATTTCATTTGCACGTGCTTTTGTCTCACTTTCTCTCTTTTTCTATATTTGTAATATTATTTTTTCCTGAATCATTTGAGAGAAGGTTGCATATATCATGGTTGTTTATCCTCAAATGCTTTAGTGTGTGTGTGCTAAGAATAAACATATAACTAACCTCAGTAAATTTAACATTAACCCAGTACTTTATCTGTTCTATCACTGGTATTTCAACAGTCTTAATTATCCCAAAATATTACTTATAACTTATGTTCTCCTTCCAGTATAGTAGCTGCTCTGGGATCAGGTATTGTCAAGTCTCCTTCCACCTATTAATAGAACATTTCCATAGCCTTTCTTTGTCTTTTATGACATAGATATTTTTTACAAATACACTCATCAATTTTTCTGTACTGCAATGAGTATATATATTATAGATAAGAGTTTGACTTTTTTGCCCACTGTGCCTCAGACAGTAAATCTCTCCAAGGGCTCACTCAGTGTCTGACTTATTGTCATGGGATCTTGAATAAAATAGCATCATCTTGGACCAAGAGACCAACTTTATCACAAAGGAGATGACTCCAGGATCCACGAGTCCTACTATGCTGAATCTGCCAGAAGTTGCCTACCTGAATGCTTGAATGGTAACTTAAATGGGCAGCTAAGGGGCCAGCTTAGAGACGAAACCCTGGGAGTTTGAGGTACTCTTTTTCAAAATGCCATATTTTGAAATTGCTATTTGCTATTATATGATGCTGTGTCCTTGAGAAAGAGAATACATGGATCTGGCAACCAGGAGTGTGTGTAGGTAGAACTGGCTTCTCTCATCATATACCCCAGGGATCCAATGGGAAATGTTTTCTTCCTGTCCTTTTAACTTCAGGTTTTTTTTTTCGGGGGGTGGGGGTAGCGGTAGGGGGTTAGTGAGGATCTTCTAGCAGAGAATACCTTACAAGGATACCACTAAATCTAAAGCTCCAACTACCTCCTGGTCACTTCGGGCTCCTCCTGACACTAGTCCAGCAGGCAAAAAGGTTACTGAACTGGCAGGGGTAATTGCCACAGATTGTCATGAGGAGTTATGGCAGCTACTACATAATGGGGTAGGAAAGGTGTCTTAGTCTATTTGTATGGCTATAACAAAATACTCGAGACTGGGTAATTTATCAAGAACAGGAATTTATTTCTCACAGTTCTGGAGGCTGGAAAGTCCAAGATCAAGTTGCCAGCATTTGGTGCCTGGTGAGAACCTTCTTGCTGTGTCCTCACATGGCAGAAGGCTGAAGGGCAAGAGGGGGATGAACAATGCGTCCTTTACATGGTAGAAGAGTGGAAGAGCTTTTCTATAAGAATCATAATCTATTCATGAAGTATGACCTAACCACCTTCCCAAAAGGCCCACCTCAATTAATTGAATTAAGTCTCAACATAAATTTTGGAGGTGAAACCATTATTCAAACCATAGTGGAAGTGTGTGTCTGGAAACCAGGTGATTCATTGGGAACATACTGGTGCTTCCATACCACTGATTACTGAAAACAGGCAATGGCAACAACCACAGTCTAATAAGGGCATGGTACCCAGGACTCAGATCTCTTTAGAAACGAAGGTCTGGGTTACCCACCATGCAAGCAAACTAGAACAATAGAAATGCTGACCAAGGGTGACAGGAATCTACAATAGGTGGTGCAGGAGGAGAAGATGAGTGTCCATTAGGTTTGAGACCAACTGCAGCAATTAAGTTGTAGCTTGTCCCACTAATACTCCCAATGCAAGCCTTTTAAAAAATATTTTTAATTGTGAGTGGTCACTACCTTGAAGGACATGGTGAACTTGATGTGCAAGAGAGTGGATTTGAGCTGGCACTGTACTTATATCCTTTGGCATTCCTCTAGACACCAAACTGTATACTGTGAGCAACTGTGACTCTCTCTGCCTGAAGACATCTCTTTGTTTGGTGAGCAGACTCAGTCTACTTTCATGGAAAATCAAAAAGTGCTGGAGATTTAATAATGGCTTGGGAGCAGCTCTGGGCCCATGACAGGTGGGGAGTTGGTGAAAAACACCAACTTTCTTGCATCTCCTAGGGTACCCTTCAGCTTCACTGGCCCTCAGTGGTAACTGCACTGAATGTGGATCCTTTATTGGCTTTTTTCCATTCCCTGTATCACTTCCCTATTTTCATATCAGTATTTCCTGGGTTCACCTCTTAAATCTCCCTCTCTCAGGGTTTGCTTCTGGGAACACCCAAGCTAAGACACTTACATTAACTCCAGGCTCCAAAGTTCTAATGATTGTCCAGGTAGATTCATAAAGCTAAGGTACTTTTGCTTAATAATATTCAAAAGGACTATTAAGCAATACATCAGACTTTTTAAAAGTAATATTCATAAAGTAGAGTGCACATAGAAAAGTATACAGCTCAAAAATATTCATGAAGCAAACACTTAGCTGAAGTTATAGAATATTACTAGCATACTGGATGTTTTGGCATATGTTCAGCTTTAGAAGACACTATCAAATGGGCTTCCAAAGTGATTGTTCAAACTTACATTCTCTTCAGCAGTAGCTTTCATTTTTGAAAGATAGTTTTGTAGGGTATACAATCTTACACTGGTAATTTTTCTTTAAACTTTTAGAAGAACGCTGCTCTACTG
The DNA here is from genome assembly GCF_000001405.40 of Homo sapiens. Classification (NCBI taxonomy): domain Eukaryota; kingdom Metazoa; phylum Chordata; class Mammalia; order Primates; family Hominidae; genus Homo; species Homo sapiens. Next base: position 37,451,538 of record NC_000010.11, read on the forward strand.
GGTTCTTCTTTACATTGTTTCCAAAAAGAAATTTGTTATCCTTATCTTTGTCCCTGTGTATGTGATATATGTTTTTCCTCTCCTGGTTGGCTTCAAAATATTCCCTTTATCAGTGATATTGAGCATTTTGATTATAATGTGCCTTGGTGTAGTTTTCTTCATGTTTCTAACGCCTATGGAAATGAAGTTCTTGGAATAGACTTTTGAGACTTGGAGAAACTTTCACTTTGCAGGTTCCAAGGATTTGCTTCAAATCCTTGCCAATATGTGATATGATATAGTTTGCTTTTTTGTTTTAGCCATTCTGGCAGGTGTGTAGTGGTTTCACATTGTAGCTTTTATTTTATTTTATTTTATTTTATTTTATTTTATTTTATTTTATTTTATTATTTTATTATTTCATTTTATTTTATTTTTATTTTATTTTGAAACGGAGTCTCGCTCTGTCACCCAGGCTGGAGTGCAGTGGTGCGATCTCAGCTCACTGCAAGCTCCGCCTCCTGGGTTCACGACATTCTGCTGTCTCAGCCTCCTGAGTAGCTGGGACTACAGGCACCCGCCACCACGCCCAGCTAATTTTTTTGTTTTTGTATTTTTAACAGAGACGGGGTTTCACCATGTTAGCCAGGACGGTCTTGATCTCCTGACCTCGCAATCCACCCACCTAGGCCTCCCAAAGTTCTGGGATTACACCGCACCTGGCCCCACATTATAGCTTTAATTTGCATTTTCCTGGTAAACAGTGATGATGAACACTTTCAATCTCTTTACTAGCATTTGGCAATCCTCTTTTGTGAAGTGTTGGTTCCAGTCTTTTGCCAGTTTTTCTATTGGGTTGTCTTTTTCTTATCAATTAGTAGGACTTCTTGATATTGTCTGCATATAAATTATGTATCAGATATATGTGTTGCAAATACCTTCTCCCATTCTGTGAATTCTCTTTTTGTCTCTTCATAGTGACTTTTGATAAACAGAATTTCTTTATTTTAATATGGTAGAATTTATCAATTTTCACTTGTAAGTTCAGCTTTGTGGGTGTGTTTCCTATTTAAGAAACCTCTGCCTACTCCAAAGTCATGAGGATGTTCTTATATGACTGTATATGTAAAACTCTGCGTGGGTCTTCTATTCCACTGGTTGTTTTGGTCATTTTTGTGTCTATTCTATTCTTATATTACATTAGTAATATATAGCATATATTACCAATACCATAGCTTTAAAATAGGACTTGACAAAGCTTGGAAGTTCTCCAGTTTGATCCATCTTCTTCAAGGTGACCTTTGCTCTTCTTGGCCTCTGAACTTCAGTGAAAATTTTAGAATCTGTCCATTTCTTTTTTTAAAAAAACAACTTTTGGTATTTTGACTGGGATTACATTAAATCTATAGATTCATTAGGGGAAAAATTGATATGTTTATAATATCATGTCCTATAATTCACAACATGCTATAGACCATGATCATTTTAGGATTTTCTTATTTTCTCTCAATAATATATTTTTTTATTTTTAACTAGTTTCAAGGAGTTCTTGCACACTATGGGGCTGTTGAAAGCTCTGAGTTATTTCAAAGGGAACAAAAAGATTAGTTGAGAAGCTGAACACATTCCACTGAGTGATAGTTAAACTATTTTCAATTAATTCAGGAACCACCAAACTACATAGCTATAACCACAGTAAGACTCTGGAGTGCACTTCATTTTTTTCTCATGAAGGAAAAAGGACTGCTGTGGGTTGAATTGTATCCTTCAGAAACATGTCCTGAAGTCCAAATCCTGTTTACCTATGAATGTTACCTTTATAGATGTAATCAAGATGAAGTCATATCAGAGTAAGGAGGGCCTTAATCCAGCATGACTGGTGTCCTCGTAAGAAGAGGAGAAGAGGCACAGACACACACACAGGGAAAGTGCCATGCAACAATAGCAGCAGAGAAGGAAGTTATTTTGCCACAAGCCAAGGAGCACCAAAGCTTGCCGACAACCATCAGAAGCAAGGAGATTTCTTCTCCAGAGCCTCCAGGAGGATCCAACACTACCAACCCCTCAATTTCAGACTTCCATCCTCCTGAACTGTGAGAGAATAAATTTCTGGTTTGTTTGTTCGTTTGCGATGGAGTCTCGCTCTTTCGCCCAGGCGGGAGTGCAATGGCGTGACCTCGGCTCACTGCAACCTCTGCCTCTGGGGTTCAAGCAATTCTCTTGCCTCAGCCTACCAAGTAGCTGGGATTACAAGCATGTGCCACCACACCCAGCTAATTTTTTGTATTTTTAGTAGAAATGGAGTTTCACCGTGTTAGGCAGGATGGCGTCGATCTCCTGACCTCATGATTTGTTTGCCTCTGCCTCCCAAAGTGGTGGGATTACAGGCGTAAGCCACCGCACCTGGCCAAATTTCTGTTTTTTTAAACTGCCCAGTCTGTTGTACTTCATTACAGCAACCATGAGAAACTAACACATATGATGTGGAGCTCTTGGGTCTTTTCTTGTCTCCTGTTTCTCTTTAGGTCCTGTTCTATAATTCCCATGTCACTTATCACAATGTGTGATTTCATGACTCAGGAAAATGTCCTGAGAATTTGGCTTGGGATTTGCTCTTCTACTCCTCCCAAATATTTTTTTGTAAGCCACTTGCAATCTGATGTCAAATTTCTTTCTGCTTAAACTAGTTAGAAATGTTTGTTTTCTGCAACTGAGACTGATACCCTAGCCACCATGCCCCACCCTTAACATATATGTAAATCCTGGGAGACTGGGGACCATCGCTGCTTCTGCCACAGGATAAACACAACCCAGGAAACTCCTGACTGCAGAGCCATCCTGCCTCTGCCATGATCTGAGCCAGCACCGTGGATGCTCCCCACCTCCCATCTCCCCTTGTAACTAGCACGGCATTTATGTCTGTCATGCATGCACTGAATTGGTTGAACCTAAATCATATGCAGGACTCTAGATGCAGGAGAGTCTGAGGAATGATGTCGTTTTTGACATTTGGGTCTCTGTAATAGAGCAAGGCACACAAAGAAGCTGGATTGGATGCCAAGTCAGCCAGCCTTAGCATCTGCCAGAGGTGGGAGGACATTTCTCTCCTGCCCTGGCCTTTGTCTAGAGGAGAAAACCCTCCAGGTGAATTTAGACATCCTCATTTCTTTAGAGTTCATAGTTTCTACTTTTGGCATACCGTTAGGTTCTGCCTCCCTCTCCCTCTTTGTCATCTAGCAGTTTTGGAGTTTGAGATTTAACTCTTTCATGCTCTTTTCTTTGTGAAGCCTTGCTCTGTTGTCCAGGCTGGAGTACAGTGGTGCGATCTGGACTCACTGCAACCTCAGCCTCCCAAGTTCAAGCAATTCTCCTGGCTCAGGCTTCTGAGTAGCTGGGACTACTCGGAAAAAGCACGCAGCACCTTTAATGCTCTTTCCTCAGATACTTGCCAACAATAGGCACTAGTCTAATCTTGTCTTTTATCTGATACATTTTTCTGGTTTTGATATAAACTGGTGTTTTTACAGCACTAACAACTAGATCAGTGTGTACAGAGTAACCTAGAATTGGTTTTCAGTTCCAGGAGAGAATGTAGCAAGAGCTCTGTGCCCCAGGATATGCTGGTGTAAAACAGAAAGCTGTGGTGTGTATTAGCATTGATTTCTCCTTTTGTGCTCTAAAGACAAGTTTCTTAATTGGATAGGGTCTGGGCTTAATGAGGCCGTCAGCCACATTTTACTCATATACCGGCCTCTCGACTCTGCAGCTGTCTTATTTCCTGCTGCCCATTTTTCTCCTTGCTTTCTTCAGGCCTCAACGCTCCTGTTCTTTATCCCTTCCTTCTTCCTCTCCAAACCAGTCTTCAGGAAAAGATCTGGTATCAGCCATTCCCACCTTGACAGAAACTGGAATCAATGAGTGCATTCTTCCAGTTGTTTGCATTTATTTATTTATTTTTGTTTATTTGTTTGAGATGGAGTCTCTGTTACCTAGACTGGAGTGCGGTGGTGGGGTCTTGGCTCACTGCAACCTTTGCCTCTGAGGTTCAAGTGACTCTCCTCCTGCCCTCCCAAGTAGCTGAGATTATACGTGTGTACCACCACGCGTGGCTAATTTTTTTTGTATTTTTAGTAGAGATGGGGTTTCACCATATTGGCCAGGCTGGTCTTGAACTCCTGACCTCAAGTAATCCATCCTCCTTGGCCTCTCAAAGTGCTGGGATTATGGCCGTGAGCCACCGCGCCTGGACAAAAGCATTGTTCTTAATGGAAAAAATATATCAACTGAAGGGTTTTGTTTTTTTTAAAAAACAACTCCTATATGTCAACCACATTAAACCTGGCTACATAGCATTATGATACTCCTGACTACCTGGGGAAGCTCAACTTTCCACATAGACCATTACCAAAGTTGGCACTGAGCAGAAAACAGGAGATAGTGTCCATGTGGGAAGGGTGTGTGATTCTCCTTGTCAAGGGTTTCAGGATCATTCTTCAGTATGCACCTGTGGTACTGAAACCAGTCCAAGAGTCCCAGAAACAGTTGTTTTTGGATAAACATTGAAATGGACCCTTCTGTTATTAAAGCTTGAAACTTGTATTTTTTTTATCTGAGTTCCTTCCTCAGGAAAGGACCTTCAGTCCTCTAAAAACAGGTATCAGCCAGGCCCGGTGGCTCATGCCTGTAATCCTAGCACTTTGGGAGGCTGAGGTGGGCAGATCACGAGGTTAGGAGTTCGAGACCAGCCTGACCAACATGGAGAAACTCCATCTCTACTAAAAATACAAAAATTAGCTTGGCATGGTAGTGTGCGCCTATAATCCCAGCTACTCAGGAGGCTGAGGCAGGAGAATTGCTTGAACCCAGGAGGCGGAGGTTACAGTGAGCAGAGCCGAGATTGCGCCATTGCACTCCAGCGTAGGCAACAGAGCGGAGACTCCGTCTCAAAAAAAAAAAAAAAGTATCAAAGAACTGAAACTCATGGGTTCAGGGTAGCAGATGCCTCTGTGCCTTTCCCTAGTTCCTGTTTTCTTACACATTGTTACATTTCTTCCCTGCTATATTAAAGCCTGGTTTTAGTCAGGGAGATGGATTTGAGACTGAGCACCCATGTGCTTGGTTGCAGCACCCTATTAAAGCCTTCTTCCTTGGCAATAGTTGAAATCTCAGTGAATGGCTTTCTGTGCAGCAAGCAGCAGTACCTGGATGGAAACTGTGGTGTCTCTAGTAACAGTATACTGGTCAACCAGGTCTCTCTGGGAAAAAATAGCTGACATTTGTAGCATTTGTTGATATTCATGGTATAAATACATGTAGCAGATTTCAAGCTACCAATAGTGTAACAACTGGTTCATAGTACTCCTGTTTATCAGCCAGACAGGATGGCTTATGCCTGTAATCCCAGCTCTTTGGGAGGCCAAGCATGGTGGTGGTGTAATTCCAACTACTTGGGAGGCTGAGGCAGGAGAATCACCTGAACCCTGGAGAGGGAGGTTGCAGTGAGCCAAGGTTGTGCTACTGCACTTCAGCCTGGGTGACAGAGCAGAGACTCCATCTCAAAAAAAAAGTATTTCTGTTTACCAATCAGTTCGTTCACTGAGAAAGTCTTAGGGGTTTATTTTACAATAGAATGTTCTTTAAAGATGGTATTTAGGGATCACACCCATCTCACCTGTTTATTATAACAGACATGACTAGAGGCATTGCTTCTCAATATTACATATGTGTTAGGAGCTGTATGAAATCATTATTGATCATGGTGGCCAATGGCTAATATGTCTTGAAATTTAAGCCTACTTTTTTTTGAGACAGAGTCTTGCTCTGTCGCCCAGGCTGGAGTGCAGTGGCATGATCTCGGCTCACTGCAAGCTCTGCCTCCTGGGTTCATGCCATTTTCCTGCCTCAGCCTCCCAAATAGCCGAGACTACCGGTGCCCGCCACCACGACTGGCTAATTTTTTTCGTATTTTTAGTAAAGACAGGGTTTCACCACGTTAGCCAGGATGGTCTCGATCTCCAGACCTCGTGATCCGCCTGCCTAGGCCTCCCAACGTGCTGGGATTACAGGCGTGAGCCGCTGCACCCAGCCCTTTTTTTTTTTTTTTTTTTAATTGAGACAGGGTCTTGCTTTGTAACCCAGGCTGGAATGCAGTGGCACGACCTAGCTCACAGCAGCCTTGAACTCCTGGGCTCAAGCAATCCTCCTGAGTTGCTTGGACTCCAGACACATGCTGCCATGCCTGGTTAATTTTTAAATTTTTCCTTTTGACAGAGACAAGGTCTCACTGTGTTGCCCAGGCTCTCTTGTATACTGTATGGTGCATGACATTTGACTGTAATTTGATGCTCATTGAGGCAGGCTCATAATTCGTTGTTTAGAAAAATTTGGATCCTGCAACTTTGGGAATGGTGGCCTTTCTTTGAAAAAGAGAGTCTGGGCCTGGTCCAGTGGTTCATGCCTGTAATCCCAACACTTTGGGAGGCCAAGTCAGGCAGATCATCTGAGGTCAGGAGTTCAAGACCAGCCTGGCCAACATGGTGAAACCTGTCTCTACTAAAAATACAAAAATTAGCTGGGCATGGTGATGCATGCCTGTAATCCCAGCTACTCGGGTGGCTGAGGCAGGAGAATCACTTGAACCCAGAAGGCAGAGGTAGCAGTGAGCCAAGATCATGCCATTGCACTCCAGCCTGGGTGGCAGAGTGAAATTCTGTCTCAAAACAAAAACAAGAGGCTGTGTGTGGTGGCTCACACCTATAATCCCAGTACTTTGGGAGGCCAAGGTGGGCAGATCACGAGGTTAAGAGATCGAGATCATCCTGGCTAACATGATGAAACTCTGTCTGTACTAAGAATACAAAAATTAGCGGGGCGTGGTAGCACACGACTGTAGTTCCAGCTACTCCGGAGGCTGAGGAAGGAGAATAGCTTGAACAAAGGAGGCGGAGGTTGCAGTGAGCCGAGATTGTGCCACTGCACTGCAGCCTGGCACAGAGCAAGACTCTGTCTCAAAACAAAAAAAAAAAAAAAGAAAAAGAGAGTCTGTGTGAGACCCCTTAATTTTACAACAGTCTGTCAATTCCTGTAGCTAGCTTCAGGTATCTAAAGCATAGGGAACTCTATCTGGCAGTGCAGACAATAAAAAAGAAAATGTCGGCTGGGTGCGGTGGCTCACAACTGTAATCTCATCACTTTGGGAGGATGAGACGGGCCGATCATGAGGTCAGGAGATTGAGACCATCCTGTCTAACATGGTGAAACCCTATCTCTACTAAAAATACAAAAAAGTTAGCCAGGCATGGTGGCACACACCTATAGTCTCAGCTACTCGGGAGGTTGAGGCAGGAGAATCACTTGAACCTGGGAGGTAGAGCTGATATTACGCCACTGCACTCTAGCCTGGGTAACAGAGCAAGATACCATCTCAAAAAAAACCACAATAAAAACACAAAAAATGCATATGGGGCCATACACAGTTATTCTTTTCTACATCATGATGTCTTGAAGTTTAGTGGGCATCAAAATCACCAAGTTTCAAAAATACAGATTTATGTCCTCTCCTCCCAATATTCTGATCCAAAAGGTCTGGGTTGGCTCTAGAATCCATATTTTATAATAATGCAGCTGAATCTGATGCAGAGGCTCAGGGAACACTTGGAGAGGCCCTGGTCTAGATCTTCTGAGTCCTACCCTTACATGAAGATTGGTCAACAGATATGAATACATTCAGACCTGTAGAATCAACCCTGCTCGGGCGCGGTGCCTCACGCCTATAATCCCAGCACTTTGGGAGGCCAAGGTGGGCAGATCACCTGAGGTCGGGAATTTGAGACCAGCCTGACCAACATGGTGAAACCCCGTCTCTATTAAAAATACAAAATTTAGCTGGGTGTGGTGTCGGGTGCCTGTAATCCCAGCTACTCGGAAGCTGAGGTAGGAGAATCGCTTCAACCCTGGAGGCGGAGGTTGTGGTGAGCCGAGATCTCACCATTGTTGCCTGAGCAACAAGAATGAAACTCCGTCTCAAAAAAAAAAAAGAGTCACCCTGGCTCAGCCGCAAGTCATTAGTCTCCCTGCTTGGTTTTTATCAAAGGCCCAAACAAGAAACAGCTATATAAGGAAATGTGTTTTCACTCATTTTGATTTAATAATAAATTCCTTTTAGAATTTTAGCGTGAAAAAGCTATTATCTGAAAAGAGAGTCATCACATTTTTTTCCCTTAGTCCCTATGATGCTCAAAATAAGCTAAATGTAGTGTTCAATAAAAATCTTTTCCCACCCCTGGTTCTTGGCATAATTATGACTGCCTTTTTCTCCATAGTTTCTGATGCCTCAGCTTTTATTTTAAAGTACCTTAAATCCTTTTTGGAAATGCACAATGTGTAACAAAGCAAAAAATAGATAAAACACAGAGAAATCTGTTACGTATCATTACACTAACAAGAGACTATCTCTTGGTCCATCCAAAGTTGTGGACTAGTAGGGACTTTAAAGCACAGTTTTACCATACCATTTCTTCTGCCCTTTAACATCAAATTCCCCTTTCTGCTACCTTCATTAGCATAGGACTGACCAGACCATCAGTAAACAATAAGCAATGTTCTCAGCTCACTGCAATCCCCACCTCCTGGGTTTAAGTGATTCTCCTGCCTCAGCCTCCCAAATAGCTGGAATTACAGGCACCCGCCACCACACCCGGCTAATTTTTGTATTTTTAGTAGAGACGGGGTTTTACTATGTGGGCCAAGCTGGTCTTGAACTCCTGACCTGAAGTGATCTGCCCGCCTTGGCCTACCAAAGTGCTGGGATTGCAGGTGTGAGTCACTGACCCCAGCCAAGTTTTTTTTTTGTTTTGTTTTGTTTTTTGAAATGGAATTTCATTCTTGTTGCCCGGACTGGAGTGCAATGGCTTGATCTCAGCTAACCGTCACCTCCGCCTCTCGACTTCAAGCGATTCTCCTGCCTCAGCATCCCGAGTAGCTGGGTTGATAGGCGCACACCACCACGCCCGGCTAATTTTGTATTGTTAGTAGAGACAGGGTTTCTCCATGTTGGTCAGGCTGATCTCGACCTCCCGACCTCAGGTGATCTGCCCGCCTCAGCCTCCCAAAGTTCTGGGATTGCAGGTGTGAGCCACTGCTCTCATCTGTTCTTTCTTCCACTTGTCCCCACTCCCTGGAATGTTGCAATTCCAACCCTGCAGCTACAGAGTTCTCAGGTATCTATGAAGCCCCTTTCAGGAGGTCGTCACGGCCAGGCGCAGTGGCTCATGCCTTTAATCTCAACACCTTGAAAGGCTGAGGTGGGAAGGATGTCTTAAGGCCAGGAGTTTAAGACCAGCCCTGGCAACATAGCAAGACCATATTGCTACCAAAAAATAAAAATAAACATTAGCTGGGGCCGGGCGCGGTGGCTCACGCTTGTAATCCCAGCACTTTGGGAGGCTGAGGTGGACAGATCACCTGAGGTCGGGAGGTCGGGACCAGCCTGACCAACATGGAGAAACCCTGTCTCTACTAAAAATACAAAAAATTAGCTGGGTGTGGTGGCACATGCCTGTAATCCCAGCTACTCGGAAGGCTGAGGCAGGAGAATCATTTGAAACTGGGAGGCAGAGGTTGCAGAGGGCCGAGATCGTGCCATTGCACTCCAGCCTGGGCAACAAGAGTGAAACTCCGACTCAAAAAAAAAAAAAAAAAATTAGCTGGGCATGGCAGTGTGCACCTGTGGTCACAGCTATTGAGGCTGAGGTGGGAGGATTGCTGGAGCCCAAGAAGTCTTTTTGTTTTGTTTTGTTTTTTGAGATGGAGTCTTGCTCTGTCACCCAGGCTGGAGTGCAGTGGCATGATCTTGGCTCACTGCAAGCTCTGCCTCCCGGGTTCACACCATTCTCCTGCCTCAGCCTCCAGAGTAGCCGGGACTACAGGCACCCGCCACCACGCCTGGCTAATTTTTTGTATTTTTAGTAGAGATGGGGTTTCACTGTGTTAGCCGGGATGGTCTCCATCTCCTGACCTGGTGATCCTCCCTCCTCAGCCTCCCAAAGGGTTGGGATTACAGGCGTGAGCCACCGTACCCAGCCAGAGCCCAAGAAGTTGAGGCTGCAGTGAGCTATGATTGTGCCACTGCACCCCAGCCTGGGTGACAGAATGAGACCCCGTCTCAAAAAAAATAAAAATAAAAGCGGTAATCACTTCTCCCATGCATTCCCATTGAGCTTGGCATACACTCATATTATGGAACCTATCAAAATTTCACTTTATTTTCCCATCAGCCTCCCCAATCTTAATCAGGGGCTCTGTATCTTTCAACCTCTTAGCATACACTTATTTTATACAGTAGGTGTCTCTTATTAGCTGTAAGGAATTGATAATATGAAACTTAGAGCTTCAAATGAAAGCCCCTATGTGAGGAAGCATAAGAGAGGCCGGCTAAGGAATTTACTGTGATTTAACTCCAAAGTCTCCAAGCAGAACATGTTTTTCACTGTCCGTGAATGCGTCTGTGCTAACATACTGAAGGACTGAGAGGACTAACATACTGAAGGACTGTGGGCACCAGGAAGAATGTGCCCCCCACTGCTGACACCTCCTTCCAGACATTTCTGCACTTCTGAAGGAACAGTGCATATTTCCTATTTGAAAAGCCCAAATCTGTAGCATCTTAAATGTAGTCTGCATCAGACTTCCTTTAAGTGGCACTTGGATTTCAGAGAGGGTTTGCATTGAGTGGAAACCCCAGGAGGACGCTAAGAGCTTTGGAAAGGTTGACATGGAACCAGTTATTTGCAGCATGAAGAGCTTCTGTGTAAGAAGGCTGGAGGAAGCTGGTAAGAAAGGAAACCATCTCACCTCAGTTTCATCTCAGACAACTGGGCATCTTTCAGATCCATAGCTGACCCTCAGGAGTGGAGAGGAGAAGCTATTCCAACAGTGTTCTAGGCATTTCCATAATCACCCCCAACCTCATGACAAAGAAGCCTGGCTAAACCCACCCCTGGAAACAAGCCCTTGGGATTACTTGTTTCCTGTGAAATCTCCAACACTTAGCATGGTGCCTAGCCCATCATAGGTGCCCAATAATTGTTGAGTAGATAAATGAATGAAAGACAACCAAACAAAATGGCCAATAGAGCCATTTGGTCAAACTGCTTTAAGGATCAAATCAATCATAATTTTAGGCCAAATAAGCCTCTTGCTTGTGTTTGTTTTAGTTTAGTTTGGTTTTTTTCGAGACAGAGTCTCGCTCTGTCACTCAGGCTAGAGTGCAGTGGCGCAACCTCGGCTCACTGCAACTTCTGCTTCCCGAGTTCAAGCAATTCTCCTGCCTCAGCCTCCCAAGTAGCTGGGATTATAGGCACACACCACCACACCTGGCTAACTTTTGTATTTTTAGTAGAGATGGGGTTTCACCATGTTGGTCAGGCTGGTCTTTAATACCTCACCTCATGATCCACCTGCCTCGGCCTCCCAAAGTGCTGGGATTATAGACATGAGCCACCGCACCCAGCCGCCTCCTGCTTGTTTTATTATGAAGACTAATTCAAGGTTTGATTAGGTCATGTGCTATTTTACTGTATTTATTTGAATAGTTTGGGTCCCAAGCACAGAATTTAGATCTTGAGGGCAGGGATTATACCTTATTTTGCCCTCCTCTTCATTCAAATGCCTGCTGATGATTCTATCAGGTAATTAGATAGAGTAATCTTGAGAGGTCAAATATTTAAATCCAATTTTTCTTTAGTAAATGATCTTTCTCCATTAATTATATTTAACACAGAGTATTTTGCCAATAGAAATAATCTCAAGTGGCCTGGTACAGTGGTTTATACCTATAATCTCAGCACTTTGGGAGGCCGAGTCGGGTGGATAATCTGAGGTTGGGAGTTTGAGACCAGCCTGACCAACACGGAGAAACCCTGTCTACTAAAAATATAAAAAAATTAGCCAGACTTGGTGGTGCATGCCTGTAATCCCAGCTATTCAGGAGGCTGAGGCAGGAGAATCACTTGAACTCAGGAGGTGGAGGTTGCAGTGAGCTGAGATTGTGCCACTGCACTCCAGCCTGGGTGACAGAGGGAGATCCCATCTCAAAAAAAAAAAAAAAGAAAAGAAAAAAGAAAGAAAGAATCTCAAGTGAACTGAGTGCATTGTTGATGTGACCTTTACAACTGAAAAAAAAAGGGCTTCTGTTAGTATTACACACAGAACTTTCAGTGCACTTACGCCTGCAAAACCAATTGTAGTTTTTGTAAGATGCATCTAAGAATGAGAATTTCTCATTAAAAAGGAAAAAAATCAGCCAGGCGCGGTGGTTTATGCCTGTAATCCCAACACTTTGGGAGGCCAAGGTGGGTGGATCACCAGGGGTCAGGAGTTGCCAGCCTGGCCAATACAGTGAAACCCTGTCTCTACTAAAAATACAAAAATTAGCTGGGCGTGGTGGTACATACCTGTAATTCCAGCTACTTGGGAGGCTGAGGCTGGAGAATCGCTTGAACCTGAGAGGCAGAGGTTGCAGTGAGCTGAGGTCGCACCATTGCACTCCAGCCTGAAAGACAAGAGCGAGACTCCATCTCAAAAAAAAAAAAAAAAAAAAAAAGGAAAACATCATGCAAGAGGTAGCAGTTTCCTTGTCTAGGACATAGTAATCCGCCTTGAGAAAATTCTCCAGTTTGTGAGGGTAAATTCTGATTGAATGCCAGGGGATTCCCCTGATACATGTTCTTATAATATTAAGTAGGAAAAAGTTTCCTGACTTGACTTTAATTTGATTCTCAAGAATTTAAAGATGTTTTCTTTGCAACCACGGCAATGAACAAAACTGGAAACTATGAAAAGACAAAATGAAACCATGAGAAGGATAGTCTTATATCCATGTAGAGCGAAATAATATATTTTTGTCAAAATTTGAATCACTTCTGGCCAGGTGCAGTGGCTCATGCCTGTAATCCTAGCACTTTGGGAGGCTGAGGCAGGTGGATCACTTGAGGTCAGGGGTTCTAGACCAGCCTGGCCAACATGGTGAAACCCTGTCTCTACTAAAGATACAAAAATTCGGAGGGCATGGTGGCACACACCTGTAATCCCAGCTACCTGGGAGGCTGAGGCAGGAGAATTGCTTGAACCCAGGAGACGGAGGTTGCAGTGAGCGGAGATTGTGCCACTGCACTCTGCACTCCAGCCTGGGTGACAGAGGGAGACTCTGTCTCAAAAAAAAAAAAAAAATCATTTCAGAATCTGTAGTTTTGCAACCTCCACCCTCAAAACAAAGCCTTGGACTTTGGGAAAACTTGACTACAGATGACAGCTCTGTGCCTCTAAGCAGAACTTTAGTTTAGCTTTCTCAGATGAGTCGTTTTACTCAGTGAAGTAGATTCCACCCCTGTCCCAGGGTGAAAATGTTTCAGTGAATTGCAGTGTTTACAGCCAACAGGTTCTTCCTAATACCCCATGTTCTGGGTCCTTAGTAGATGTTCAATAAATATTTGCCCACTTAGGTAAACCAGATGTCCTGTGTGAGACCCCAAAACTAGGATTTCTGCCTTCTGGACTTTTTTGGTCTTCAATCAGTTGTTGATACATTTAGTCCTCAATAATTGGCTGCTTCACTGCCTTTATCCCCATTGTCTTCTGTGATCAGCTAGATTAATGCTTTCTTGCTGACATTAAACCTCCTGGGAGAAGCTGAGGCTGGTGCTTCCACTTCCCTATAGATGATGGAACTTTTCCTCCACCCTCAGATGGTCTTGCCCGTCACTCCACCCGAACCCCATTCAACTTTGCTTGACCGAATTTTCCAGCCGGGCTTGCTTAAAAGTCATAGGCCGGATGCAGTGGCTCATGGCTGTATTCCCAGCACTTTGGGAGGCCAAGGCGGGTGGATCACTTTAGGTCAGGAGTTCAAGACAAGCCTGGCCAGTGTGGTGAAACCCCATTTCTACTAAAACTACAAAAATTAGCTAGGCGTGGTGGTGGGTGTCTGTGATTCTAGCTCCTTGGGAGGCTGAGGCAGGAGAACCATTTGAATCCAGGAGGCAGAAGTTGCAGTGAGCAAAGATCATGCCACTACACTCCAGCCTGGGTGACAGAGCCAGACTCCATCTCAGAAAATAGTAATAAAAGTCATGGTAAACACCCACAGGCAGCAGCAGGCACCCCTTTCCTCCTCTCCAGTACTCAGCATTTACCCAGTTTTTTGTTTTTGTTTTTGTTTTGTTTGAGACGGAGTCTCACTCTATCACCCAGGCTGTAGTGCAGTGGCATGATCTTGGCTCACTGCAACCTCCGCATCCTGGGTTGAAGTGATTCTCCTGCCTCAGCCTCTTGAGTTGCTGGGATTACAGGCGTGTGCCAACCAAGCCTAGTTAATTTTGTATTTTTAGTAGAATAGGGCTTTCACCATGTTGACCAGGCTGGTCTCGAACTCCTGACCTTGTTATCTGCCTGCCATGGCCTCCCAAAGTGCTGGGATTACAGGTGTGAGCCACCTTACCCCACCCTAAGAGATTTTGCATTGCCTCTTAGGATAGCAATAATTGATGCTAGTCCCCCAAAAATCTCCTGTGCAATGGAAACTCCTTTCTTTCTGAATTGTCTTCATCAGTAAGAGCAGACATCAATTTTCACAAACAATAGAAATGCCAGTGTCAATTTCCCTCCTAGGGCACCCAGGTTAGCCCACTATGCCCTCTTCATAGCTTTCACTGCTTTGGGTATGGAAATGGATCCAGGAACTCATGAGATAAGAGTGGCAGTGTGCAGAGAATGTTCTAGTCAAGAAGAGGACAATTGATGCCCCTTCACGGGAGATGTTGCCTAATTGCTCTAAGAAGTTGGGATTTTGGCCAGGCGCAGTGGCTCATGCATGTAATTCCAGCAGTTTGGGAGGCTGAGGTGGGCGGATCACAAGGTCAGGAGATCGAGACCATCCTGACCAACATGTTGAAACACGGTCTCTACTAAAAATAGAAAAATTAGCTGGGTGTGGTGGCATGTGCCTGTAATCCCAGCTACTCGGGAGGCTGACGCATGATAGTCGCTTGAACCCAGGATGCGAAGGTGCAGTGAGCCGAGATCACACCACTGGACTCCAGCCTGGTGACAGAATGAGACTCTCTCTCAAAAAAAAAAAAAGAGAGAGAGAGAAGTTGGGATTTCTTGGGGAGTCAAAATGAGACAAGGATGATCTTGCAGGGCTCACATTTTCAGCTTCTCTTGTGGTACGTGAAGGCTGTTGGTGGTGGGTGTGTTTTTGTTTTTGCTTCTTTGTTTCTTTTTTTGGTTTTGCTTTTGTTTTTTGAGATAGGGTCTTGCTCTATCATCCAAGCTGGATTGCAGTGGTGCAATCATGGCTCACTGCAGCCTCAAACTCCTGGGCTCAAGTGATCCTCCCAACTCAGTCTCCCTAGCAGCTGGGACCACAGGTGCTCACCACCATCCCCAGCTAATTTTTTTGCATATATATTTTTTTAGAGACAGGGTTTCACCATGTTGCCCAGGCTGGTCTCAAACTCCTGGACTCAAGCAATCCAGCTCCCTCAGCCTCCCAAAGTGCTGTTCTTAACATGGAAGTTACTGATAAACATCGTGCTTATGAAAGCCACTCGTATTTTTCAGGCCCAGAACCTGAGGGGAGGCCGTTGAAGGGATGTCATGGTGCAAATGAGTTCCTTTGCCTCTCCAAGCACTGGTCCTTATTAACCTGGAGGTGACTGCAGCCACAAGAAAAACTCCCTAAAAGCTTTGCTGGCAGGAGGTGAAAGAGAAGATGCACCACGCCTGGAACATCCTAAGTGCTCAATAAATGGCTGCCGTGGGTGGCTGCTTCCCCAAGCCCTCCTCCTTCACCACAGGGTTCTTGTAAAATTCCTAACTGTCCTTGGAGGCCTAAATTCCCTGCTGTAGCCATCCTGATGCCCCTACCCTGTGACTTTGTGGTTTCATAATAAAGATAACAACAGCTGGGCCAGATGCATTGGCTCATCCCTGTAATCCCAACGCTTTGGGTGGTCGAGGAAGGAGGATTTTTGATGCCAGGAGTTTGAGATCAGCCTGGGCAACATAGCAAGACTTCATCTCTACAAAAATAAAGAAATTAGCCAGGTGCAATCGCATATGCCTATAGTCCCAGCTACTTGGGAGGCTGAGGCAGGAGGATCACTTGAGACCAACAGTTTGAGGCTGCAGTAATCATTCCGCTGAACTCTAGCCTAGGGAACAGACTCTGTTTCTTTTTTTTTTTTTTTTTGAGATGGAGTCTTGCTCTGTCACCCAGGCTGGAGTCCAGTGGTGGGATCTTGGCTCACTGCAAGCTCCGCCTCCTGGGTTCATGCCATTCTCCTGCCTCAGGCTCCCGAGTAGCTGGGACTACAGGCACCCACCACAATGCCTGGCTAACTTTGTTGTATTTTTAGTAGAGACGGGGTTTCACCGTGTTAGCCAGGAGGGTCTTGATCTCATGACCTCGTGATCTGCCCGCCTCGGCCTCCCAAAGTGCTGAGATTATAGGCGTGAACCACTGTGCCCAGCCCAGACTCTGTTTCTTAAAAAAAAGAGAGATATAATAATAGCTAATTTATTGAGCACCTGCTCTGTGCTGGGAAGTACCTGAACACTTTATATGCATTAACTCACTTAATCCTTGCAACAGTGCCATGAGATAAATGCACTGTCATTTCCAATTCAGGGGTGATGAAACTGAGGCACAGGAAAGCTTTATTTTGCTGCCCAGTTGCTGCGACTCAGAAAGCAGGGCACTGGCCCCTGGACTCAGGCTCAGCCCCAGACTTTCCCCCAGCTTCCCCTTTAACTCTGGAGTCTTTGTGGGTTTGATCTGACAAAAACCCAACAACTCTTTGGAAGGTGGTTTGGAGGAAAACGTGTTTTGCCTTTCCAAAATCAACATCTCCATGAACTTTTGGAAAAATATTCCTTTGTCCAGTCAGGGCTGTTGGTATTGGAGATGGGGTTGGGGCTCCTGAATAGCTACTGGACTTAGCTGTGCTACAAGGTGGTTGCCCCAACCTCACCATAGAACTGCAGCCCACACTTTGGAGGACTCCTAAGTCAGCGGGTCTGACAGGTTTCCAGCAATTACTTCATGTTTTTGAACTATCTGTCTGGACTTGCCCAGTTTCCAGTGGGTTCCTCCATGTAACTCTCCAGAGACAGCCATGATGTTTCAAGTACTGGGTCCCTTTGAAGGAGGTCTCATTCACATTCACAGACTGGACCTTTAGGTTATCAAATACTGTCACTATGACTTGCATGAAAGCATTTTCCATTTTCCATGTCCCCTTCACATCTTAGCTGCAGGGAGATGGAAGAATGATTTCATCTTTTCTGTCCCTTATTTATTTACTTATTTAATTTTTTTTTTTTTTTTTGAGATGGAGTCTCGCTCCGTCACCCAGGCTGGAGTGCAATGGCACGGTCTCAGCTCACTGCAACCTTCGCCTCCCAGGTTTAAGCAATTCTCCTGCCTCAGCCTCCCAAGTAGCTGGGACTACAGGTGCCCACCACCATGCCTGGTTAATTTTTGTATTTTTGGTAGAGATGGAGTTTGACTATGTTGGCCAGGCTTGTCTCGAACTGCTGACCTCGTGATCTACCTGCCTCAGCCTTCCAAAGTGCTGGGATTACTGGTGTGAGCCACCGCACCCAGTAATTTTTTTTTTTTTTTGATGGAGTCTCACTCTGTCCCCCAGGCTGGAGTGCAGTGGCATGATCTCAGCTCACTGCAACCTTCGCCTCCCAGGTTCAAGCAATTCGCCTGTTGTGAGTAGCAGGAACCACAGGAGCACAACACCATGCCCGGCTCATTTTTGTGTTTTTAGTAGACACGGGGTTTCACCATGTTGGCCAGGCTGGTCTCGAACTCCTGGCCTCAAGTGATCCGCCTGCCTTGGCCTCCCAAAGTGCTGGGATTACAGGTATAGGCCCCTGCGCCCAACCTCTTATTTAATTTTTAATTTTTATTTAATTAGATGCAAGATCTCACCATGTTGCCCAGGCTGGTCTCAAACTTCTGGGTTCAGGTGATACTCCCCGCTTGGCCTCCCAAAGTGCTGGGATTATAAGCGTGAGCCACTGCACCCTGCCTAGTGCCTTATTTAGAAGTGAAGAGGTTGGTGCTTCCTTGGAAGGAATTCTTTGTTGCCACTGATAACAACTATGGTTTCTTGAGTCTGTTCTGACTTGAGTCTGTTCTGTGTCCTCAGCAGCAGGCCCAAGTTACCTGCAGTCTCGCCAGTTTCACAGATGAGGAAACAGAGGCTCAGAGGACTTATGCCCTAGGCGGAGCTGGGGTTGAAACCCAGTTCTGTCTGGGAAAACAGTGCCAAAGACTGTTTTCCCAACCACCAGGCTCTCCTGCCTCCAGCTGCCTGTGGTCCTCCATGGGGATCAAGAGGGTGCATGTGGGGCTAGTCCAAATGGCAGACAACTTTGAAAAATCCTGCTTGCTTCTGGAATCTATTATTGGTGAGATTTACTTGTTCTGTTTAGGCTAATATTGACATTAATTTACATTTTGTGAGTTTACAGGAGCTCATGGAAGTTGGGAGGGGGAATCAAGAAGGAAGTCAGAAGGAGGTTGGAAATCAGCCTTATTGCACCAACAAAGTGGCAGCTGTGGAACTGGGTTAACTGAGGCTTGGCTATGTGTGCAGGTTTTATGGGAGATGATGAAATTATGAATTTCAGTCTGTGATGCAGGTTCATTGAGTTCAGACACTTCTAATTTAAAATTCACAGTGACCAAGCAGTGGCTTATTTAAAGCCTTTCTGTATTTACTTAGCAAAGAAAAAAAAAATTCCTTTGGCTGGGCGCAGTGGCTCATGCCTGTAATCCCAGCACTTTGGGAGGCTGAGGCGGGCAGATCACAAGGTCAGGAGTTTGAGACTAGCCTGGCCAATGTGGTGAAACCCCTTCCCTACTAAAAATACAAAAATTAGCCGGGTGTGGTGGTGCTCACTGGTAGTCGCAGCTACTCAGGAGGCTGAGGCAGGAGAATCGCTTGAACCCGGGAGGCGGAGTTTACAGTGAGCCAAAATCATGCCATTGCACTCCAGCCTAGGCGACAGAGCAAGACTCCACCCTGCCCCCCCAAAAAAAGATTATACAAATGAGTAAGGTAAACAGAGATGTCAGAGACTGTACTGTTTTGGGGGAGTTTTCAGTGGCTTGATCACATGCATTTCTTTCCAGACAACAATCCCTATTAAGTATGTGTCTTATTCCCAGTTTATTAATGTGGTCCCCAAGGATGCCTCTATGAGGCAGCTTTTTGTTAGGCCAGGTTGTCATCCTCCTTTTTAAAATGCTGAGATTAAGATTTTCTCCAATTATGATCTGTCTTCCTTCTGATTTAATGAGGTTTGATTTGTGTCAGAAAATTTTCATGACTGTACCTGACATTCTTTAGCAGTGGCTGACACCTAGCTTGCCATGGTGGAATGCACGTATTTATTGTGTGTATAGAGAGAAGGGAGGATATCACTGTGAACCAAAGAAACTCCAACTAATTGCAACATTTCTGGAAAAGATGAGCTGCCGTGGGAAAGATATTCTTTAGAAACATCGATTTCTGTGAAAACACAATCCAAAGAAAATGCAGGGGAAATCAGATGCCTGTGTGCTTTCCTGGGCCAGTGCTTGTTTTTTGTTTTTGAGATGGAGTCTCGCTCTGTCACCAGGTTGGAGTACAGTGGCACGATCTTGGCTCACTGCAACCTCCAACTCCCTGGTTCAAGTGAATCTCCTGCCTCAGCCTCCCAAGTAGCTGGGATTACAGGCATGGACAACCATGTCCAGCTAATTTTTGTATTTTGAGTAGAGATGGAGTTTGACCATGTTGGCCAGGATGGTCTCAATCTTCTGACCTTGTGATCTGCCTGCCTCGGCCTCCCAGAGTGCTGGGATTATAGGCGTGAGACACTGTGCCTGGCCGCCAGCGCTTGTTTTTAATGGGGGTATCTGATACTTGTTCCCATAAACAGGCCCCTCTCTCTCCTTCATCTCATTCTTATTTATCCATCTGCAGAAAAAACACAAGGCTGCCTCTCTAGCTCCAAGAAGACTTAGATGTGATGTGGCTTGCTTGGCACATATAGCTTTTGTTTGTTTGTTTGTTTTTCATTCTTTGGGGTTGTTCAAGATAGAGAAAAGAAATTACAGGCTGGGCGCAATGGCTCATGCCTGTAATGCAGCACTTTGGGAGACTGAGGCAGGCAGATCACCTGAGGTCAGGAGTTTGAGACCAGCCTGGCCAACATGGAGAAACCCTGTCTCTACTATAAATACAAAAATCAGCCGGGCATGGTGGTGGGTGCCTGTAATCCCAGCTACTCAGGAGGCTGAGGCAGGAGAATCGCTTGAACTGGGGAGGCAGAGGCTGCAGTGAGCTGAGATCATGCCAGTGCAGTCCAGCCTGGGCGACAAAGAGAGACAAAAAAAAGGAAAGGAAAGGAGAGGAGAGGAGAGGAGAGGGGAGGGGAGGGGAGGGGAAGGGAGGGGAAGGGAGGGGAAGGGAGGGGAAGGGAGGGGAAGGGAATTACACACATGTTCAGGCCATGTAAAAATTTCCAAACTGCTAAGATCATGACCTGATATCGATTATTATTTAGCCTAGTGCAGTGGTCTAAGCTGTCTTTGACGTGAATGAAGCCATGTGAAAGATAGTCTAGATGAGTGTAATTCATTCATGCCTGCATTCATTCAACAAGCATGTGCTGATTGACAGTCATATGCCATTCATTGATGGTAAGGTGGATTGACTTCCCTCTTCTTAAGAGGATGAGCACTTCTAGTTGCTTTCTAGTGATGGTGATGGGTTTTCCTGATGCACAGCTTGCCTAGAGACTGCTTGTGAACCAGGATACTCATTTTCCAAGGATAGTTGAGTAAGGAGTGCAAGGAAGACTGTTAAAGTAGAGGGACAGTCAACGACCCAGGCCTCCTGGCCACCATGTTCTGATCAGTTAGGCTGCTGGACTCAGCTGTGAAGTGGCTTGTGATAATGGCAAAAGCTACAAGTCAGGCTGATTTGTAAAATTTTATACATGGATGAAGGAGTCTTCTCTAAGTCCTTGACAGTTGACCCCATATTGAGGGAGCTGCATAGGTGATAGGTACCTACCACTACAAACCCTCTTTATGGGAACATGAGCTCCAGTAGATGACATTCAGTGTGGACTCCATCAGTGATTCATGTGTCACTCCTAAAGAATAGAATAAGTGGGCCGGGCACGGTAGTTCACGCCTGTAATCCCTGTACTTTGGGAGTATAAGGTGGGCAGATCATGAGGTCAAGAGATGGAGACCAGCCTGGCCAACATGGTAAAACCCCGCCTCTACTAAAAATATAAAAATTAGCTGGGTATGGTGGCACACGCCTGTAGTCCCAGCTACTCTGGAGGCTGAGGCAGGAGAATTGCTTGAACCCAGGAGGTGGAGGTTGCAGTGAGCTGAGATCACACCACTGTACTCCAGCCTGGCAATAGAATGAGACTCCATCTCAAAAAAAAAAAAAAAAAAAAAAAAAAAAAAAGAGTAAGTGAATTTATCTCCACTTCTATGGAGTCTATGCTCATTTGGAAAGGTTTCTGTTTAGGAAAGTAAATTTCAAATGATCATAACTTTGGCTTCCTTTACAGATTCAGGTTTACCTTGAGATTAACATATCCATTCTCAAACAAAAAAAAATGAAACAAGCTTATGTTCAGATTTCACTACTTTTTTTTGTTTTGTTTTGTTTTCAGTTTAGTAGTGTTTCATTTTAAAAACCAGACCATGCTTTTTATTTTGTCTGTTTTGTTTTTTTTTCACCCAAGAAGAGGTCCAGAATTGCAAAATCCTTTTCTTAGGTTTAATCCAGATATATGTTTCTCAGAACATTTGCTTTTACATGAGTAATAAGAAAAGAAATGAGAGAAATGGATGATCTTTATTTTCACATGGAATAATGTATAAAAAGTACATGTAAGGCTGGGCGCAGTGGCTCGTGCACTTTGGGAGGATGAGGCGGGCAGATCATGAGGTCAGGAGATCGAGACCAACTTGGCCAACATGGTGGAACCCCGTATCTACTAAAAATACAAAAATTAGCTGGGCATGGTGGCGTGCGCCTGTAGTCCCAGCTACTCGGGAGGCTGAGGCAGGAGAATCACTGGAACCTGGGAGGTTGCAGTGAACCAAGATTGTGCCACTGCACTCCAGCATGGTGACAAAGTGAGACTCTCTCCAAAAGAAAAAGAACACGCATGAGGCCAGGTGCTGTGGCTTACACTTGTAATCCTAGCATTTGGGAAGCCAACGGGGGTGGATCACTTGAGGCCAGGAGTGCCCGGTCAACATGGGGAAACCTCGTCTCTATAAAAAAAAAAAAAAAAATTAGTCAGGTGTGGTGGTGCATGCTTGTAATCCCAGATACTGGGGAGGGTAAGGCATGAGAATGACTTGAACCTAGGAGGCTGAAGTTGCAGTGGGCCGAGATTGCACTACTGCACTCCAGCCTGGGCAACAAGAGTGAGACCGTGTCTCAAAAAATAAAATAAAATAAAATAAAATAAAATAAAATAAAATAAAATAAAATAAAATAAAATAAAATAAAATAATTACGTGCATGAACGATCTTTGAAACAATGAGAAGTTCTGTAGGTGTATGTAAGATTGCAGTAATTAAAGCAGTGTGTTGTTGGTAAAAATAGTAGAACATAGATAAATAGAACTCAGAAGACACCCATGAAGCAGATTCTAGAGCTTGTAATGATAGTTTATGATAAAGGCATTTTACAAACCATTGCTAAAAGGATGAATTATTTAATTAATGATGGTAAGAGAATGAAATATCTGAGAGAGGTCTCAAGTTATGTTTATCTTCACCATCAGAGAAAAAAACCATGTCGGTTGGGTGTGGTAGCTCACGCCTGTAAACCCAGCAGTTTGGGAGGCCGAGGCGGGCAAATCACAAGGTCAGGAGATCGAGACTTTCCTGGCTAACATGGTGAAACCCCATCTCTACTAAAAATACAAAAAAATTAGCTGGGCATGGTGTCGGGCACCTGTAATCCCAGCTACTCGGGAGGCTGAGGCAGGAGAATGGCGTGAACCTGGGAGGCGGAGCTTGCAGTGAGCCGAGATCCTGCCAATGCACTCCAGCCTGGGTGACACAGCGAGACTCCATCTCAAAAAAAAAGCAAATGTCAAAATGAATTCGAGATGGATTAAGAGTAAAATGGAATAATAAAACCATTAAAAAAAATCCAAAAGAAAATCTAAATGATCTCAGAGTCAAAGAGGACATTGTTATTTATTTATTTATTTATTTATTTATTTATTTATTTATTTAGATGGAGCCTCACTCTGTTGCCCAGGCTAGAGGGCAGTGGCGCCATCTCGGCTCACCGCAACCTCTGTCTACCCGGTTCGAGCAATTCTCATGCTTCACCTTCCAAGTAGCTGGGACTACAGGCATGTGCCACCACTTGTGGCTAATTTTTGTATTTTTAGTAGAGACGGGTTTCAAAATGTTGGGCAGGCTGGTCTCCAACTCTTGACCTCAAGTGATCTGTCTGCTTCAGCCTCCCAAAGTGTGAGATTACAGGCATGAGCCATCATGCCTGGCATAACAGGACATTGTAATTTTTAAAAATCAATGGAAGAAATTAAAAAAGGAAAGACCCATAGATTAAATTATATAAACTGTAAAACTTTTTTTGGTAAAAATGTCATAAGCAAAATTAAAACACATATTACAACAAATACCAGTCAGATATATTAAGAGATTTAAAAATATAGAACAGGCCGGTACAGTGGCTCACCTTTGTAATCCCAGTGCTTTGGGAGGTCCAGGTGGGAGGATTGTTTGAGCCCAGGAGTTTGAGAACAGCCTGGGAAACATAGCAACATCCTGTCTCTACAAAAATAAAAAATTAATCAGGTGTGGCGACGCATGCCTCTAGTCCTAGCTACCTGCGGGAGAGTCACTTGAGCCTAGGAGCTCCAGGATTCAATGAGCTATGATTGCACACTGTACTCCAGCCTGGGCAACAGGGTAAAACCCTGTCTCTGAAAAAATAAAAAATTATATGCACATATATATGTAATGAATACGTTGCACCAAGAGAAAAGTAAACGAAAAGTGGCCGGGCACGGTGGCTCATGCCTGTAATGCCAGCACTTTGGGAGTCCAAGGCGGGCGGATCACGAGGTCAGGAGATCGAGACCATCCTGGCTAACATGGTGAAACCGCATCTCTACTAAAAATACAAAAAATTAGCCAGGCGCGGTGGCGGGCGCCTGTAGTCCCAGCTACTCGGGAGGCTGAGACAGGAGAATGGTGTGAACCTGGGAGGCAGAGCTTGCAGCGAGCTGAGATTGTGCCACTGCACTCCAGCCTGGGTGACGGAGAGAGTCCATCTCAAAAAAAAAAAAAAAAAAGAAAGAAAAGAAAAGAAAAGAAAAGTAAGCAAAAATATAGATAATTCATAGAAATACACATTAATGAAAAATATATTTTAAGGAATTCAAACACACAAGGAACAAAATGATGGTTTAAATGCAATTCTGTGATTCTAGTTTTCCCTTATCAAATTAGCAAAGATAAGAAGAATACTTCAATCTAGTGTACCTTTGCAGGAAAGAAAGCCCTTTCATGTACACTTGATGAATGTGTAAATTGCTAAACTCTTTTTTGAAAACAATTTGTCAATATATATCAACAGTCCTAAAATATTTATGCCCTTTTCTCTAGTAATTTCATATCACAAAGTTGTCAGAGAGATGCAGACCAATATTTATATCCTGGGATTTCATTGCAGCATTATTTATAATAATGAACAATTGGAAGCAACTCAAATATTCAACAGAGAGCAATTATAAACAACATTATGATACATCAAGAAAATGTAAGATTATGTGGCTAGTAAACATTTTGTGGTATGGTTTGGATGTGGTCGGTCCCTGCTGGAATGCATGTTGAAATTTGATACCCAATGTAGCTGTGTTGGGAGGTAGAGCCTAGTGGGAGGTGTTTGGGATATGGGAACAGATCCCTCATTAATAGATTAGATTAGTGCTCTTCTGCAAAGGTAAATGAATTCTCCCTCTGGCAGGAATAAATTAGTTCCCTTGAGAGCAGATTAAAAAAAAAAAAATTCTGGCTGGAGGCAGGGCTCACACCTGCAATCCCAGCACTTTGGAGTACGAGGCAAGAACATGGCTTGAGTCCAGTATTTTGAGACCAGCTTGAGCAACATAGCGAGACCTCATCTCTGCAAAAATAAAAATTAAAATATTAGCCAAGCATGGTGGCATGGGCCTGTAGTTCAAGCTACTAAGGGGGCTAAGGTGGGAGGATTGCTTAAGCCTAGATGTTGGAGGCTGCAGTGAGCTTTGACCATGCCACTGCACTCCAACCTGGGTGAGTGTGAGACCCTGAAAAAAACAAAAGTCTGGCTTCCCCAGTTTTTCTTTTTTGCTTCCTTTCTTGCCATGTGATCTTTGCACACTTCCACTTCCCTCCTGTTTTCTGCCTGGAGCGGAGGCCCTCACCTGATGCAACTGTCCAATCGTGGACTTTCCAGCCACCAGAATCATGAGCCAAATACATTTCTTTTCTTGATAAATTACCCAGCCTCAGGTCTTCTGTAATAGCAACAGAAAACAGACAAAGACTTTTTGTTTTCAAAGAATATTCCATGTCATGGGGAAAGTCTCATAATATGGTGTTATGTGAAAATAGATACACAGGTTCCATTTTGAAATAAATATATATTTAGAAATGAAACAGGAAGAAAATATGCCAAAATGTTAACTGGTTTTTCTCTTATTGATAGGATTACAGTGGAGCTTTTAGATTTTAATGTCTTCCAGATCTCCCCTCCCCTCCCCTTCCCTTCCCCTCCCCCTCCCCTCACCTCCCCTTTCCTTTCTTTTTCAAGTAAGGGTCTTCCCCTGTCACCCATGACAGAATGCAGTGGCATATTCGTGGCTCACCGTAGCCTCGAACTCCTAGGCTCAAGCAATCCTCCCATCTCAGCCTCTCAAGAAGATGAGACTACAGATGTGTGCCACCACACCTGGCTAATATATATATAGCATCTGTTTCTGCAAGTGGATTGCAAGCACCTTGTGGTGTCTAGTGTGATACTTAGTATATAAGAGTAGTGTTAGTACACAGCAGGTGCTCAATAAATACTGCAGATTATCTCATTTCTAAGCTACCTGTGGCAACATGGTTCTCTATGCATTCAGGAATTTTTTTTTTTCTTTGCGTATTTCCCGTCTACCCTCCCCAAACAAAGCCATTTAGAGACAGATGGACCAGACCTTCCGCAATCTCAGTGAGCCCATGAGCATCCCAGACTGAACAGAAATTCAGCTGTAGACCTAGCAGATGTTTATTATCCTCCCTCCTTCTTTTGTTGTTTTTCACACACCTCTGTGCTGGAAAAGAGCCACCTGGTATATTAACTCTACACAGATGCTTGGAATTTTCTGTCCTTTTAACCTAGCAAAGAAAGGAGTTGTAAAACATAAAGACTTCTTTTTTTAACTTTTAAAATAAATGAAATCGGCTGGGCATGGTGACTCATGCCTGTAATCCTAGCACTTTGGGAGGCTGAGGCGGGGGGATCGCTTGAGGTCAGTAGTTCTAGACCAGCCGGGCCAACGTGGTGAAACCACATCTCTACTAAAAATACAAAAATTAGCCAAAAAATTACAAAAATACAAAAATTAGTGTGGCCTGTAGTCCCAGCTGTTCAGAAGGCTAGGCAAGAGAATTGCTTGAACCTGGGAGGCAGTGGTTGCAGTGAGCGAAGATCGTGCCATTGCACTCCAGCCTGGATGACAGAGCAAGACTCTGTCTAAAAAATAAAAATAAATAAAAAATAATAAATGAAATCATCTTTCATTTTAGTTATGGAGATAAAGGGAGGGTGAGGCCTTCCTTACAGAGCCGGGGCCAGCTGTGTTTATACTGAACATCAGGGCCAGGGCCTAGGAATAGTGACAGGCACAGGTGGCCATAGGATATTGGCAAGAGGTCACAGACCCAGACACGTGCATGGCCAGGCATGTAGCAAATGGGGCGTGTCAAATGGTAGCCGTGGGTGGGACCAGAGGTGGAAGTACATGATTTAAGCTTCCCGAGCCCTGACTTGCTCAGGCCTCTGGAGGGGCCTTAGCAATTTTGTATTTATAATTTCAATTTATTTTTCTTAGAGAAGTCATTCCAACTAATATAAGCCTCAGGCCTGATAAAAACCTATCTTTGCCTCTGGTGGAACTCTCGTACCCAGTGTGCCCTGGCCTAAATAAGTTGGACCATTCGGCCTCAAGTGATGACAGCTAATCAGAAGTGTTGCTAGGGCTTTTGATTTTTCCAGAGCAGGAGGAATCCAGGTTTTTGTATGAAATCTCTGACAGTTTAAATGTCAGTAACTTACAGCCAGGCATGGTGGCTCACACGTATAATCCCAGCACTTTGGGAGGCTGAGGCAAGTGGATCATTTGAAGTCAGGAGTTCGAGACCAGCCTGGGCAACATGGTGAAACCCTGTCTTTACTAAAAATACAAAAGTTAGCTGGGCGTGGTGGCATGTACCTGTAGTCCCAGTTACTTGGGAGGCTGAGGCAGGGGAATCACTTGAACCCAGGAGGCGGAGGTTGCAGTGAACTGAGATCATGCCACTGCACTCCAGCCTGGGTGGCAGAGTAAGACTTTGTCTCAAAAAAAAAAAAAAATTGTTGGTAACTTACAACAAAATAAAAAACCACTGTGGCCAAACAAGTTGTATATATATATAGGCTGGAGTGAATTCATGGACTGCCAATCTGTGACTTCTGGTTATTTGAGTTGAGGAATTACAGAATTGCCAAATTCTGTCATTTGGCTCCATGGCAGGGTCTACCTGTCCTCTGTCCTCTGCCCATTAGAACAGGTTTGGATAGGTCTCTACCAGGGAGTTTTGATCTTTTCTGCAGCTGCAGCCAACAGCCAGACATCCTCTAAATGTCACCCGCTGGTCACAACGACGGAAAGCCAACCGGGGGTGCAGCTAGACAAATTGATGTAAATTCATTTCCACAATTGGCAAAGCCAACCAAAGCACATGGCCCACTGACAGTGATGTGGCAGCAAAGTCACTTGAACATGTGAAGACCACGTGGGGTGGCTATTGTTCTTTCTGGGCACTAATTAATCTTGTGGGTGGGTAAGTAACTGTGTTGTGCTCCTCCAGATGGCCGCAGCCAGTGAGTTCAGGGGAGATTTATATAACTGATCAAACAGAGAGCAAGTCACTTCCCTCGAGCCCCCAAATCCACTTGAGGCCACACACCCAGCCTTTCATAACTGCAGGCTTTCCACCATGTGAACACTATTCAGAAACTGCAAAGGCCCCCCAGTTAAAGGAGTGACTTCTGCATGTCATTTCATATGTAGAAGATGATGGTTCCTCTTAAGTTCCCGGGATGACAGGTGACATCAGATGGGGTCACCGGCTGGTATTTAGGGCAGAACACAGCTGTCAAGGATATTGGGTAGAGGGACGAGGCTGTTAAGAACAGTGGATTGCGAGTGATAGCCTGTGGGCTTCCTTCTGTTGTTAGCTCAGATTGGCCATAAAGCTGCTTTGAGTGGCTGTGTTTCCATCACTAATTAGCATGCCGTGGGAGCTGCTTTGGCATTGCCATAGAGAGGTTTCAGGGCTGCTGCTTGGCATTTTTTTTTTTTTTTTGAGACAATCTCGCATCTTGCTCTGTTGCCCAGGCTGGAGTGCAGTGGTGCGATCTTGGCTCACTGCAACCTCCATCTCCTGGGTTCAAGCAGTTCTTGTGCCTCAGCCTCCTGAGTAGGTAGGACTACAGGCACGTGCCACCATGCCTGGCTAATTTTTTTGTATTTTGGTGGAGACCAGGTTTCACCATATTGGCCAGGCTGGTCTTGAACTCCTGACCTTGTGATCCGCCCGCCTCAGCCTCCCAACGTGCTGAGATTACAGGCCTAAGCTGCCAGGCCTGACCTGCTGCTTAGCTTTTAAGTAACTACCAGGATCTGTGGTAGTGGTGAAGCGTGCTTTGCATAAGCCTAGGGATCTGTTGTATAAACTCCACTACTCCTGCTTCTGATCAGGGGTGTCAGGGGGTGAGGGAATTGCATAACATTTAAGGGAGCATCAACCCTTCCCCCCATGCATGGGCTTCTTCCGGAAAGGGCCCATCAGAACCACCACCCCCCACCAGGGAAGGGGTGTTATTTATTTATTTATTTATTTATTTATTTATTTATTTATTTGAGATGAAGTCTCGCTGTTGTCATCCAGGCTGGGGTGCAGTGGCACAATCTCAGCTCACTGCAACCTCCACCTCCTGGGTTCAAGCAATTCTCCTGCCTCCCTCCCAAATAGCTGGGACTACAGGTGCCCGCCACCACGCCTGGATAATTTTTCTATTTTTTAGTAGTGATGGGGTTTTGCCATGTTGGCCAGGCTGGTGTCGAACTCCTGATGTAAGGTGATCCGTCTACTACCACCTCCCAGTGACTACAGGTGTGAGCCACTGCACCTGGCCAAAAAGTCTATATAGTCTTAGAAAAAGCTGCAGGCTGGGCATGGTGGTACACACTTGTAGTCCCAGCTACTTAGGAGGCTGAAGCAGGAGGATTACTTGAGCCTAGGGGTTCAAGGCCAGCCTGGGCAACATAGCTAGACCCCATCGCCTTAAAAAATGCAGAAGTTAGCCAGGCATGGTGGTGGGTGCCTGTAGACCCAGCTACTTGGGAGGCTGAAATGGGAGGATCCCTTGATCTCAGGAGTCAAAGCTGCAGTGAGCTGTGATCATGCCACTGCACTCCAGCCTGGGCGATAGTGTGAGCCCCCATTTCTAAAAAAGAAAAAAAAGAAAGAAACTGCAGTAGATAATGTATAATGGAAGACAATAAAAGAAGGAAGATGAAGCGTTTTTCCCCAGGGAGTTAGGCTGTCAGTGTGTCTGTCTGAAACCTTCCCAGTAAGTCAGTATTTCTAGTGCATGCCTGGTAGAATTACCTTGCTTTGTCTTCTAATTCATTCACTCACAAATTAATATATGAATTCCTATTATAATCCAGTCCCTCAGTCAGATGCTAGGCACACGTGATGAGTGAAATACAGTCCCTGCAGTTTGGAGCATACATAAAGAAGAGTATAAAAACTAAATGTCAGCCGGGCACAGTGGCTCATGCCTGTAATCCCTGCACTTTGGGAGCTTAAGGCAGATGGATCATCTGAGGTCAGGAGTTCGAGACCAGCCTGGCTAAGATGGTGAACCCCCCCCCCCCCCACTAATAATAATAAAAAAAGTTAGCTGGGCATGGTGGCACGTGCCTGTATCCCTAGCTACTCGGCAGGCTGAGACAGGAGAATCGCTTGAAACTGGGAGGCAGAGGTTGGTTGCAGTGAGCCGAGATCATGCCACTGTACTTCAGCCTGGCGACAGACCAACACTCGTCTAAAAAAAAAAAAAAAAAAGGAAATGTTCTAGATTCTAATGAAGAATGATGACATAGTTTGGATTAATTATCTTGGACTGGTTTTTTTTTGTTGTTGTTGTTGTTGTTTGTTTGTTTTGAGACAGAGTGTTGCTCACTGCAACCTCCGCCTCCCGGGTTCCAGATATTCTCCTGCCTCAGCCTCCTGAGTAACTGGGACTACAGGTATGTGCCACCACACCTGGCTAATTTTTGTATTTTTAGTAGAGACCGGGTTTCACCATATTAGCCAGGATGGTCTCGATCTCCTGACCTCATGATCTGCCCAGCTCACCCTCTGAAGATGCTGGGATTACAGGCCTGAGCCACAGCGCCTGGCCTGTCTTCAGTTTTATACATTGTATCCAGGTGTGGACTTTTACAAATTTATATTGCTTGGGATTTGCTGTGAGTTGATGTCTGTCATCAGCTCTGGAGAATTCCTGGCTATTATTTCTCCAAACATTGGCTTTGCTCCAATATCTCATTCTTCTTTCTTCCTGTATGTCGATTAAATGAATGTTAGATCTTTTTAACCACTCTCCTTTTTATATTTTCCTTCTTTTTTTTTCCTTTTCAAGCTGAATTATGGATAGTTTTTTCCTGACCTGTCTTCTGCTTCACTAATTCTCACTTCAGCTGAGATGATCTGCTATGAAGTCAGCCACTGGCTTTTTAACTTCAATGACTGTATTTTTCAGTTTGAGAATTTCTAGTTGGCCCTTTAAAAAACTTTTGTGTCATTTTCTATAGTTTCCAATTGCCATAATTGTCAAGTGTGGCTTTTATGTTTCTGAAGGCAGTAAACAGAGTTGTTTTATGGCCTGTGTCTAAGAATTCTCATTTCTAAAGTCTCTGTGAGCCCGTTTGCACTCTTGGCTGTTCCTGCCATCCTAGCTCTTAATGTCTTGTTTTATTTCTTTTTCTTTCTTTTTTTTTTTTTTTGCGACGGAGTCTTGCTCTGTCACCCAGGCTGGAGTGCAGTGGTGCAATCTCTGCTTACTGCAACCTCCACCTCCCTGGCTCTAACAATCCTCCTACCTCAGCCTCCCGAGTAGTTGAGATTACAGGTGCACGCCACCACGCCTGGCTAATTTTTGTATTTTTAGTAGAGACTGGGTTTCACCATATTGGCCAGGGTGATCTTGAACTCCTGGCCTCAAGTGATCCATCTGCCTCAGCCTCCCAAAATGCTGCAATTACAGGCATGAACCAACAAGCTGGGCTGTAATGTCCTGCTTTCTTGAGTACCTGAATTATGTTAGATGGTATTGGGCATTACATATGTATGAATATATATGTATATACGTGAATAATGGTGGAGTCTTCCAGATAGGTTTTTAGCTGTGTCTGCCAGTGGGGCACCACCAGTCTGGAACCACCTTAATCCAAGTTCAAAGTTTGAGACTCCTGGACCTCCCAGATGATCTGAACTTGTCTGTGAGCCTGAGGGCTGCATACTTGCCCTCCTCCCTGACCCTGCGGACCCTGCTTGACATGGGGAGTGGTGTATCTGAATCCCTAAATTTGGCAGACCCTGGGCTTTGAATTGTGTTCTTTTACCCTGTAAGACTATGGAAAAAACAGCTCATTTTCAAAGCTATTTTTTTCCAGATTGAAAAATGCCTTAGGATAAAAGCTTTGTGGGCTGGGCGAACCTCTTCTGGGTTTGTCCTGGCCTCAATTTTGGCAGATGTTTCTTCACCACTTTATTATCATTTTGATCCTCTTAAGGAAATTAAACAAATCTTTCAGCTGGCTTTTTAAGTTGTCTTTTGTAGAAGAGTTTATCTAAATTACTTAACCTGCTGTTAGCAAGGGAGAAGTACCAGGTGACCTAGGTTCAAATCCCAGGTGTGTGTATCACTTACAGCTGGCTGGTGTCAGCCAAGTTTGTTTGCTCATCTATCTGATGCACACATTAAACCCGTACCTACTTGATGTCGTGGCTGTAAAATTTAAAAGTGAACATTGTTTTTTATAAAGGGATATAGTCACAGATTTATTTATTGTGTGTGTCCCACACTAGAATGTCAATTCCAAAAGAATGGCACTTCACAGCCTGGTGTGGTGGCTCATGCCTATAATCCCGGCACTTTGGAAGGCTGAGGCAGGCAAATCACGAGGTCAGGATTTCAAGACCAGCCTGGCCAACGTGGCAAAACCATGTCTCTGTTAAAAATACAATTAGCTGGCTGTGGTGATGGGCACCTATAATCCCAGCAACTCAGGAGGCTGAGGCATGAGAATCGCTTGAACCCGGGAGGCAGAGGTTGCAGTGAGCCGAGATCACGCCATTGCACTCCAGCCTGGGTGACAGTGGGAGACTCTGTCTCAAAAAAAAAAAAAAAAGACAAGTGGCACTTCACCATTATTTGTTATTTCCCTAATAATGCCTGATACATAGTAGATGCTCAATCAGCATGGACTACAGGAAGGGTTACTTTGTAAAGATAACCAAGTACTTACCCAGAAAACATGTATGTAGGCTGTGTACAGTGGCTCATGCCTGTATTTCTAGGTTTCTGGGAGGCTGCTGTAGGACCACTTGAGGCCAGGAGTTTGAGACCAGTCTGGGCAACATAGTGAGACCCCATCTCTACAAGAAGAATTTTTTAAAAAATTTACTGGGCATGGTGGCATGCATCTATAGTCCCAGCTACTCAGAAGGCTGAGGCAGGAGGTTCACTTGAGCCCAAGAGTTTGAGGCTGAAGTGAGCTGTGATGGCACCACTGCACTCCAGCCTGGGTGACAGCAAGATCTTGTCTCTGAAACATTTTTTGTAAAACCAAGATTTGAACTTGGATTAAGGTGGTTCTAGAAGGGTGGTGCCCCAAGGCTTGGCAGACAGAGCAAGAAAAAAAAAATCCCCGCATGTATTTAAAGATAAAACCATATCAGAAAACTGCATTCTTGGGGATCAAGATCAAATCTTCATATCAGCATCTACTATCTATGTAGAAGGTCCTGTTCCCCTTTGTTAATTTCTAAACCTGGTTGTTAGATTAATACAATCATTGTTATTTCGTTTTAATTTTTTACTTGATATGATTTTTTTTTTTGAGACAAAGTCTTGCTCTGTCACCCAGGCTGGAGTGCAGTGGCAAAACCTTGGCTCACTGCAACCTCCACCTCCCAAGTTCAAGCAATTCTGCTGCCTCAACCTCCTGAGTAGCTGGGATTACAGGCACATGCCACCACACCTGGCTAATTTTTGTATATTTTAGTAGAGGTGGGATTTCGCCATGTTGGCTAGGCTGGTCTTGAACTCCTGACCTCAGGTGATCCGCCCACCTTGGCCTCCCAAAGTGCTGGGATTACAGGCAAGAGCTACCGCGCCTGGCCCCCTGATATGATTTTGAACAGGATCTTTATCTTCAGTGAAATGCTGATACTCCATTTCTTTGTGGAAACAGTCTTGACTTGTTGGGCACTTGGGCTGTTTCCAGTTTTGGGCTATTAGAGATAATGTCAGCTTCTTTGTCTACTGACGAAAGTGAAAATGGTGAAATGTGTCTATAGTCGAACCTTGACACTGTGTTCAGGCTCATTTTGGATGTATCTTTCAGTGCTTGAAGTTTGGCATCCTCTATAGTATAAACAAGATCAACAAAAATTGATTCCTGAGCCTCCTTCAGTGCTTGAAGTTTGGCATCCTCTATAGTATAAACAAGATCAACAAAAATTGATTCCTGAGCCTCCCAAGGGAAAAATTCAGACGATTTCCAAAGGAGATCAAAGAAAGATGTTCAATATAGAATTCAGGGTCACTGTGGAATCTTAATGATAAACTTTGGTATTTCCTTTGACCAAAATTATTTTAATAAATGCTCTAGCAATCACTGCCACCGGTACATTTTTTTTTTTTTAACCGAGGAGTGATTTAGGAATGGTAAGGTGATTTGCCTTGAGCCATAGAAGCTGGGGTGCTGACTGACTCATTCTGTATTCTGCAGCTTTTTAGGTAAAGAATTACCATGAATTTTTCCTTTTTTTTTCTTTCGAGATGGGGTCTCACTCTGTCACCCATTTAAGAGTGCAGTGGCACCATCATGGCTCACTGCAGCCTCAACCTCCCAGGCTCAAGCAATCCTCCCACCTCAGCCTCCCCAGTAGCTGGGACCAAGGCGCATACCATCATGCTCAGCTAATTTTTTGTATTTTTGGTAGAGATGGGGTTTTGTCATGTTGCCCAGGCTGGTATCACTCCTGGCCTCAAGCAATCCTCCCATCTTGACCTC
Organism: Homo sapiens; assembly: GCF_000001405.40. NCBI lineage: Eukaryota > Metazoa > Chordata > Mammalia > Primates > Hominidae > Homo > Homo sapiens. Next base: position 37,486,273 of record NC_000010.11, read on the forward strand.
CCAAAGTGCTGGAATTACAGGTGTGAGCCACTATGCCTGGCCAAGAATTACTATAATTTTATAATCAGAACAATGAAGTAACCAAAGTATACTTTTATTTGATGCTCAAATAAAACTAATCAAGTGATCTTGTTTTACAAGTGAAAAAGTCATGACAACAACAGTAGCTACTATTTATTGTCTGCCTTTGGTTTAGGTGTTTTACAGTCACTCACTGTCTATGTTCTTAAAACAACCTGGCAAAGTAGATAAAAGATGCTTCCTGACTTACATGATTCCGGTCTGTCCCAACAAACCATTGTAAGTTGAAAATGCTTTTATTTCATTAATTAATTAATTAATTTGAGACAGAGTCTCTCTCTGTCACCCAGCTGGGGTGTAGTGGCATGATCTCTGGTTACTGCAACCTCCACCTCCTGGGTTCAAACGATTCTCCTGCTTCAACCTCCCGAGTAGCTGGGATTACAGGTGTGTGCCATCACACCTGGCCAGTTTTTTTTATTTTTAGTAGAGACAGGGTTTCACCATGTTGGCCAAGCTGGTCTCCAACTCCTGACCTCAAATAATCTGCCCACCTTGGCCTCCCAAAATGCTGGGATTACAGGCATAAGCCACTGTGCCCAGCTGAAAATGCATTTAGTATAACTAACCCACCCAACATCACATCTTAGCCTGGCCTAACTTACATGTGCTCAGAACACTTACATTAGCCTAAAGTTGGGCAAAAACATCTCACCCAGAGCCTATTTTATACTAAAGTGTTGATTTGGGAGACCGAGGTAGGTGGATCACCTGAGGTCAGCAGTTGGAGACCAGCCTGGCCAACATGGTGAAACCCCGTCTTTACAAAAAATACAGAAAAATTAGCTGGATGTGGTGGTGCACACCTGTAATCCCAGCTACTCAGGAGGCTGAGGCAGGAGAATCACTTGAACCCAGGAGGCAGAGGTTGCAGTGAGCCGAGATCGTGCCATTGCACTCCAGCTTGGGCAACAAGAGCAAAACTGTGTCTCAAAAAATAATAAATAAATAAAGTGTTGAGTGTCTCATGGAATGTATTGAACATTGTACCAAAAATGAAAAGTGGAATGTTTTTATAGGTACGCAAAGTACCGTTTCTTTTTTTCTTTTCTTTCTTTTTTTGAGAAAGAGTTTCGCTGTCTTGCCCAGGATGGAATTCAGTGGTACAATCACGGCTCACTGCAACCTCCATATCCTGGGCTCAAGTGATTCTCCTGCCTCAGCCTCCTGAGTAGCTGAGACTATAAGCACTCACCAACACGCCTAACTTTCGTATTTTTAGTAGAGACAGGGTTTTGCCATGTTAACCAGGTTGGTCTTGAACTTCTGGGCTCAATTGATCCACCTGCCTCAGCCTCCCAAAGTGCCGGGATTACAGGCATGAGCCACCACCACACTCAGCCTCAAAGTACAGTTTCTACTAAATGCAGATTGTTTTCACATCATCATAAAGTTGAAAAATTATAAGTTAGGCTGGGCGCGGTGGCTCACACCTGTAATCCCAGCACTTTGGGAGGCTGAGGCAGGTGGATCACCTGAGGTCAGGAGTTCAAGACCAGCCTGGACAACGTGGTGAAACCCTGTCTCTACTAAAATACAAAATTAGCCAGGCATTGTGGTGGGCACCTGTAATCACAGGTACTTGGTAGGCTGAGGCAGGAGAATTCCTTGGACCTGGGAGGTGGAGGTTGCAGTGAGTTGAGATTGTGTCATTGTATTCCAGCCTGGGCAACAAGAACAAACTCCATCTCAAAAAAAAAAAAAAAAAAAAAAAAGAAAAGAAAAATAATAAGTTAAATTATTGTAAGTAGAGTACGATCTGTACTACTGTTATTTCCATTTTCCAGGTAAACAAAACTGAGGCTGAGAGGAGTTATGCAACTTGCTGCCCTTAAGGCCACAAAGCTAGAGCGTGGTGGAGGCAAAACAGTAGTGCCTAATTTACCACTTGCTTATTACCACTGAAAGAAAAGATGACATTTCCAGGTGTTTTGGGTGCTAATTCAATTCTTAAGTGTTTGTTTAGGATCTAGCAATGTTTGTCCCCCAGGGTAAGGGGTAGGGTATCTTAAAAGGTGACAAGTGGTATCCTTATATACAAGAGAGATTTTATCTTTTATCTCAGCCTTTTTTTTTTTTTTTAAGAGACAGGATCTCAGTCAGTCACCCAGCCTGGAGTGCAGTGGCATGACCTCAGCTCACTGCAACCTCTGCGTCCTGGGTTCAAGCGATTCTCATCCCTCAGCCTCCCAAGTAGCTGGGATTACAGGAGTGTGCCACCATGCCCGGCTTTTGTATTTCTAGTAGAGACGAGGTTTCACCATGTTGGCCAGGATGGTCTTGAACTCCTAACCTCAAATGATCCACTCACCTCAGCCTCCCAAAGTGCTGGGATGACAGATGTGAGCCACCGTGCCCAGCCTCAGCTTTTATGTCTATAAAATAGAGCTTTTACGGCTGGGCGTGGTTGGAAAATAAAAGATGTGAAACTATCCTCGGCTAGTATCCATCTGCCCCTTCTCTCAACCATGCATCATTTGTCACTTGCGGGGAAGGTGGAGGGAAGATCAAGATGGCAGATGGAGGAAGAGAGGACTTGGAAACCCTCGTTTCTTCTGATTTGCCTCTGACTTGAACTGAAGCTCATGCTCCCGTGAACCTGGAAACATTTTGATTTCTGGAAGGAGCTGCGTGCAGAAAGTCTGACTGGACCAAATTAAAACTTTGGGTTTTAGGTAGGCACAGCCACAAAAAAGTTGAAATTGGCATGTCTTGTCCAAGGCTACCTATCAATACAGAAATAGAAGTGGCTCTCTGGCCTGGCTGTCTGGGATTGTGATGCCTCATTGTGGGGCCTGCCTGTAACTGAAGGTTCTGCATGAGTCACAGATCTCCCTGGTGCAGGGCAGCAACCCAGTGGCTTGGTTAACTGGGGAGGGAAAGAGAGAAGTTTTTGTTTATGATCTCATTCCAATCAGAATGTTTCCAGACACCCAAATATTTGATTTGAGCCTGATTGCTAAGAGACCTCCCACTGGGACCAGCTGCCTGCAGGCAGGAGGGCAGTATTGGCGTCATTTCCGATTTCTGCCAATTTATTTTGAAACCAGAAAACCTAGAACCTCGGCCTCCTCAAGGCAACCAGGGGGAGAGGAGAGATCTGAATCAGAGGAAATACAGAGAGAAAAACCCGCTACCAGCGGGAGAGGAGAGATCTGAGTCAGAGGAACTACAGAGAGAAAAACCTGCTAATCTTCTGCCAGGGAGCTGTAGGAAGGTTTGGGATAGAATGATGACATCGTGCTTACTTACTTCATGGGAAATAGGTTGGTAGGGTAATGAAGAAGAAATTGAAGCTTTGTGCTTAGAAATGCAAGTTTCATCTTGAAGAAACCTCAGGGATTCCATAACAATGCTGGATTTCTGACTAATAACTGGGCGTCATGAAGGCTGCCCTGATTCACATTTGGAACCATACACCCAGATCTTGGGTTTTAATTGCCTAGTGACTTAAACCCCTTAGGGAAATGGCAGGATTAACACTGTCATGTGTAAGCCTGTGCAGGGTCAGTGCAAATGGGAGAGGTGGGGAAACCTGCTTCTGGCTTCCCTCCTTTCTCAGCAGAAGGCAGACAGCTGAAGGGAAAAGGCTTCACATCTGTATGGTATCAATGAACATTGGGCTTTCCCACACTAGTAGCAGCAGAACAGAAACTCTGGATGTGACCTCTATCCCCAGTGCCACTCTCAGGACCAAGTCGTGATAAATACAGACCTATAACTTTTTCCAGGGTTTTGTTGTTGTTGTTGTTGCCCAGGCTGGAGTGCAGTGGTGCAATCTCGGCTCACTGCAACCTCAAACTCCCAGATTCAAGCTATTCTTGTGCCTCAGCCTCCCATGTTGCTGGGACTGCAGGCACATGCCACCGCACCTGGCTAGTTTTTGTATTTTTAGTACAGATGGGGTTTCACTATGTTGGCCAGGCTGGTCACGATCTTCTGACCTCAGGGCAGGAGAAATTGGATGTCCCAACTCCAACAATCAGGCAGGAAGGGAAAAAGGAGCAAATTCCTCTTTCCTCCATCTGTTTGCTCTATTCAAGCCCTCAATGGATTGTTCAATGCCCTCCCACACTAGAGAGGGTTTTCTACTTCACCGTGACCCCATGGTGCGGTCAAGTTAACACATAAAATGACTCATCACAGTCTTCCTCTCAATGACATTCTGCGGAGCAGGACAGCACAGTGGGTTTTGCTTTCAGATGCAACCTTATTGCAGGCTCCACTCTTTTCTGATGAGCCATGTGATCTTGGGCAAGTTCTGATGCCTCAATTTCTCCAGCTGTCAAAACCTATCCTGATATAAATTGTTATACCATAAAGACAAATGCACTCATAGGTTCATCGCAGTACTATTCACAAAAGCAAAGACATGGAATCAACCTAGATGCCCACCAATGGTGGACTGGATAAAGAAAATCTGGAACATATGCACCATGGAGTACTATGCAGCCATAAAAAGAACAAAATCATGTCTTTTGCAGCAACATGAATGGAGCTGGAGGGCACTATCCTAAGTTAATAACACAGGAACGGAAAACCAAATACTGGCCAGACGTGGTGGCTCACACCTGTAATCCCAGCATTTTGGGAGGCCAAGGTGGGTGGATCACTTGAGGTCAGGAGTTCAAGACCAGCCTGGCCAACATAGCAAAACCCCATCTCTATTTATAAAAATATAAAAATTAGCGGGTAGGTGGTGCATGCCTGTAATCCCAGCTACTCAGGAGTCTGCGTCAGGAGAATCGCTTGAACCTGGGAAGCGGAGGTTATAGTGAGCTGAGATTGCACCACTGCACTCTACCCTGGGCCACAGAGTGAGACTCCATCTCAAATAAAAATAAAAGCAAATACTGTATGTTCTCACTCATAAGTGGGAGCTAAACATTGAGTACAGATGGATAAAAAGGGAACAACAGACAGCAGGGCCCACTGGAGGGTGGAGGGTAGGGAGAGGGTGAAGATTAAAAAACTACGTATCAGGCTGGCATGGTGGTTCATGCCTGTAATCCTAGCAATTTGGGAGGCCAAGATGGGTGGATCATTTAAGGCTAGAAGTTCGAGACCAGCCTGGCCAACATAGCAAAACCCCATGTCTACTAAAAAAAAAAAATACAAAAATTAGGCCAGGTGCGGTGGCTCATGCCTGTAATCCCAGCACTTTGGGAGGACAAGGTGGGTGGATCATGAGGTCAGGAGCTTGAGACCAGCCTTACCAACATGGTGAAACCCTGTCTGTACTAAAAATACAAAAATTAGCCAGGTGTGGTGGTGGGCACCTGTAATCTCAGCTACTCAGGAGGCTGAGGCAGGAGAATCACTTGAACCTGGCAGGCAGAGGTTGTAGTAAGCTGAGATTGTGTCACTGCACTCCAGCCTGGACAACAGAATGAGACTCTGTCTCAAACAACAACAACAACGATGAAGAAAACTACCTACCACATATTATGCTGATTACCTGGGTGACAAAATTATCTGTACACCAAACCCTTAGAACATGCAACTTAGCCATGTGACAAACCTGCACATGTACCACCTCAGCCTAAAATAAAAGTTGGAAAGAAAAAAAACCACGCTATCCTGAAAGAAGTATTTGCTGGGTTTTAAAAGGATGGGTAGTAGTTTGGCACTTGGAAAAAAAAAGTCACGGGAGGGAGCTTTAAATTAAATATGGAAATAGGAGACAGAGGGACAGGGCCTGGGTCTAGCACCATATGGGCCACCCAGGAACTAGCTTGTAAATCCCTCTGATTTGACTTTTATTTTTTTAGAGGAAGTCTCACTCTGTTGCCCAGCTGGAGTGCAGTGGCATGATCTTGGCTCACTGCAACCAACCTCTGCCTCCCAGGTTCAAGCAATTCTCCTGTCTCAGCCTCCCAAGTAGCTGGGATTACAGGCACATGTCACCACGCCTGGCTAATTTTTTTGTAGTTTTAGTAGAGATGGGGTTTCACCATATTGGACAGGCTGGTCTCAAACTCCTGACCTTAGGCAATCCACCTGCCTCAGCCTCCCAAAGTGCTAGGATTACAGGCATGAGCCACCGCGCCTGGCCTGGATTGACTTTGAAGGGCTCAAATCAAGTTTGCTTGACTGGGAAACAAGATGAGAAAGGAAATGCATGCACAGTTCCATGAACAAGGAAGTCTGGAAACCTAGAATGAATAGTTTGAACGTGATATGGAAGGTAATGGAGAATCACCAATGCAGTGCCCATCTGGGTCTCATGGTTACAGAAGGCATGAAATCAGCAGGCTCTGTCATTTCCATCTTGCAAACCAGCAAAAGATACCCTTACCATGTGGAATACTTAAGTATTAAATCCAGGGAGAATGTCCCTCAATAGATAAGTTTTTGCTGGTGAAGTCTGTGTGCCGAGAAATTCTGCAAGACATGCTTAAATTTGTTCCCCAGTCTTTGGTTAAATAGACCATGTCATCCAAGGTACCAACAACTTGCTTCCACCACGGAAGCTATTATGTCAGTGGTGCTGCATGATGACAGATATCCTTGCTAATGAGGAACATTGGCATGGAGGAGAAGGCCACTCCAAATAAGATGAATTGCTGCAGATGGAGAGCCAAAGTCTGCATGGAGATCTTGAATATTCCATAGGCTGTTCAGCCAAAATCTGTCTCTTAGTTTTTCAGTAATGATAGATGACAAAGCCTGGGGTAAAAATAAATCCACTTTCATGTTAGTTGTTTCTGGCTGGTTCAGCGGGAAACAGCATCGTTAACCTTCAGGGGACTGGGGGATGCCTGAGATCTGGAAGCTGGGGCCTCTTTAGGAGGAATGGTTGGGGAAGGCTGAGGGGCTAGAGAGTCACCCTAGGCTAAGTTCCTCCTCACTGTTCTCTTTTCTTAGTTATTGTGTAAATTTAATCAGGAGAAAAGCTCTTGTCAAGGCTGGTAATTGAAACATCTTTCTTAAATGCATCAGTTTAAGGCCAGCGATTGCATTAGGTCAGGTGTGGGGAAAAGAAAGAGAGCTCAGACTGTTACTGTGTCTATGTAGAAAGAAGTAGACATAAGAGACTCCATTTTGTTCTGCACTAAGAAAAATTCTTCTGTCTTGAGATGCTGTTAATCTGTAACCCTAGCCCCAACCCTGTGCTCACAGAGACAGGTGCTGTGTTGACTCAAGGTTTAATGGATTTAGGGCTATGTAGGATGTGCTTTGTTAAACAAGTGCTTGAAGGCACTATGATTGTAAAAGTCATCACCACTCTCTAATCTCAAGTACCCAGGGACACAACACACTGCGGAAGGCCACAGGGACCTCTGCCTAGGGAAGCCAGGAATTGTCCAAGCTTTCTCCCCATGTGATAGCCTGAGATATGGCCTGGTGGGAAGGGAAAGACCTGAACATCCCCCAGCCCGACACCTGTAAAGGGTCTGTGCTGAGGAGGATTAGTAAAAGAGGAAGGCCTCTTTGCAGTTGAGATAAGAGGAAGGCATTTGTCTCCTGCTCGTCCCTGGGCAATGGAATGTCTCAGTGTAAAACCTGATTGTATGTTCCATTTACTGAGGTAGGAGAAAACCACCTTAGGGCTGGAGGTGAGACATGCTGGTGGCAATACTGCTCTTTAATGCACCAGCAATACTGCTCTTTAATGCACCGAGATGTTTGTATACATGCACATCAAGGCACAGCACCTTTTCTTTACCTTGTTTATGACACAGAGTTCACATGTTTTCCTGCTGACCCTCTCCCCACTATTACCCTATTGTCCTGCCACATCCCCTCTCCAAGATGGTAGAGATAATGATCAATAAATACTGAGGGAACTTAGGTCTCAGTGCCAGCTCGCGTCCTCCGTATGCTGAGCGCCGGTCCCTTGGGCCCACTTTTCTTTCTCTATATTTTGTCTCTGTGTCTCTTTCTTTTCTCAGTCTCTTGTTCCACCTGACGAGAAACACCCACAGGTGTGGAGGGGCTGGCCCCCTTCAGTAAGGTACCTACATTTCATCCTGAGTACAGTTGTCATCCAAGCACCCCGCAGACTGGTTTATGTCCATCTGAGGTGTAAATTCCACAGAAACCTCAATTGGTGAGCAGTGGAAAAAGCAGTTGGACCTGAAATGCTGAGAGGCACTTAGCATTTGCCTCGAAACATTTTGGATGGGTATTTTCCCTTTATCCTTCCTCCATTTTCAGAAATACTTGGAGAAGTAGAAGACCCACAGTGGCCCAATAGCGGCAATATCATTAAAAAATAAAAATAAAAAGCTACAAGTCATTCACCTTTATAAAATATTGGTCTTTACTTACAGGTCTAAAATTAATTTTTTAATATTTTTTTTTTAGACAAGGTCTCACTCTGTTGCCCAGGCTGGAGTGCAGTGGTGCGATCTCGGCTCACTGCAACCTCTGTCTCCTGGGTTCAAGCGATTCCCCTGGGTCAGCCTCCCGAGTAGCTGGGACTACAGGTGCCTGCCACCATGCTCAGCTAATTTTTGTATTTTTAGTAGACACGGGTTTCGCCATGTTGGCCAGGCTGGTCTCAAACTCCTGACCTCATGTGATCCACCCACCTCGGCCTCCCTAAGTGCTAGAATTACAGGCGTGAGCCACTGTGCCCAGCTGGGTCTATACTTTAAATAAGAAAACTGCTATATGTTTCTGGTGTTAAGAGTCCAAAAGTTTGGGATCAGAAGAGTTAATGTCCACAGTTCCAAGGCATTCACAGGGAATAACATATTGGCAGCATCTTTCTACTTAATAGATTTTCTTGGCCAGACGCAGTGGTTCACACCTGTAATCCTAGCACTTTGGGAGGCCGAAGCGGGCAGATCACGAGGTCAGCAGTTCGAGACCAGCCTGGCAAACATGGTGAAACCCCATCTCTACTAAAAATACAAAAATTAGCTGGGCGTGGTGGCAGGCGCCTGTAATTCTAGCTACTCAGGAGGCTGAGGCAAGAGAATCACTTGAACCCAGGAGGTGGAGGTTGTAGTGAGCCCAGACCATGCCATTGCACTCCAGCTGGGTGACATAACAAAGAGACTAGTGATATTGTTCCCTTTCTCTATGAATCTGTTGAAATTTGAACTTGAAAGAGACGATTTAGGGTATCTGGTGGAAGAAATGTCTAAGCATTAAACCATTCAAGAGGAGGCCTGGTTTCTTCTAAATGCCTAGCTCATTTGCATAAACAAAGAAATGACCTGAAACTAGAGCTTATATTTATAACAGAAGCAGAGCATAAAGTTTTGGAACATTTGCAGCTCCACCTTGTGGTAAAAAAGAAAAATCCATTTTCTGGGGAGGACTTCAAGGCTGCAGAAATTTGCATAAAGAAAGAAGAGCTGAATGTTAACAGCCAAGACAATGGGGAAAATGCCTTCAAGGCATTTCAAAGACCTTTAGGACAGCCCTTCCCATCACAGGCCTGGCAGCATAGGAGGGAAAAAATAGTTTTGTGGCCCAAGTCTAGAGCCCCAGTGCTCTGTGCAGCTTTGGGACATGGTGCCCTGTGTCCCAGCTACTCAAATTCCAGCCATGGCTAAAAGGGGCCAACTTATAGCTTGGGCTGTTGCTTCAGAGGGTGCAAGCCCCAAGTCATGGTGGCTTCCTCGTGGTGTTTGGCTTGTGGGTTAGCAGAAGGCAAAAGCTGAGGTTTGCAAGCCTCTGCCTAGATTTCAGAGGATATATGGAAATGCTTAGAGGTCAAGGCAGAAGTCTGCTGCAGGGGTATAGCTTTCATGGAGAACCTCTATTAGGACAGTGCGTGAGGAAATGTGGACTTGGAGCCCCCACAGAGTCCCCACTGGGGCACTGCCTAGTGGAGATGTAAGAAGACAGCCACCATCCTCCAGACCCCAGAATGGTATATAAACCTACAGCTTGCACCATGCACCTAGAAAAGCCACAGACACTCAATGCTAGCTTATGAAAGCAGCAGCTGGAGCTGTACCCTGCAGAGCCACAGAGGCCAAGCTACCGAAGGCCTTGGAAGCCCAACCCTTGCATCAGTATGGCTTGAATTTGAGACATGGAGTCAAAGAAAAGCATTTGGGAGCTTTAAGATGTAATGACTGCCCTGCTGGGTTTCAGACTTGCATAGGGCCTGTAATCGCTTGGTTTTGGCCAATTTCTGCCTTTTGGAATGGGAGCATTCACCCAATATCTGTAACCCTATTGTATCTTGGAAATAACTTATTTGGTTTTGATTTCACAGGCTCATAGGTGAAAGGATTTGCCTTGTCTCAGATGACACTTTGGACTTGGACTTTTCAGTTAATGTTGAAATGAGTTAATACTTTGAGGGGGTTTGGGGAAGGCATGATTGTGTTTTGAAATTTGGGGAGGACATGTGATTTGGGAGGGGCCATTGTTGGACTGATACAGTTTGGCTCTATGTCCCCATCCAAATCTCATGTCAAATTGTAATCCCCATGTGTTGGATGAGGGGCAAGGTGGGAGGTGATTCAATCATGGGGGAAGACTTCCCCATTGCTGTGCTTGTGATAATGAATGAGTTCTCATGAGATCTGGTCATTTCAAAAGTGTGTAGTGCTTCCCCCTTCTCACTCTCTTTCCTGCCACCACGTGAAGATGTGTTTGCTTCCCTTTCACCTTCTGCCATGATTGTAAGTTTCCTGAGGCCTCTCAGCCATGATTCTTATATAGCCTACAGAACTGTATAAAAGGTGAGTCAATTAAACCTCTTTTCTTCATAAATTTTCCAGTCTCATGTAGTTCTTTATAGCAGTGTGACAATAAACTAATACAGAGGGAAATAATGAAATAACATCACTCTATCTCTCTGCTTTCTCTGGAAAGAATACATAATACAACTTAGATTGTTACTAATGCTTTAGTAAAATAAATTGAAGCTCAGGCCCTTCAATTAATGAAAGAAGTGGCATTGAGGTTGAATCCCAACTATTGGTGTTATGCAGGTAAAGAGAATGTCATAACCACATTTGCATTTAGTTTTCCAATTATGCCTGAATTCTGGAGAATGGACAGGAGATCATCAAAATGGAAGACAAGAAGATCATATAGGATAGCCTAGAAGTAAAAGGCCAGTTAATAAGACATGTTTGAAATAGTTTACGTGGAGAAAGAGAATACTGCTGGAAAAATGTAGCAAGATGGGTGGAAAAATCTGATGTCTATAACTGGTAATTATGAGGCTCAATATCTGATTTTATTGAGCTTGGCATGTGAATATATGGTTTCCAGGAAAGAGTCAAAATGAGTCAAAAATGATTTATAGGTTTCCAGTATGGGCAACTCACAGAAACAGAGAGGGTCATGTTATTGACTGAGGTAAGGAATGATGGTGAAAGTTTTAATCACATTTATATTTAAGAACCAGCAAGGTATTAAAGTCGAGCTCTCCATTGGGCATTTGAATATATGAGTATGCATTTTCGAGTTTTAATTGGAAATACAGATATTGGTATTGTTGAAGCCTGAAAATAAATCATTACCCAAAACTTTTAAATGAAAAAAAGAAAGGTGATTAACTTTATACTAATATTTAAGGTCAGAAAAAAAGGAGCAAGTATAAAAAATACCAAAGAAACATCAGAGACCTAAGAAGAAAGGCAACATAGTACCACAAAAGCCAAGAAGAGCATTTTATCAAGAACAGAGGAGCCAAGTAGTAAGTCAAGTAGGATAAAAACTATATGAGTCAATTAACTTTAAATGTGAAGGATTTACTTCATATGTTGGACTTGGACTTTTAAGTTAATAAACTTTAAACTTTTGATAATAAACGTTATTCTTTTCAAATTATAGGTTGAGAAGTTGCATCACATATTGTATAGAGCAAACAACTTGTGAAATTGCTCTACTCTAATTCTCTGGCTCTTTTCATTCAGATATGTTGTCTTCTTCTTGGGGGCAAAATATTTTCCATATTTGGGAGAACAAACTTTCAATCTTCCATAACATGAATGTTCCCTGGAAAGGAACTCTTGAGTCAAAGAGTTTCATTGACCCAGGCTAATATAAGGCCATGGTACCTATAACCATATGAATGGAGGCCTCGTGTATTTTTAAAATGAAAATCATAAGAAACGGTATACTCCATTGCCTTACACTTGTGCTAGGATCCAATAAGGCCATAATTAAAAGAAATGTGGAAACTATCACATCTCTTGTAATTATCTCAAGATTTTGTCACACTTCTCTAACTCAACTTAAGCTCAATAATTCAAGATTCATTAAAATATAAAATAATAAAGCTATACAATTGGCATATCTAAGTAATGATATTTAAATGTTCCTTCAAGATAGTAGTTAATGAAACCTAGCTATGCCTCTAATCCCCAGAGAATTTCTGTATATATATATATATATATATATACATATATATATATATATGTATATATATATATATGTATGCCATGTAATCACATATTTCAGTGCACTACCACTAAAATAAATCAATACAAAGAAGATAAAATAAACTGAAAGCCATAGCATCTCAGATATTTTATCATCAGCAATAAATTAGCACTGTGGTATCTACTAGCCACAGGTGTTTTTTGAGTATCAGAAATGTGGCTAGTCTCAGTTAAGAACTATTGCAATGGTAAAATACTAGATTTCAAAGAATAGGGTAAAGTAAACCTTTTAATAAACTTCGAATGGATTTTATGGTTAAATTATAATAAATTTACATATGAGATTAAATAAAATATTTTAATATTGCTATCACATAATTCTTTTTACTTTTTAAATATGAATACTAGATAATTTACATATATGGCTCACATATATTGGACATTGTGCCTGAAGTATCATCTTACTAGTCTTATTGATTTACATAGTTTTAGTCCTTCTGAAAAAAATCTTAGAAACCCTAAAGCAATCTTATCACTTTAGTATCACTGAGAAAATTGGAAAATCATCTAATTAACCAGAGGAGCTTAACAGAAAAGGAATAATAACAGGGATATTTTGAAAACCACTGGTCATATTTCAGAAAGAATAATAAACAACTAGACTACATAGGGAATGAATTAGAACATTAGTAACCGCCAGATGTAGCTAGTTCTGATCCTAGAGCTTTAGAATCTATCCCTTGACTTAACCAAATAAGTGTTCTTATTGTGTTTATAACTAGTTTTAAAAGCCTAACATGGAAAGCAAAGTCTAATTTGAAGAGGTCAAGCCAGATGTTTTTGTTGCAAATAACTAAATGTATGTATGTATGTAGTTAAGAAACAGAGAGAATTCAGGCTCGGTCATCATTTATGATGACAGGCACCTCCATAATAAGACAGGTGGCCTCCATGTTTATTTCATTTAATTTTTAATTAAAGAAAACTTTTGATTATAAACGTTATTCTTCTCAAATTATAGGTTGAGAAGTTGAGTCACATATTGTATAGACACAACTTGTGAAGTTGTTCTACTCTAATTCTCTGGCTCTTTCCATTCAGATATGCTGTCTTCTTTTTGAGGTCAAAATATTTTTAACATTTGGGAGAGCAAAATTTCAATCTTCTGTAACATGAACGTTCCCTGGAGAGGAATGAAATTTAAATTCAGAAAACAAAAATGATTGTATCAAGGGCAGAGCTTACATATAATCAGGCTTCACTTGCCCAACACTGAACTCAGTAGAGTACTATATTCAAACTTTTTTTTTTTTTTTTTGAGTCGGAGTCTCACTCTGTCCCCTAGGCTGGAGTGCAGTGGTGCGATCTTGGCTCACTGCAAGCTCTGCCTCCCGGGTTCACACCATCCTCCTGCCTTAGCCTCCCGTGTAGCTGGGACTACAGGTGCCCGCCACCACGCCCGGCTAATTTTTTGTATTTTTAGTAGAGGCGAGGTTTCACCATGTTAGACAGGACGGTCTCGATCTCCTGACCTTGTGATCCGCCCGTCTCGGCCTCCCAAAGTGCTGGGATTACAGGCGTGACAAACTTATTTTTTATCTCACAAAATAAATTATTTTACTTAACAATTAAAAAATTTAAAGGTGTGTATCCATGGCTAATTGACTCTCATAAATAACCCTGGCAACAAAGAGACTTAAATTTTAATTTTCTAACTGAAGAACGTGAGCATACATGGCACATGGCTTCTAAAAGACCAAAATCATTGTCTTATTTTCTTTCCCTAGGTTCAACTTCTGCTAATAGTTACAGATTCTAATTTAATTTTTTAAATACATTCCTTTGTTAAATAAATAATGTAACAACTTTACCAAAAAAGAAATATTTTTGAATAAAAATGTTGAGATTAAAGACATGCAAATTTTGAAAACTTGTCTTTGTGAAATTTAGGTGCATAAATAAGCTTGATATTGAACTTATGATACACTTGAGAGACACATATGACTATGTAACTCTTCATCATTTGCAGAATACTATCACATAATTTTATTAAATTTGATGCACATAAATTACCCTTATTTATTATGCAATGTTGCTTCTATAAATGCCAATATAATGAGATTTAAGATGTACTTGTTATTAATGAATATTTAGCCTAAGTTTTAATTTACAACTGGTGACCTTTTTCCACAAAGAAATTTTTCTAGGGATGTGATATATGCATTCACTTTCACATGTATTCACTCTAGAATCTTCAAGTTCATTTAAGTGTCTAAGGCTATTTAAGGGAAAGTGAATATGGCTTGAGTTTCAGACTATGTTAGAGCTCCTGATATTCAGTCTCATCAAATTCACTGTGACGAGTCCTGTCAAATTCTTTGCAGGGTGCCACATAATTTCCAAGGTCATTCATGCTTATACAGGCAAGCTGCCTGATAGCAGACTGGTCAGATATGTAAGAGTAAAAACAAGGAAAGAGCTCTATGAAAGGTGCTTTAGAGGCACGGCACTGATCGCAAATGAAAAACATTTTCTATGTATACAAGGGAGCACATTGATTCAATGAATTCTCTGGTGAGTGCTAAAGTTGGTTAATCATGCTAATTAGGTGCCACTTGATGACATTCATTTATTATCACCATCACAAGCACTGTCATAAGCACAATTTTCTACAGGTCGTTAATGAATATCTGTGTCATCACATCTTAGAAACTTTATTATTACCTTGTATTCTTTAGGTTTAATGATGGCTTGCTCCTACTGAAGAAAGATCATTCAAGAATACATATGCTGAAAGCTAAAATGTTTTTAATCAGTTATTAGCATCTCACAATTTATTTTTTCTGTTCCAAAAGAACATTTTGATTTACCAAGTAGTAACTTTTTGAATTTTTTGTTTCTTTCTTGAGTGTTCCCCTTAGGCTTACTATTTAAGTATCATTCTATTACTGATGACTTAGTGATGATCATTTAATGTTTATATTATCTATTGTGTTACAGACAATCTAATATACATCAGATTCACCTGGAGAAATTTTCAAACATACACGCAGATGCCTTGTTTAATGTGGCTAAAAACAGGGCTGGAGGACATTTGTATTTCTTAAAAACTCCAAATATGAGGCCGGGCATGGTGGCTCGTACCTGTAATCCCAGCACTTTGGGAGGCCGAGGTGGGCGGATCAGGAGGTCAAGAGATCAAGTCCATCCTGGCCAACATGGTGAAACCCCCGTCTACTAAAAATACAAAAATTAGCTAGGCATGGTGGTGCACACCTGTAGTCCCAGTACCTCAGGAGGCTGAGACAGGAGAATCGCTTGAACCCAGGAGGCAGAGGTTGCAGTGAGCCGAGATCTCACCACTGCACTCCAGCCTGGTGACAGAGCGAGACTCGTCTCAAAATAAAATAAAATAAAATAAAACAAAAAACTCCAAATATGAGTAACCTTCCATATAATATATTACCTACCATTTTATCTGTCTTGGTTGCTGGATTTAGTGATTCTACAAGTACTCATTTCATGTCTACTGTATTCTGTGTGCTTAAGGCATTTCAAAGATCTGCCCTCAGGGAACATACATTCTCAGGCCAGATAAAACATAAAACGTAATAGGCTAATCACACAAAATATTGAAAAAAATGAGATCCTCTTAAGAAAATAGATAGCATTATAAAAACAATCGAAATCTGCAAAACATTCACTGGCACAGCCACACATACACATATGTATATATGGACTTTTCCACAAACATGTCCACATACAGATTCATGTCCATGTAAACATCCATATCATTTCTATACCTATTACCTTTATCTCTAACTGCCTCACCTGTATTGTACCTATATCTACATGTACCTGCCAAACCCCCATACTTACTTTCAAAATGCAATTAATTCCAAATTGTTAAGGTTTTGGGGGCACCTATTTCTTTATTCTTAGATGATGTATTTATACTGCTTTTGATATGTCAGTTTTAAACATCAATTACTTGCTTTCTGTAATGATAGTTGATGATTAAGCTCCTAAGTCACCTCTAGCTATCTGCTCACAGTTGATAAATATAACTCAGTATATATATATAAATATTATATATTAGTTTAGCTCAGTATATAAATATACTGAGTATATATATAATATACATATATATGAGTATATATACACATATACATATACTAGTATATATACATATACTAAATTAATAAACTCTTTATGACTGTGTAAACATTAATGCAGGATCAAATAGTATGTTATGATTGCATGTTATTTTTTATAATTTTGCATGTTTTCATAGATAGAGTTCAGTTAATGAAAGCGTATTTTTTCTTCTCACAAATTTGTGTAATTCTCTAAAGTTTTAACATGACTTTTTTTTAATGTTCTTTTAAGTTTCCTTTCTCTGTCCTCCTTTTCACTGAAAAGAACAAAATATCAGTTCCTCAGGCCTGTGCTCCTGTGTGGCTGTACTCCTGGTCCTGACTTACTTCCCTGATTTGTACACATTGTTTTTTGGATTCCATGCTTTTTTTTTCTGTTTACTGTCTGGCTTTAATGGTGCATATTATTATGCAAAATCTTAAGAATTTGTATATTAGAAGTAAGTTTGTGCTTTTATTCATCACTGAAAAAGAAACCTGTTTATTCTACCTTCACATTAGATTTTCTTGGTTTTGTTGGAATTTGAATTCTGGGTTGAAAATATTTTTAAGATATTATATCCTAGCATTTCGGTATTGAGATGAGAATAGTAGCATCTGTCTGTTGAAAGACAAATCCTTATGGGTGTCTCATATATGTGTTACAAATAGAGGCACTGACCACCCTGTTCCTAGCTACTTCTTCAAGGACATTTTTAGAGTAAACAGCCATGGAATATAGAGATAATGTCTCTTTCTGGGGAAGTGGATATGCATATTTACTGCCCATTATAAAAAGATTCCTTTTCCTAAAGCAGTCTACTGTGTGTGCAATTGTCACATGGTCCCCTTCACCTTACTTTTTAAAAATTAAGGTTGGGTGAACTGTGCAAGACAATGCTGCTACTATGGCTAATGCGATCGCGAGTAATAAAGTCCTTTGTTTCTAACCAAGGAGCCTCATATCTTCTACCAGCATTCGCAAATTTGTCACAGGTTTGCATGCTAGCTTGCAAAAAGGGTAAAATTTAAAGACCCTTCAAGGTTCTCAACAATATCTTAGATAGCCTCCACTTCTTCCAGCACCAGAATTTGCCAACATCAGGCATAACTTTCCCAGGCCTGATAGAGGAAAGGCACAATCTCTCATTTCCTCAATAATTGTTCTGGAACATATAATTTTTGCAAATTATAGGACCTACCACTTCCCCTTCATCTCCAAGATAATTATAATTTTTTTAATCTTTAGAATTTCAATTTCTGAAATAAACTTATTAAACATTTCTCAAATGCCCCTTACTTATTAATACTTTCTCTTGACATATACAGTTATTAGCAAACCAACAAGGCAGTTTATTGTTTTTCTGCCAATTATCCTTTATTACAAAAATGTTAAATTTTCTATTACAGTTTTTTCTAAGTCTGTTTTAACTACAGTTCATCAATGTTCCTGAAACCATCCTAGGCTACAGAATTTCTACCTACTGTTGTTCCACTCCATGGTATGGTAGTCATATCCTTTCTTTAAAAATTCTATTTTTTTTTTTTTTTTGAGGCAGAGTCCCGCTCTGTCACCCAGGCTGGAGTGCAGTGGCACTATCTTGGCTCACTGCAACCTCTACTTCCTGGGTTCAAGCAATTCTCGTGTCTCAGTCTTCTGAGTAGCTGGGATTACAGATGTGCACCACCAGCCCCAGCTAATTTTTGTATTTTTAGTAGACACGTGGTTTCGCCATGTTGACCAGGCTGGTCTCAAACTCCTGACCTCAGGTGATCCGCCCTCCTAGGCCTCCAAAGTGCTAGGATTACAGGCTTGAGCCACTGCACCCAAAAGTCTTTAAGGATTCTTTTTTTTTGAGATGGAATTCTCCTTCTGTTACCCAGGCTGGAGTGCAGTGGCACAATCTCAGCTCACTGCAGCCTCTGCCTCCTGGGTTCAAGAGATTCTCCTGTCTCGGCTTTTGGAGTTGTGCAACACAAGAGTCATGGTATTATGCCAGCAATGTACATTATGCTACAAGTTTACCTGTGAGAAAACATGCTTACTAAGACTAAGTAACTTGCCTAATGTAATCTTTTTTTTTTTTCTTTCCAACAGAGTCTTGCTCTGTCACTCAGGCTGGAGTACAGTGGCACAATCTCGGCTCACTGCAACCTCAGCCTCCTAGGTTCAAGCGATAATCCTGCCTCAGCCTCCCAAGTAACTGGGATTTCAGGTGCACACCACCACGCCCAGCTAATTTTTGTATTTTTGGTAGAGACAGTGTTCACCATCTTGGCCAGGCTGGTCTTGAACTGCTGACATTGTGATCCACCCACCTTGGCCTTCCAAAGTGCTGGGACTACAGGCGTGAGCCACCGCGCGCAACCTCTTTAAGGATTCTTAAACATTCCAGACGAGTTCTGCCCTGTGAATGGTACAAGTTTTATACCACAAAGTTCAATGTGTAAACTATGTAATTCTTTTTTTTTTTGATGGAGTCTCACTCTGTTGCCCTGGCTGGAGGGCAGTGGTGCGATCTCTGCTCACTGCAAGCTCTGCCTCCTGGGTTCACACCATTCTCCGGCTCAGCCTCCCGAGTAGCTGGGACTACAGGTGCCTGCCACTACACCAGGTTAATTTTTATGTAATTTTAGTAGAGACAGGGTTTCACAGTGTTAGCCAGGATGGTCTCCAGCTCCTGACCTCATGGTCCACCCGCCTCAGCCTCCCAAAGTGGTGGGATTACAGGCATGAGCCACTGCGCCCGGCCCAATATGTGATTCTTAAAATGTTTCCATGCCTCCACTTATTATCTATTTTAAGTACTAATGTACCTAATTTGTTTGAATTATACTCTTAGAAAAATTCAAGTAAAATATAGTATGTTTATTATTTTTTCAAGTAATTAATAATCCTAAAATTGTTCCAATATTTACTTTAATAATAGCAGCTGACATATGCACTACTCAAGTTTGAGGCACTTTTCTGAGTGCTTTATATATACGTAGCTCCTTTAATTATCACAACAATCAGAAATTAATTTTTTTTTTTGGTCCAAGGACAGTGGCTTATGCTTATAATCTCAGCACTTTGGGAAGCAGAGACAGGAAGATAGCTTGAGCCCAGGAATTCAAGACCAGCCTAGGCAACACGGCAAAACCCTGTCTTTACCAAAAATACAAAATTTAGCTGGGCATTGTGGCACATGCCTGTAGACCCAGCTACTTGGGAGGATGAGGTAGGAGGATCACTTGAGCCTAGGAGGTAGAGGATGTAATGAGCTGTGATCATGTCACTGCATTCCAGCCTGGATGACAGAGGAGAACCTTGTCTCAAAAAAATAAAATAAAATAAATAAATGGATAAATAAATTTGCCTTCTAATTGACATTGATTTGTAAGAAAAACTTTCAAATAGACATTTCTGTAAGTATTATATGTTTCATCAGGTACATTTAAAGACTATGTCATATAATTTATTACAAAGCACTTGAATTATATAAGACATAATGCAAATGTTTACAAGTATAAGAAATTTTATAGCACATATTCCATTTATAAACTCATAGATTTTTGTGTCCAGATGCAGACTCAAATAATCATAAACATTTCCATTGAAATATGGTAATAAAAGTATTAACATTTATGACACAAATCTAAAAATAGAATTGTTTCTCTTAATATGAAATTTAAAAGAAATTATGCAGAATTGGATTTGCAAGTGAGGCCCTACAGTACAATCCTGATCATCCAAATAGACATGCATATATTTCACATTTAATTAGTGATCCCAAATTGGGTAGTCGTTTGCAGAGTTCTAGGGCAATCTTCAAGACAAGTATCCTTTGAGTTTATTCCTCTGATTTTTTTTAAGTTTAATTGGGAGTTTGAATCCATGTTGAAAGTATCAAGGGGCACATATAAATTGTGAGTAAGCCTGCTTTCTGGATACGAATAAAATAGTATAAATTGAAAAGTTTTGTTAGAGTGAACTTTATGGTGAGAAATAGTGAAACGAATTATAGGAGATGCCAGAGCATTGTTTCAAGTAAAGTTCCTTGAGAGCATTTTTCTGATCATGTTCTTTAGTGTTATTCAAATATAGAATGCAGTGAAGACATGAAAGAAGAGGCAATGCCCAAACAGTAAAAAAAAAAATTTATATAATACAAAGTGGGTTTGATTCATTATGTACAGAAATAGAAAGTAGTTAAATATGCTGAATTAGTCTATGGCATTTATTTATTATTTATTTATTTATTTTGTTGAGACGGAGTCTTGCTCTGTCACCAAGGCTGGAGTGCAGTGGTGCAATCTCCGCTCACTCCAAGCTCCGCCTCCCGGGTTCACGCCATTCTCCTGCCTCAGCCTCCCGAGTAGCTGGGACTACAGGCGCCCACCACAACACCCGGCTAATTTTGTTTTGTATTTTTAGTAGAGACGGGGTTTCACCATGTTAACCAGTATGGTCTCGATCTCCTGACCTCATGATCTGCCCGCCTCGGCCTCCCAAAGTGCTGGGATTACAGGTGTGAGCCCCCACACCCGACTGTCTATGGCTTTTAAATTTGAAGGCTATAAAGATTATCCCAGTGGCATTATGACAATTAAGAACTGCAAGAGTTGGCTAGAGTGGATAAGTTGAATTTGTTCCAACTTATCCACAGCAGTGGCTGTGTGTATGGAGGGAAGGGAGAGATTTCTTGTGTGTTTTCCATATATGGTGGCATGATGGGCTCGAGAAGGCTTTTTGAACTTGTGGTCTGTAGATCCCTGGGGCTCTGCTAGGCACTTTTAGGACTTCCGTGAGGACAAAATTAATTTAAAAAGCTGTTATCTTGTCCTTTATACTGTCATATTATCAGTTAAGTTTCCCAAAGCTACATTACTTGTGTGACATTATCATTCTCACAGGTAATGGAATATGTGATTAGGTACTTTTTTGTGTTTTAATATTTTCTTGTTTAACATGTGGCATCTATCTACCAATAGAGCATCAAAGTTGATCATATTTTGTTCTCAGTACCCCTTTTTAAAACTCTTAAATTATTGATGACCCCAAAATGACTGATGGCAATTGAAAGAGAAGCCTAGGATTTGTAGACAGAGAAATGGAGATAGATAGATAAATAGAGAAATAGATTTTTTTTCTTCCCTACCCATCTCCTGGTAACAGAATCTCTACTGTGTGGTTTAAAGAAGCTTACCTGATTCTCTCCGACATAAGGTGAAGCACAGAGTCTCAAGAAGCAGATCAGAGAACAGACATTTCCTGGCCTTTATGATGGTTTAGGTTTGAGACTTGACTCAAGTCAAGGCCAACCAAAGCTCTTATTCAGATTTTTTCTAGCCACTGGGGAGTTCTGTGCTCTAGAATTTCTGAGAAACAGATAAGCCTGAACAAATGACTAAGAAGTTTACTATAATATGGAGACATCTTTACTGAGAATAAAGCCAAAAGATACAAAGACTCAAGTGAGGTATGAAGAGAGCTATTGTGTTTTTTACTTTTTTGTTTGTTTAAACTATTCTGAATTTGATTTAAATGACCTATGAATGAAAGAACTCTGACAAATATAACTTGATTATTTGGATATTTTAGGCCTTATGATATTTTATTTTTGAACACATATTGCGTTGAATGCATTATATGCAGTAAGCACAATCATCCAAACTACAATGTGAAAGGAAGATCCTCATTTTGAAAATAAGCAAACTGAGACACACAGTCATAGAGGTCATTAGTTGTGCAGCCAGATTAAAAATCCAGAATTTTCTTTCTCTAGAGACCTTGGCTTTATTTACCCACTACAATTCCTTTTATTTCATATATTAAATTATAGAAAGTAAAATCCAACAAATGAAGTATAAAACTTTGGGAATATACCAAATCCTCACTGTTTATGCAGTGCTGTGCATCTCTTGCTGCAAAAGTCACATAACAAATTCATTTTCCAAGTTCAGAGCATGTGAATCTGGTTGTTTTTAGTTAGAAAAATTGCAGGCAGCATTATGTAACTTATGTTTAAGACTTAAGGAGAATTATAAATTTCAGCCTGAAGTGTCCTGAAAGAAAATTAAAGTGGCAATTTTCTAAGCCAGGAAGTTCAAGTGATCCCTTAAGAACCATTAAGGACTTGTTTTTATAAAGCTATAAACAACTTTGTTGGTATCTGATCTAAGTTTGCACAACAAGTGCAATCTCAGGGGAGTTCTGATAATATTTCTATCTCGTTGTATAAATGAAGAAAACAATGGCTTAATCTCTTTTTCTTCAGCCAAGGAAGGGCATGATAAAAGTCTCAAAAGAGTCTATCCTATAAGAGAAATAATTCAAATGAGTTCTGAAAATTTCACAGAAATTGTTTTTCTAAGAAGTCAAACAATTTAACTTCCACATTGGAAAATTGCCAACAATGTATTCTGTGTATATATTCTGCTGTAACCAAGATATTTGTGGATGTCTTTAAAAAGTTCCTTAAAAATCTCAGCAATTAGATCTGCTGTAAATCCAGTTATATTTCTGTGGGTGTTTGGGGAAAGTCCTGGGAGGCAATTGGGTGGACCACTATTTGAAACTCAAACTTTCTTATGTTCTTGTAAATATCTGGAGGAAAACAACGTGACAATACCATTCATATTATTAACTCCATTGATGTAGCAAACATATTTATCTGCATTAATTTAAGATAATTTCTACTTGTGAGAAATAATGTCAGACTAATAACTTCTTAATATATATGGTCATCTGATTATTTAGGAAAAGAAAAAACATCGAGGCCATGGTTAATGTGAGGTAAGTCAGTTCCTCTGGGGAATATTCATCTTCTCTAATAGAGTTAATCAGAAGGAATGAAAAGGGACTTCTAAGTCCAGAAACATTTTCTCTTTGACCGCAACATTTACAATTCCACCAGCCTCCCAATTACATCCAATTGAGGTAGTGACATCTGTCCTCCAGAAATGTATGAAATAATCAAATCTCTTTATTTGTGAATTACTGAATGCCTTTCAGGATGTAAAGGTCAACAAGTAAAACTCTCTACCTTTTATCTAGTGACACAAGATTGTGTGCACGTTTTAGAAACTAGTGAATAACTGTGTTACTCATTATTACTGATGGTGCTTCTGCTCTGATCCTCTAGGAAGCCTTTTATTCAAATTTCAAAATAAACGTCTTTGAGTATAGAGGTGGAAGTAGAGGAGGGAAGCATTCTATGATGCAGGTTTCATTTTGTGCTATAGTTTTATATAAGTGCATCTTGAATTCAGACAGTTCTTGATGTCATTTATACTATGGGCAAGGTATGATTCTAGTTCCTATGGACAAAACTCTAACGAAAAATAAAACTCTAAAGATTTTCTCATAGAGTTAACCAGCTACTTTGGGCCATAATTATTTTAGAGTTTGTCAATTCTGTTTCACTTCAATAATTAATAAATATAATAAGAATCAAAACATTTAGATATTTATCATGGATTTACCACTATATATTTGTTTACATTATTTTTCCCAAATCTCTTAACCATTCCATATCCAGATATTCAGAATATACAAAAATACTATTGATATGGTTTGGCTCTGTGTCCCCCCACAAATCTCATCTTGTACCTTCCATAATTCCCACACGTTGTGGGAGGGACTTAGTGAGAGATGATTGATTCATGGAGCGGGTCTTTCCCATGCTGTTCTTGTGATAGTGAATGGGACTCCTGAGATCTGATGGTTTTAAAAACAGAAGTGTCTCTGCACAAGCTCTCTCTTTGCCTGATACACATCCATGTAACATGTGACTTGCTTCTCCTTGCCCTCCGCCATGATTATGAGGCCTTCCCAGCCGTGTGGAACTGTAAGTCCAATAAACCTCTTTCTTTTGTAAATTGGCCAGTCTTAAGTATGTCTTTATAAGCAGGATGAAAACTGACTAATACAGTAAATTGGTATCAGGAGTGGGGTGTTACTGAAAAGATACCCAAAAATGTTGAAGCGACTTTGGAACTGGGTAACAGGCTGAGGTTGGAACAGTTTAGAGGGGAGACAGGAAAATATGTGAAAGTTTGGAACTTCCTAGAGACTTGTTGAATGGCTTTGACCAAAATGCTGATAGTGATATAGACAATGAAATCCAGGCTGAGGTGGATCTCAAATGGAGATGAGGAACTTGTGGTGAACTGGAGCAAAGGTGACTCTTGTTATGTTTTAGCAAAGAGACTGGAGGCATTTTGACCCTACTCTAAAGATTTGTGGAACTTTCAACTTGAGAGACATAAGTTAGAGTATCCGGTCAAAGAAATCTTTATGCAGCAAAGCATTCAAGAGGTGACTTGGGTGATGTTAAAGGCATTCAGTTTCAAAAGAGAAACAGAGCACAAAAGATTAGAAAATTTGCAAACAGACAATGCAATAGAAAAGAAAAACTCATTTTCTGAGGAAAAATTCAAGCCGGCTGCAGAAATTTGCATAAGTAAAAAGGAGCTGAATGTTAAACACCAAGAAAATGGGGAAAATATCTCCAGGGTATGTCAGAGGCCTTTGCGGCAGCCCCTTCCATTACGGGACAGAGGCTTAGGAGTAAAAATGGTTTCATGGGCTGGGCCCAGGATATCTGTGCTGTGTGCAGCCTAGGGACTTGGTGCCCTGTATCCCAGCTGCTCTAGCCATGGCTGAAAAGGGCCAACATAGAGCTTGGTCTGTGGCTTTAGAGCATGCAAGCCTCAAGCCTTGGCAGCTTCTATGTGGGGTTGAGCCTGCAGAGTGCATGGAAGTCAAGAATTGAGATTCAGGAACTTCTGCCTAGTTTTCAGAAGACATATGTAAATGCCTGGATGCCAAGGCAGAAGTTTGCTGTAGGAGCAGTGTCCCAATGGTGAACCTCTGCTAGTACAGAAGGGAAATGTGGGGATGCGAGCCTCCACACAGAGTCCCTCTTGGGCACCTCGTAGTGGAGCTGTAGGAAGAGAGCCACTGTCCTCCAGACCCCAGAATGGTAGATCCACCAAGAGCTTATACCATGTGCCTGGAAAAGCCATAGACACTCAACACCAGCCAATGAAGGCAGCTGGGAGGGGAGCTGTACCCTGCAAAGCCACAGGGGCAGAGCTGCCCAAGACTATGGGAACCTCCCTCTCACATCAGCATGACCTGGATGTGAGACATGGAGTCAAAGCAGATCATTTTGGAGTTTTAAGATTTGACTGCCCTGCTGGATTTCAGACTTGCATGGGGTCTGTAGCCCCTTTGTTTTGACCAATTTCTCCAATTTGGAATGGCTGTATTTACCCAATGTTTGTACCTGCATTGTATCTAGGAGGTAACTAACTTGCTTTTGATTTTATGGGCTCATAGGCAGAAGGGACTTGCCTTGTCTTGGATGAGATGTTGGACTGTGGACTTTTGAGTTAATGTTCAAATGAGTTGAGACTTTAGGGGACTGTTGGGAAGGCATGATTGGTTTTGAAATGTGAAGATATGAGATTGTGGAGGGGCTAGGGACAGAATTATGTGGTTTGACTCTGTGTGTCCACCCAAATCTCATCTCGTAACTCTCATAATTCCCATGTGTTATTGGAGGGACTCAGTGAGAGTTGATTGGTGAGAGAGTGAGAGTTGATTGAATCATGGGAGCAGGTCTTTTCCATGCTGTTCTCATAATAGTGAATGGGTCTCACAAGATCTGATGGTTTTAAAAATGGAAATTTCTCTGCACAAGCTCTCTCTTTGCCTGCTGCCATCCATATAAGATGTGACTTGCTCATCTTTGCCTTCTGCCATGATTATGAGGACTCCCCAGCCATGTAGAACTGTAAGTCCAATATACCTCTTTCTTTTGTAAATTCCCAGTCTCAGGCATGTCTTTATTAGCAGCGTGAAAATGGACTAATATAACTATCAAGCACTATTTTTTATAATTGGAAGTATATTTGAGTTTTAATAATATATGAAGTTTTTGTAACATAACAAAGTGCAAGATAATTTAAAAATTATATAATTCATGTTTTCTATTAAGGATGATCTCTGATAATATGAAAATTGTAAAATGATATAGCTACTATTTGGTGCACAATCAGTAAATAAAAAGCACTAGTTACCATGATATATGGTTACTTTATAGAATTATTTAAATGAATGTAATACATTATTTACATTGGCATAAAAGTTTTTCTAAATATTTCTAATATTTCTTGAACTGCACATGGAAACAAAATGCTACGATAGGAAGATGAGAGAATATTTTTGAAGTACTTACAATGAGAGATGCTAGATAGAAAAATACATCACAAAAATATTAGATATACAAAACTATTAAACTTTAACAAAACACTCAAAAGATTATTGTGCTACAGAATGTTTGGCAGAAATGGTCTAGACCAGTGCTTCTCAAACTTTTGCATATTTAAGAAACTTTAGGGGTGAAGTTCGGCAATCTATTTGGGTAAGCTCTAAACAAAATATACACTAATTTAAAACTAATGATTCATGTTGAATCTTTTCTTCTCTGAATTGATTTAATTAAGTCATTTAGTACACATAATTTTCTCTCTTAAAATCTAGACTCATTAAACCAAGATGTCAATCTGCAAGTCCTCCTGTGTAGCTAAAATAGGCATCCCAAATTTAACATTTCCAAACGCTAGACACATGATTTCCTCACCCAAACCAGCCCTTGTTTCCAGTTTGTTATACCTCAATAATAACCATCTGATTGACTATTTTAGTCTAATCTCTTTGAGTCATCTTTCACTTATTTCTGCAAATCAATGTGAGAAAAAAATACCAATGGCTCTACCTTATAAATAGATCTATAGTTTGATTGATACTCAAAAGCTGGACCACTACTTCTATGAATCCAGGCAACCATCATATTTCAACTGGACTACTGCAGAAACCTTCTAGTTGATGTCCTGTCTTTCATCTTTATTCTAGTTAGTGTTTTGACTGTCCCAGAGTGAAAGAAATACTTTTACATGTAAGTCACATCATTTCTCTTCTTTCTTAACCTAAACTTTGCAATGGTTTTCCAATTCACTCGGAATGAAAGTTAAATAACTTGCCATGGCCAAAATGGTCCTGCCAGATCTGGCTCCCATTAACCAGTAAGAAATTCTCTCGTCTCAATATCATCTTACTCGTTCCAGATTTGCAAAAGAGAAGCCTTTTATATTCTTTTTTTTTTTTTTTTTTGAGATGGAGTCTCACTCTGTTGGCCAGGCTGGAGTGCAGTGGCGTAATCTAGGCTAACTGCAAGCTCCGCCTCTTGAGTTCATGCCATTCTCCTGCCTCAGTAGCTGGGACTTCAGGCGCCTGCCACCACACCCGGCTAATTTTTTGTATTTTTAGTAGAGACGGGGTTTCACCATGTTAGCCAGGAAGGTCTCAATCTCCTGACCTCGTGATCTGCTCTCCTCGGCTTCCCAAAGTGCTGGGATTACAGGCGTGAGCCAGTGCGCCTGGCCTGATATTCTTTATAATGATTCTCTTCTCAGAATAATTATCTTCTCAGAACCTCTCTGTCTATTCTTCTTCCTACAGTGGAATTCCACCTTAAATATCTGTAGCTATTTCTCATGGTATGGTCAAATAACATACTCAGTGGTACTTTATCAGAAAGAATTTTCCATGACATCAATACAAAATAGCACCTCCCATCCTTATACTGTCCTTTCCCCCAAGTTGGAGTAGGTTCCAGAAAAGTAGGGTTGTTGTATTTCTTTTTTTTAATGGTTGTTGCTCTTTGTTGGAGATCAAGAATCTTAAAGAGAGTCTGAAACAAGTCATTGCTTGTTATGAGTTG
Organism: Homo sapiens; assembly: GCF_000001405.40. Lineage (NCBI taxonomy): Eukaryota > Metazoa > Chordata > Mammalia > Primates > Hominidae > Homo > Homo sapiens. The sequence goes on from NC_000010.11 coordinate 37,514,572, forward strand.
GATTGTGTACTCCCCAAAAATGCATAGGTTGAAGTATTAGACCCCAGGCCCATAGAATGTGATGTTGTTTAGAGATAGGGTCTTTAGAGTGGTAATCAAGTTAAAATGACGTTATTAGATCAGGCTTAATATATTATGTCTAATGTCCTTATAAAAAAGGAGAATGTGAACAAAGAGATGTGGATAGGAACAAGTGATATAAGGAGAAAATAGCTACCTACAAGTTGAGAAGAGAGGACTTGAGATGGATTCTTCCCTCACAGCTTTCACCAGGAACCAATCCTGCTGTCTCCTTGATTTTGGACTTCTATTCTCTAAAACCATGAGACAATAATTTCTATAATTTAAACCACTCAGTGTGTGGTACTTTGTTGCAGTAGCACTGGCAAACTAATACATTGTTCAATAAGTACGTATCTGTTGAATAAATTGAATGAGAAAATATTCTGAAACCAGGTTTATAAAATGAACTGGATGCCTCTCCAGCTTTCTCACATTTCATGTCTGTTCACAATTATTTAGTAAATACTGCAACTATACATAAGTCCTTCCAGCGAAACAGGTAAAAATTATAAAGAAATCAGAATGGTGCATATGTGCTGATACCACCAAAAAAAAAAAGGGGGAAAGAAAACAGAAAAAGAAATGCAAACATACTTGTAGATGAAAATGAAAATCATAAAATTATATAATGATATAGAAGAAAATTTTAACACAGGCACTTTTCCATGAGCTTAACAGTCTTGAAGAAGATAGAGCTTTTGAAAAGAAGAGCTCAGATACACAAGAAATATTGTTTTAAAAAATAGAATAAAAAACTGGCAGCACTCAGGAAAGGAAAATTTAAAAATTATAAAAATGAAAGCTGCACTGGAGGAGTAAAAGAGTTAAATATGAATTTCTGAATGGATTCAGGAGTATGATAAGAAAACTTAGTAAACTTAAATACTTCTCAATTAAAATGAAACCATTTTAAAGCAAAAAAAGAAAAAACCCAAGGAAACTGTGAACATCTCCATAATCGTTTCTCTTGAAGTAAATACTGTAATAATGGAGCACATGAAACAGAAATATGGTTTTAAAGATAGGATAGGCTATTAATAAAAACATACTATCTGAGGGCATCTCAGAGCTGAAGGATTGAAGAATAATTAGCGGCCAGGTGTGGTGGCTCATGCCTGTAATCCCAGCACTTTGGGAGGCCGAGGCGGGTGGATCATGAGGTCAGGAGATCGAGATCATCCTGACTAACACAGTGAAACCCCGTCTTCACTAAAAATACAAAAATATTAGCCAGGCGTGGTGGCAGGCGCCTGTGGTCCCAGCTACTTCGGAGGCTGAGGCAGGAGATTGGCATGAACTCGGTAGGCAGAGGTTGCAGTGAGCTGAGATCACACCACTGCACTCCACCCTGGGCGACAGAGACTCCGTCTCAAGAAAAAATAATTACAAGTAATGTAGGTTGGCAAAGCATAATCCTAAATTGTATTACCATGCCTACCACATTTTTAGTTTGTAGAAATTTAACTTAAGAGAGAAATTTTTATTTCAATAAATATGTAGAAAATTTCAATACATATGTGATGACTCTCAATAGAAGTTGGTTTACAAAAAAAATACAAATAATACTTTTATTATATATAATTCATTCCTCTACATGTATAATTTTTAAGAAAATCTTTCTTCCTTCCCGCATGCAATCTTTCAGGTCACACCATAAAATTATCATGGTTCTTTTTAGGCTGATATCTTAGTTCAATTCCAATGGATAACATAAAAATAAACCCCTACAAAGTTTATTTTTTAATTTTCCTTAATACTAGAGTGTTCTGTACTTATTGGCATTCAGAGATATAATGTAAATATATTGTCCAGAAGGCAATGTCTCAAATAAGAAAATGAAATATGATCTTTTATTTCAATTCTCTGTCAAATATGTAAAAGTTGATGCATAATAGAGGAAGTATGGCAGAAAATTTTCTTCCTTTATTTAATATAAATAACTTCTCCATTGGATAAAAAAAACTTTACAGAAAACATACATACTGAACAGGCAGGATAAAAGTATTATCAGCAGTAAATCTGGTATCTATCTATCTGTCTATCTATCTCTACTATTTTCCATACTCTCTATCTGCATATTTTATTCACATTTTAATGAGAGAGCTTATATAACCTTTTGCGGGTATTTCTAAAGTAAAGAAAGAGAAGTGAAATAATATAAATTTTGCTTAATTTGATAGATGTTACTACCCTTGCATTTGGTCAATTTACTAAATCAATTATTAGTTTCAATATTTGGTTAATTTTATTAGGTAGACCATGTACATAATTATACACACAAATGCTCATGCACACATATACACACATATACCCTCATATAAAATGTTGAATTACATCAACTTTTATCTAGGCATTTACTGAGATGTTAATTTGCCAAGGACATTTATTCAGCTCTTACTGTGTTCAGTATGGATTTTCCACTGAACTTCCTCTAAAGGAATATTGTTGAGTAATAATTTTTGGCCTTATTGTGTTTCCTTTCCTTATTCCTCTGCAAGGCATGAGGCAGCAATATTTTAAGTGGTGATTTTGAGAAGAGAAATTGAACATGCTCAGACCAACCTTTTTTCTCACTCTTTGTGTGAGCCAAGAAAAAGGAGAAGGAGAAGGAAAGAAAAAGAGATATGAAAGACAGGTAGAAGCTTAAGAAGGAAGAAAAGGATGGAACAAAAGAATGAGGGAGGTAGGAGAGAGAGCACTCACACACATAGCATATATAGTTCAACAGACACTATCCTAAATGCCTTGCATATATTATCTAACTTAATGCACACAACAATTCTCATGGACTATTATTATTCTCATCTGTAAATAAGAAAACTGACGCACAAAAGGATATAGTGTTTATACAGCTAGTAAGTGATAAAGCTGAGCTGGTAAACCAGAGAGTTTGAAGAATTACACCTAAGTTTTAATAATTCCTTTAATTGTCACAATTCCCTAAATTTTATGAGTTTATTCCTTAGTTCCTGTCAGTTTTTCATTAATAAATATATACATACTTTTTTTGGATATACTTGTGGTTTTTAAGCTTCTCACTTCCGTCACGTGTGTTAAAATTATCTTAAGGTTGAGAGCGATGGTTCATGCCTGTAATTCCAGCACTTGCAGAGGCTGATATGGGAGGATTGCTTGATGCCAGGAGTTCACAGCCAACCTGAGCAACAGAGCAAGACCCCATCTCTACAAAAAATAAATTAGCCAGGCATGGTCGTGTGTGTTTGGCCTATAGTCTCAGCTATAGGCTGAGATGCTGAGACAGGAGGATACTTTGAGTCCAGGAGATTAAGCCTGCAGTCAGCTTTGGTTGAGCCACTGCAGTCCATCCTGGGCAACAGAGCAAGACTCTGTCTCAAATTGTATATAGATATATTTAATTTGTGCTATTATATCTGATTCTTAGAAGAGTCTGATTGCACACATGGTTTTTTGCATTATCACTGATTTTATTGCACATATATCTCCTAGAAATCAATGCTAGAGAACTGTGATGCCAATCTGATTCATATTGCCTTATAAGCGAACTGATATTTTTCTTTCATGGTTATTGGAAATTTCTTGTTCATTTTTTTTCTGTATCATCAATATGTAATTGGGTATTGGCTTTGTTTTCCTCCCATTTGATCCTATTTGATATGAGATTGACTTTTTTTAAATAGAAGATTTATATCCCAGCTCAAAGAAATTTTATTATTTTGATTATATTCTTTCAATCAAATTGGAAAAAAGTATTTATCCTTATATAGTCACATGGCTACATCTCTCAAGTCTCCCAATACCATAAATTTTACTCAAATATTGCCCTTGTCACCTTTTAAATGAAAGCTATCACACCACCCTATTTAAAATGCAAACTGCCTTCTACCCTGTCACATGCAAACCGCTTTCATCTGTTCTACTTCTTTTCTATTCTCTAACATTCTGTGACGTTTACTATTTAGTGTATCTATTGTTAATTGTCTGGCTACTCGTATTACAATATAAGCTTTCTGAGAGTAAAGGTCATTATCTTTTCGGATCCATTAGAATCATGTCTGGCATCTAGAAGGGTCATCAAGAATATACAATGAATAAATGAAAAACCAATGAGATTTTTGCATCTTACGTCTATGAGCCTTAAATGTCCTCTCACATTTTCTTTGTGTTCTGTTCCATAATTATCTCATTATTTGGGCATTTAGTTCATTACATTAGTAATCAGGTGTAGCTCCTCTACTAGCACTTTGCTGCTACTGTTTGTTTCACTGTTAAATATTCAAAATACATTGTTAGACTCCTAGCCTCTTGAATGTTAATTTTTCATTGCAAACTTGTTTTATTGAGTTACAGATGTGGTATGCTTTCAATTCTCTTTGTTTGCATTAATTATATTTTATGTTATATGTTCTTGTTTTCCATATCACCTCTTTATTTCTCTGTTTTTTTTGTTGATTGTGGTGGGGTTTTTCTTTGCCATATTTAAAGTTCTTTAGAATTTGTTAATCTGAGTTATCTGTTCATACTCAGTGATGAGAAATAAGTAAGCAAGGTTAGCAACCATGGAAAATTTTTGTAGCCTTCCTAAGCATTCACTTTTCATAATTAATGAATATGATTCTGTTGACAGCACGCAAAGGGGAGAAGGCATAGTCAGGTAGAGTGTGCACATTGCTACTCTCTATTTGAAAGTGCCCTCATCACAGGGTGGTTATAAGACTCCTTGAATACTAAGCCATTCTCTGGTGGCAAAATTCTCTTTGTTTACTATCTAGATAAAAAGAGCCAATTGCTCAAAGTTTAGCAAGTATTTAATAGATGCTTAATAAGTATCTCATGAATTAATTATTGATGCACTAATACCCCAAGTATGAGTTGCCCAGAGCAGCTATTCCTTTATTTTTTTTTTTCTGGATAACCCTGAGTAATACAGACAGAACTATTGATATGACACCTTCATGACCCTACAGTACTATCATGGAGTTCTGTGAAACTGATGGTTTGACTGATTCACAAAATGAGCCTCTTATTAGTTATTATTATTTGAGCCACTATCTTCCTAGGGCAAAATCAGTTCATGTGGGTCTGGCTTTTCACCATCTGAAATTTTTTTTTTTAATGAGCATATAGCAAACCATAAAAGAAAACCAACAGATATAAACCAAAACACAGTTTTTGTTTTTTTAGGGATCTACTTACTCATTTAATAAATTATGTTAAAGAAAATGAAACATTGAAATATTAAATTTTCAGAAGAACTGTTTATTCATTAAAGTTGTTAGGCAAAATCAATGGGAAAATATTTTAGGCAAAGAAACTTTGATTCCATTTTGGTTTTGTTGTTGTTGTTGTCGTCATGGAAAATTCTACCCTGTTATCATTTTAAAATTCCTTACCTCTCTTTCCTTCAATGCTATAATTGCTATTTCATTGACTGGTTACAGCCTCAGAAGCTGGGTTGTTACCATCTGTTTTAGCTTTCTAGAACTGCTGTAACAAAGCACTACAAACTGAGTGGCTTAAACAACAGAAATATATAGTCTTGCAGTCATGAAGACTAGATGTCCAGACTTGAGGTTTTGACTGTGTTGGTTCCTTCTGAGACTGTGAGGAAACAATCTGTTCCAAGGCTCTCTTCTTGGCTTATAGAGGGCCATATTCTCCCTGTGTTCCTCTGCATCATTTTTCTTTCTGCATATCTGTCTCTGTGTCAAAATGTTTCCTTTATATAAGGACACCATCCTTATGCAAGGATGTTGGATTATGGCTCATCCTAATCCCCTCATCTTGACTTAAGCAATTATGTCTTCAAAGATGTTAAGAGAGAGAGATAGAGATCAAGAGTGATCTTTACTTATATAGAGATCTCTCTGTATATAGAGAGATCTATATAGATCTATATATATGTATATATTTTTATACCACCTGTGTTGAATCTAAAAAGCTGACAATAAACATCAAAACTTAAAAGGAGTGATAACTATCTAAACCTTGATATAATCAGGATTCAGTGTTACACAACTGGCCTGCCTTTTAACTGAGCCCGTTGCACATGGACACACATGGATATTTATAGCCCTAGGGTGTTGATGGTTTATTTTTAGTTGTCTACCTCCCCCTCATCAGCACAAAGAAACAATAACACATTTATGACAGTTCAAATACATGGAGAGGGATAATGGAATCTGCACACGTAAGTGAAATTGTTAGTACACTTTAAATTGTTGTTGTTAAAATTTTGTGTGTAGTGCAGTTGAGTTTTTAAATTTTTTTAATTACCAAAATTTCATGACTGTAGGACAGAGAACATAGTACAATGGAAACTCCCGTATACCTATCCCTGGACAACAGTTACCAAGATTTTGCCATACTTACTATCTCTATTTTTAAAAATCCTCCTGAAATATTTTAAACCAAATTCTAGTTATAAAGCATTGAGAAGTTTTAACACATTATGGTATTAATAATATTTAAACATATATTTTAAAAATTTAAACTGGACATTTGCAGAATATCTGAAGCAACTCTGTGGAGTATAATTTATAAACCACTACCCAATAATAATCATAAAATATTCATGAGAAAGGTGTGTGAGTGCTTTAAAAAACTTCCAAATCCCAGTTACTCAGACAAATGAGGTGAGAAGATTGCTTGAACCCGGGAGTTTGAGGCTGCAGTGAGCTATGATCACACCACTGCACTCCAGCCTGAGCAAAAGTGAGAGACCCCTTAAAAAAATAAAAACAGGCCGGGCGCGGGGGTTCATGCCTGTAATCCCAGCACTTTAGGAAGTGGAGGTGGGTGGATCACGAGGTCAGGGGTTCAAGACCAGCCTGACCAACATGGTGAAACCCCATCTCTACTAAAAATACAAAAATTAGCTAGGCGTGGTGACAGGCACTTGTAATCCCAGCTACTCAGGAGGCTGAGGCAGGAGAATTGCTTGAGCCCGGGAGGCAGAGGTTGCAGTGAGCCAAGATCACGCCACTGCACTCCAGCCTGGGCGACAGAGCGAGACTCCATCTCAAATAAAATAAAATAAAATAAAAACAGGCTGGACACAGTGGTTCATACCTGTAATCCTAGCACTTTGGGAGGCAGAGGCAGGCAGACTGCTTAAGCCAGCGAGATCAGCTGGGGCATCATGGCAAAATCACATCTCTACATTAAAAATAAAAATAAAAAATAAAAAATAGCCAAGCATGGTGGATCATGCCTGTGGTTCCAGTTCTTAGGAGACTGAGGTGGTAGTATCACTCGAGCCTGAGAGGTCAAGGCTGCAGTAAGCCATTATCACGCCACTGCACTCTAGCCTGGGTAACAGAGGCACTGTCTCAAGAAAAAAAAAAAAAGCAACAACAACAACAACAACAACAACAACAAACAACAAGCTATTCTAGTGATATTTCTGGTACTGGACTCTGATCCTGGATTAGGATTATGAAATAGGATTTGGAGGGTTATCTCTTATTTTCCTTTAAAATAATGAGATATTATGTACACCTATTTACTGAGTTTTCTCTACCACCCTTGTTTCAGGTATCTACGTCAGGAAATCACTTTAGTTTAACAAAATTACCTCATTTACAGCTTCCTAATATTTGCAGCTCTTATCCCAGTATGACCCCAGTCAAAAATGATTTTTATTTTTCACAAGTGATTTAGAGAATTCCTGGCCTGGCTTAGAGACAGTGGTTCTAAAGAAAAAATAACTTCATTGTTTTATAATTTGTGTCTTAGTAAAATAAGGGCTATTTGTTTTAAAACCATTTCCGTATCTGGTTTTTCAAATTAGCTTTCTTGGTTCTTTTAGTTTTCAGGTCTACAGAGAGATGATTTTGAGCTGGTCACAGTAGGTTTCTTAATTTATTTTTTAATTTATTTTTGAAACAGTCTATATAAATTCTGTTCTGTGAATACTTGTGGTTTTAACATCCAAAGATTCAAATCTGTTCACTCCATAAAGTTCTGACCCTGAAGCTGTCAGGCTGTGCCTAGGAACTGTCTCAGTGCCAATATGCCTCCCTGCACTGAAGCTGTTGGTTTCTAAAAATTCGTTCAGACCAGTTTTAACCTATAGAATGTTAACATCACATAATATGCATTGCAGCATATAGACTCTTGCTCTATCATTTTTCTAAATAGCTCTTTTGGTGTACTTGTTATTCATATCACTTGGATAATGCGCATACACAATTTGGGATCAAGAATTCATTTTAGGGTGCTGTGCCAGCTGTTCTCTTTTAGGCTGTGCTGCCGTCCTTGCTGAACTTTAGAGATGCTTAATAAAAGCAAAGAGGGAAGAACTTGCTGTTTGCTTATGTGAACTCAGGTAGGAGAGAATATTTACCAATGCCAGAAAGACAATTCTTTAATGGACGGTTTTGTGTTTCATTTTAGAATCACAGGAAGCTGATGAGGAAAGCTGGTAGCAGAAGTGGTTGAAAAATGTTCATCTGAGACTTGTTCTAAACTGTCAGAAAATGAGGCACCACAGAAGGCCATTGACTCTTTCTCAGTCAAGGATTTCAAAGAACCTGAATATGATTTTAGCAACATTTCCATCGTGAGGCCATTTTCAATAGAAGCGAAGGATTCCACGGGTATCCTGGCAGCCGTCAGAACAAAACCAGCTCATGGCTGTGTAACTGCAGTCTCAGGCAAGGCCTGCCTTCTAGCCCTCCAGACGCCCTCCAGGACAAGGCAATGACAGAAGGTGACATGGGAGTCACCCTAGAGGCTTCCACAGAAGCTGATCTAAAAGTTGGAAACTCCTGTCTAGAGCCTGTGCCCAGCAGAAGAAGCAAGCTGAGAAAGCCCAAGCCTGTCCCTCTGAGGAAGAAAGCAATTGAAGGAGAGTTCTCAGATGCCGGCACTGCTGTGGAAGGCACACCTCTCCCCAAGGCATCCTACCACTTCAGTCCTGAAGAGGTGGATGAGAACACAAGTCCTTCTTTGTTAGGAAGTGCCGGGTTCCAGAAGTCTCCTCCTGACCTTAAAGAAACTCCCAGCACTACGAAAGCCCTTCCAAGGAAACTTGGCAAGAAACCGGGTAGCAAACTGACTCACAAGATACAAAAAGATGGTATCAGTAAGTAAGCAGGTGTCGAAAAGCCTACAGACACAGTGGCATAAGATGGGCCTCTCTCCCAAGTGTCTTCCAAGCTAGATCCTAGTCAGTGGGATAAGCCCAGCTTCAACCCCTTTGGGAGCCACTCCATTCTGCAGAACTCCCCAACCCTGTCTTCTGAGGGCTTCTACCACTTTGACCCAAATAACTTTGATAAATCCATGGATCCCTTTAAACCAACTGTGACCTTAACAAGCAGTGACTTTTGTTCTCCCACTGGAAATCATGTTAAAGAAATATTAGAATCACCCAAGAAGGCAAAGTCACATTGAATAATGAGTGACAGTGGGTGCTGGGTGTCACGCTCTGTGTCTTCTCTGTGAGTTTGTCAGATGGCTACTTTTGGCTTTGGTGAACTGAATTTACCTTTGAGGTCCACCAAGGTTGATACAAAGCTTATAACATTATCCTATAGTCTTCCCTATTTGGCCTAACTTGTGTAGAATCAGAAATACCATGTGCCATGTTGGTGTGCTGCACCCTAAAACTTAGAGTATTAAAAAAAAAAAAAAGAAAAGAAATACCAGACGTTTCCTTTTCAGATTGTTGTCTTGTTTCTGAATCCTCAGCTTAATGAGGTAAGCTCCTTTCCCTGGGCCTGGAGACGTCTTTATGTTTAAAAAAAATAAAGAGTGGCATAAGATAGGTAGGTAGAGATTCGACGGTTTTCAGAAATCCTGGCGAGGCTGTCAGGAGTCACATTATAGACAGAATTCAAATGTCAGTGCTGGCCACTGTCTTCAGATTCTTTATGGAAAAAACAGAAATTCCAGTCCTATAAATTACCTATGTAGTATCAATAACGTGTAGAAAATGGCTCAAAAGGGTCTTGTAGAAAGTCTTTTTACATAAACAGAAAACTGTGATCTTTTGTTGGAAACAAATCTACCACTAAAATTTGGTGAGCATTCTTGTTTCCATATGTAGTTTCTAACTCATCAGCAAGGAGGTAAATTTCCAATTAGAATCAAGAATATTTTAAATGATCAGATAAAACTGAGTAAATTAGTTGGTTTAATCAGTCCCCCCATCTCTCATCTCTCCTGGGAAATCATCTGACTTTTGCAAGGTCCTTGGAGTTTTCAGCGTAATCACTTAAGGTCACATTCTATATCAAGTTTCAGTTTAACTTTGCTACAGGATTAGTTTATCACAAAACTTTAGTTGAGTACATTATAATACAGTCATACATCGCTTAGCCACAGGGTAGTTCTGAGAAATGCATCCTTAGGTGATTTTTTTGTGTGAACATCATAAAGTCAACTTACACAAACTTAGGTGATGTAGACTATTACACACCTAGGCTAAATGGTACAACCTATTGCTCCTGGGCTACAAACCTGTACATCACATTATTGTACTGAATACTATAGGTGTTAGGTGTGATGCCTCACACTTATAATACCAACATTTTGGGAGGCTAAGGTGGGAGGATCCCTTGAGGCCAGGAGTTTGAGACCAGCCTGGTCAACATAGTGAGATGCCCCCCGCTGCCAAAACACACCTCCTGTCTCTTAAGTTTTTTAAAAAAAATAGCTGGGAGTGGTGGTGCATGCCTGTAGTCCCAGCTACTCAGGAGGCTGAGGCAGGAGGATTGCTTGAGCCTAAGAGGTTGAGTCTGCAGTGACCCATGATTTTGCCATTGTACTGCAGCCTGGCTGGCAGAACAAAACCCTGTCTAAAAACAAACAAAACAAAACAAACAAACAAACAAAAAAACAAGAAAACAAACTACTGTGGGCAATTGTAACACAGTCGTAAGCATTTGTGTATCTAAACATATCTAAGCATAGAAAAGGTACAGTAAAAATATGGTATAAAAGATAAAAAATAATACACCTGTAGAGGGCGCTTACCATGAATGGAACTTGCAGGACTGGAAGTTGCTCTGAGTGAGTCAATGAGTGAGTGGTGAGTGAATGTGAAGGCCTAGGACATTCCTGTACACTACTGTAGCTTGTATAAACACTGTATCCTTCAGGTACACTAAATTTATTTTTAAAAACTCTTCCTTCTATAGTAAATTAAATTTACTCTTTTACTTTATCAACTTTTGAACTTTTAAAGAAGCTTTGACTCTTTTGTAATAGTAATTAGCTTAAAAAACAAACACATGGAACAGCTATACACAATATTTTATTTCTTTATATCCCTAGTTCATAAGTTTTCTTTGTTTAAAATTACTTATTTGTTTACTTTTTAAACTTTTTTGTTAAAAACTAAGGCACAGACACACAAATTGCCTAGGCTTACACAGGGTCAGGATTGTCAGGACATCACTAGGCAATAGTTTTTCTGCTCCATTATAACCCTACGGGACCACCACATGACCGAAAGTTTATTACGTGGCACATGACTGTACTTCCTTTTGCGGCCCTGTGACATTTTGCTAAAACGTTTCAGTAAAATGTAGATATAAAGAAGGACCAAGGAGTTGCAGCATGAAGTATGGAAAAGGAGTGCAAGAAGCACTGTGTTTGTAGTTGTCACTATAGATCAGTTGGGGAAATGCTTCTCAGTGTTGCTATGACTTAAAGAAAAACTCCAGATGCCATGGTGAGTTACAGCAGAAAGGAAGACACCCAGAAGTTTAAAGAGCAGAAGGATGGACTAAAGTACCAAGAAAATAGAGCGATGTAGGAGTCAGTTCTTCAGCAGCCCCAGAACGTCTAAGGGGAGTGAAATGTCATTAGTAACTCTGGATCTGTTCTTTGATTATATATCAGCAGTTAAATGGTTGTTGAAAAATATTATTGACTTGGTGCCCTCTTTTGTGGCTTTTAAGGTTATTTAGTTCTCTCTAGACAGTAGTTGGGGTATGTACTGGGCACATCACTGCCTAGTTACTTCCTCCTCTAAATGTGAGATGTTTCAGCCTACTGAAGTCGATAAGGAGTCGTTTGTGAGCCTTTCAGTTGCATGCAAGCAGTGCATTCATGTCAAATAAGATGAAATCTGGGCCAAAGAGAGGGTAATTCATTCTACACTTTATAATCAGTAGCAAGAAATACCATCTTTCGAGTCCTACCACCCTCACCTGGTAGGTAGCCTTTTTCCCCTATTCTGTTTTTGTCAAATGAACTTCTTGATCTAATACACTTAATAGGTTTTTTTAAAGGTCCTTATGCAACCAAAAATCTTGTTTTCTTGTTCTTTATACAAGAAAGCAGTGCTAGACCTCTTGGAAGTTTACTTTTCATCTACAAATTTGAATTTGCGGCATTTCTGAGTGTTTCTACCAGTCTCTCTTATGGTTGAGGTCTGTTAATCATTCACTCACTAGTGATAACATTCATGAATATGACATTTTAAATTAGTATCTCACCTCATAGAAAGAATTGTGCAGCTTTTACATCTGCAAGACTGGAGTTGAATATTCCAGTCTTTACATGATTTTTTTCTCCCTCTGTGTCTTTCCTGTCTCTTAATTTTGTTGGTGCATCGGGATTATTAAACAAGTGAAATTTCTCTGTTTTCTGTTGTAAGTACTCCTGCTGTTTCTGTTTGTCCCTGGGACCATTGGCAGTTTTCTCTCCCATCCTCCCTGAGCCATCTCTCCATAGCATGGTTTGCTTCTGAGTTTGATCTTTTGATGATTTTTTGTATTTCACTGGCCACTTCATGAGTTAGCTAAGCTTTGTAGGTGTCCGCACCTCAGGGAGTGGGGCTTGGCCTTTACACCTTAGGTGTGAGAACTTGCACTCCCTAGCCTGGCAAGTGTCACGTGGTGCTTTGACAATACCAAGAGCTGGCTTGGCCTCAAGCAGTGGTTTGAGGGACTGTTCTGCTATTTAATATTGGAAATCATTGACTTTTGGTAAGATAAAGCTACTGGCTTGGAACAGTTAATTTTACTGAGTCAGCTCAACTTGAGTTTGGTGGCAGAGGGTGGCACTCAGTAGGAAAACTAGGGAAAGAAGATCATGAAGTAATGATTATGCACATTCTGGTAACTTATGTGGTTGTCTTTTTATTTTTTCTTGCAAAAGAAAGAAGTTGCAAATTTTTTTTCTTTTTTTGGTCACGGTGTTTTTACTGAAAATTCTAAGTTTATTAAAACAGAACAGAATCTCAATTAGTCCTGTAATCACAAATTTTGTGCTAGTCTACAAATAACAGGTGGTTCAAGCTTTCCCCAGCTTCAGGCTTGGTGTAATATGTGGCATTCATCTTCCATCTTACTACTTAATAGGAATGGTAACCGTTTACTCACATATTTTTATTTTTACACTTTTTATTGACCACAGTTCTTGTCTGTGAACACACAAGTCTAACTGGAACTGTTTTATGAGACTTCTGTGGCTTTTGGTGAAATAAAGAATTTTTAAAGAAACCAGTCCAGCGTGATGATTTTTCTAATGAATGTCAAAGCCAAGCAAGGGAGGCTCAGAGGAACTGAATGTCTCCAGCTGCTAAGGCTCTACTGTCTGAAAAGCTTTTGGTGGTGTGTAATTAAAAACCATAGACATCAGAGTGCTAGTGTTTGAAAACTCACAGAAGCAAGCAAGGGGGTCTTTTCAGAGAATGAGCCCCGCTCTAGGTCTTTGCTTACCTCTTCTCTCCAGAGAAAACTCAGAGGCATAAAAGGTGTCCCTGCCTCTCTCACAGGTAGATGTATGGTGTGTGTGGTGCTGTACGCTTTGGCTTCTATCTGCACACACTGCTCTCTGTCCCATTTCATACCTTGACAGTTGTCAGTGTGGTTCCAAATTAGCTTTTTTATGTTTCTTCTCTTGCCAGGAGTGGCTTTAAGGTGAAGAAGCATGAAACTCAGTCTCTTGCCTGGGTGCATGTTCTCAGGTGAGTCTGTGCTCATCCCCAGAATGTCTCTTAGACCAGGGGTCCCCCAGCGGGAGTGGATCATAAGGACTTTCCAATGAGTGCCTGAGAAACCAATTTCCAGATCCTCACTGTCCCTGAAGAAAAGGCGCCTGAAGAAAAGGGAACCCTTTCACAATGACTCTCTCTCTCTCTTTGTCTCCATTTTTTTTTTTTTGTAAAACTCTCACTAAAAGCTACAAAGATGCATCACCACAGGGTGTGAAAGTCTCCAGGGCACCAAAGGGAAGATCTGAAATATTGGTATAGGTTCTAAGAAGATAATTGACTCTAATAACTGAAAGATATTTTTCTTAAGTCAGATGGTTTCCCAATTCATTGGTTTCGACAAAATAAGAAGACCTGAGTTGTTAGCTGATAGATCTAAAAATAATCTTTGATGATAGAATTTTTGGGCACATGACTTGGAAAGGGGTTCAAAGAATTGAAAGTCCTTCTGTTACAGAACTACCTTCTGTTTCATCTATCGTTTATATAAATAAGGTTTCTTAATAATTATAATTATAAAAATAGAAATCATGAATAAAATTGACATTGACCTCTGTTACATTCTAGCAATAAACAGTATGCATCCATGACCATATGAACTAATTGCAAAACACACATAAACCAAAACCCAAGCCCATCTGATTGCAACGAGATCCTTTTGTTCTTTTTAAAACTTTATGTCAGTATGCTTATGATTTTAGAAATACATTCATATTGGCTAATAGAATTCAATTTTAACATAACTTATTCTGTACAATTTGGACCAGAAATTTGGTATATGGTGTAAGATGTAAAAAAAGGGGTGCAGTGGGGGGAAATTTGCAATCTGAGTTATTTTTCATCTGTTACAAATGTGTAAAAGATTCTCCCTCAAATTTTGCTAATGTAGGCAACAAGAACTATGAGAAATTTATCTTTTGTTTTCTTTAAAGAAAAACCCAAACCCACATATTTTTGTACTGTAAAAGTTTTTAAGAATTAGTGCAATAAAACATTTTGTAGATGATATAAAAATTTACTTTTGTGTCTAATACTTATCAAAACTTGCAATATTTTGAAAATAAGTTGTGCATTAGTAAATGTAACAATAACTCATCAGCAGAAAAAAAAATTTAACACCTCAAGACTTATAGTCAAAGAAAAAAATGTAACAGAGGCATTGGATAGAGACCTTTAAAAGACTTTCAGTCATGCAGATGTTTTTCATTGGGATAATTTCTTGATGGAAGTGGAATGAATAACGTAATGGAAAATGAATAACGTAAATTTCTGACTTATTCAGGAACTTGTTTGTGTAAATTTAAAATGGATCATATGGTATCATATCACAAAGGTAACTAGATAGCATTAAGCAAATTCAATATTTAGAATAAGGCAGATATTACATTCTTTGCAATTATTTAAACTTATGCTGAAAAGTGTTTAGATGTCATTTGAAAATGAAATGGGGTACATAGATTTAAAAAAATTAGGAGGTATCTGATCAAAAAAAATTGAAAACCACTGTCTTAGACCACTTAAACTGCTTGCTGATAAACTTAGCCTAGAGAAGCTCATTTTTTAAAACCTCAGACTCAAATTACAGAACCTAGGTTCTATAAAACAGCATGTCACAATTGAAAGTTCCAGCTTCCTCCTTGCTTTGTACCCAGATCTGTGGCTAACTCCCTCAGATATCTTTATGGAGTTGTATCCACTTGGTTCCATTCATGAGATGTCACTTTTCCCCATTGCTTGCCCTCCTAAAGGGTAACATCTTCTTTGTTGTGTTTCTCAGGATGAAGGGGCAGTGATCTACCAGATTTCAGACATTTCTAATAGGGATGTCCACGCTACCAATGAGGAGAAACTGACATCCACGTCATGTGGTCAGAAATCAGGTGCGGGCAAGGTGAAAGGTGACCAGAGGGAGACCTGGAGTACTTTGAATGTTCCAGTGCTCCCATGTCTACCATAAATCATGCGTTTTCATCCTCAGAAGCAGGTATGGAAGCATATCTTCATCTTTCTAATGTATATATGCATAGAAATGCCTGAAAGCCTAATGAAGCAGGAGGCACCTTACAGAGCTTAAAGAATTGGGTCACTGGAAGGATAGATTTAGGATTATTGACCTATGCTTTTGCTTCTTTATCGAGAAAGTGGACACTAACAAAAGTGCTTATTGAAGTACTAGGAACATAGGGATACTTGTGGCAAGTTGTATAGGAGACGCTGATGTGTGTGAGACTGCTTGAATTTCTTTATAATTTTCTGTCAATATGGCCATATCTTGTAGTGGTGTGTTAGTTCATTTGCGTTGCTGTAAAGGAATACCTGAGACTGGATGATTTATAAGAAAAAGAGGTTTATTTGGTTCATTTTTCTTCAGGCTGTAGAAGAAGCATGGCACCAGTGTCTGCTTCTGGTGAGGGACTCAGGAAGCTTCCAATAATGGCAGAAGGCAAAGGGGAGCAAGTGGTCACATGGCGAGAGGGAAGGAGGAAGAGAGAGGGGTAGGAAGATGCCAAGCTGTTTTTAAGAGACATATCTTGCAGAAACTAAGAGACCAAGAAGTCACTCATTACCACAAGGAAGGCACCAAGCTATTCATGCGGGATACGCCCCTATGACCCAAACACCTCCCATTAGGCCTCACTCACCTCCACCATTGGGATTAAGTGTCAACATGAGATTCAGAGGGGATAAATATTCAAACTATATCAGATGGCCTATAAATATGTCATACATTATGCAGCCATAAAAAAAATGGGTTCATGTCCTTTGCAGGGACATGGATGAAGCTGGAAGCCATCATTCTCAGCAAAGTAACAGAGGAACAGAGGACCAAACACCACATGTTCTTACTCTTAAGTTAGAGTTGAACAATGAGAACACATAGACACAGGAAGGGGAGAATCACACACCAGGGTCTGTCAGGGGGGTGGGGGAAAATGGGAGGGGGAGCATAAACACAAATACCTAATGCGTGCTGGGCTTAAAAACTAGATGACAAGCTGATAGGTGCAGTAAACCACCATGGCAGATATATACCTATGTAACAAACCTGCACATTCTGCACAAGTATCCCAGAACTTAAAGTAAAACAAAAAATAAATAAAATAAATATGTCATATGTCTGACTTTTTATGATTTTTATGTTCATTGTTTAACTTACAGAAATAATAACTAATACATATGGTGCCTTATCATGTGCAGGCATTGTTCTAAGTGCCTTGCATATACTTATTCATAGCAAGGTGTTACTCTTTTCTCCTTTTTTCAGAGAAACAAAGAAGGCAAAAAGTTAAGTAACTTGACTAAAGTCTCTTGGCAAGTGTAGGAAAGAAAAGTGGTATCTTTCCTCACTCATCACAAGGTTCATGGCTGAGACATCTCTAACAGAAGACAGATCAACAAGACAAAAGCATACAAATATATTTAATATAAGTTTTACATGACATTAGAGCCTCCAGAAATGAAGACCCAAACAGGGAAAACTGTACTTTTATGGAGAGTTGTGCAGAAGTACAATTGGAGGACAGAAGGGTGTGATCTAATGGTAATAAACTAGGGGAACTTAGTCAATCCTGTTTATTTCAATTCCTCTTAGTGTCTGTGTCTTTCAGGATAAGGACTTTGTTTTTCTCTGGGTGTAGGGAGGACCCCTCTGTTATTAGGTCTTATGACCTATTTTCATGGGAAGGTCTGAGGGATTCCTTTATGGCCTGCTTCAGGGGAGAGGGCAGGAGAGGTGCCAAGAGACCTTCCTGCTTCTGCTGTGTCCTCAGGTGCGAAGGCACCAGATTTTGGTGAAGTGTGTTCTGAACCTTGTCAGTAGTAAATGGTAGAACTACATTTGACTCTAAGCAGTCTGGTTCCATGATCGTTTAGCCACAATGTCAAAGTGTGAAGAGATTATCTTAATGACCCTAGGCTACTGTAAATTTTCCTGGTACAGTGTGTTAGGTTGAAACTGACCAGTGCACTGTAAAATCTTTCTTAAAGTGCTAATGAGGAAGTTGGACTAAGCAGGGCTGAAGCCTCTTACTGATGGACTTTTCAGATCATTCTAGAGCTAAGCCCCTCTCCTGGGTACCAAGTTAGATGGATGGCTTTAAACTTTACTTATGAAAAGTTTAGAAACATGTTCCTGACTACATTAAACATTATTAAAAACTTAGATCTTCTTAAACAACATAATTTTATTTGTGGCATTTTATGCACAGAATTTTAAAAGTCATGATCTGCCATTAAGCCAGGGAAGCAGATGGAAAGTCAGGACTTGGAGCAATTTATTCCCCCTGGTCTCCTTCCCATCTCAGATCCCAGTCTCTCTTCTATAAAATATTGGGCCAAGCATTGTTCCTGATTTTGTCCAACACTGCCTTCTGCCCTGACATCTTTCCCAAAGACCGTGTTCACCATTCTGCCGGTTTCTCTGGGTTAATCCTGAGTATTCTTGCACCTGCCTTCATTTCGTCCATCTGAAGTGTTTTCCTTTGCTGCCTCCTACACAGATCTGCACATCCCTTCAGGTCTCTCCTGCATGCTTTATGCTCCCATGACATTTCCTATTCCCCTTCCTGTTCCACAGCACCTAGTGCAGTGTGTCAATTACAGGAAAGTAATATTATAAACTTACTGAGGTTAGAGACTAGGAGACGGTCATTTTCGAGTCACCTTTGACACAGTACATGGTAAACATTTATTGAATTATATTCTTCCTCACCCGAGGAAATTCCTTCAACGAAAATTTATACAGACAGCTGGGACACTTGTTTACATCTCTTCCCCCTACTGTTTGCTAACTTTGAAGATAGTACTGTATGCTATCTTCATACTGAAAGAAACCTGAGCCCAACCTGTCCCTCCACGTTCAGGAACTTATAAAGCATGGCGGACACGTCTTCTTCCATCCTTTGGCACGTCTCCTTCTCTATGCCTAAGACAGAAAGTCATTTTTATAGTTATCCCAATAAGTTGGTTCCTTATTGGGAACCAGATTTAAAAAGGGGGAAGAGATTTAAAGAACCGGCTACACTGTAACTGATCAGCCACATCACAGGCAAGTGGAGGCTGCTGTACTGGTGTGGGGGTGGCTACAGGCCCTGTTAGGTGAATCCAGACCATGTCCTGGGGAGTGTCCACTTGGAGTTGGGTCCTGATGGCTACTTACCTAGATGTTTTCTGGGAAATGAGACCCTCACACAGCCATGGGGAGGAAGCCGCCATGTTGGTAAAATGCCCAGTTTCTTTCTCTGAGTACATGGCAAGTGGGAAACAAGGTCATACCATGGAATCTGGGCTTGAGCCTTTGGTAGGGAGTGGGGAGGTTGAAGGTTTTTGAACAAGGGAGTGAGGGTCACATTTGTGTTTTAAATAATTAACTGACAACAATAGTAGTTAGTGATTGCCATGTGGAGGATTGTAGCTTTAAAGTTTTGTATGCTTTTCTGTATTTTTATGTTTACTTCAATGAGTGCATCTTCTGGTTATTTTAAATGTCACCCTCCACCCTAGTAGAGTAGAGGATAGACCTGAGATGAGGAAGCCCATTTGAAGGGTATGGAGGAAGAATGAGTTTAGATTTGCTGGCTTAAATTTTAAAGCTTATTATCTTATCTGCTGCATTAATTAGATCAAGGCCACTCTTCTGGGCTGGAATTTAAGTTCATTCAGACTTGATGATAAAAAAAAAAATCAGTGTTACAGTGTGTTCACTTTCTGCCGTAATGCCATGGTTAGTCCAGTGCATTAGCCAAAATTGTAATGGACACAAGGGTGCAGGCTTGCTGTTCTTTCTGCCTGAAGGTTGATGACCTGTTTGTGGCTGACTAACCTGTGCTCTTCTTCTGAATGTCATGGACTTGTAATGCTGAACTGCACAGCGCTCAGCAGAATGCCAGCGCTCCTTTTAAATAAAATTTTGGAATGCTGTTTATGTGTTCACTGTCATTCTTGGCCTGCACTGGGGTTTCCAAGAGCCTTTCACTAGGGGGAAAAGCAACCAACTTATTGGGATAACTATAAAAATGACTTTCTGTCTTAGGCATAGAGAAGGAGACGTGCCAAAAGGTGGAAGAAGACGTGTCCACCATGCTTGTAAGTTCCTGAATGTGGAGGGCCAGGTGGGGCTCGGGTTTCTTTCAGTATTTGTTTTGAAGCCCATGTGAATTTGTTAAACTCTGGTCAGTGTTAGGTGATGAGGATAAAATACAAATAAGACACAGTTTCTTCACTTGAGGAACATGTAGTCTCTGCAGTGTTCTGTACAGTAGCCCTAGCTGCAGGTAGCTGTTGAGCACTTGAACCATAGCTAGTCAGAATTGAGATATCCGGTATGTGTAATGTGCAACCATTTTTTGAAGACTCAGTACAAAAAGAAGCATAAAATGTCTCAATATTTTATATTAACTACATGTTGACATAATATTTTGGATATATTGGGTTAACTAAGGTATATTATTATTATTATTATTATTAGAGACAGTCTCACTCTGTCACCCAGGCTAGAGTGCCGTGGTGCAATCTCAGCTAACTGCAACCTCCACCTCCTGGGCTCAAGTGATCCTCCCACTGCAGCATCCCAACTAGCTGGGACAACATGAGCATGGCACTATACCTGCTAATTTTTGTATTTTTTGTAGAGATGGGGTCTTGCCATGTTGCCTAGGCTGGTCCCAAACTCCTGAGCTCAAGTGATCTGCCCACCTTGGCCTCCCAAAGTGCTGGGATCACAGGCATGAGCCACCACACCTGGCTGGTTTACTCAGTTCTTGAAACAAACTTTAAACTTCCTGATTCCCAACTTATTCACCCATAAAATGAGCAGCACCCATCTGCCTCTTCAGAGTAGTTGTGAGGATAAGATGAAATGACAGTGTGAAAGATTTAAGCTGTAAAGTGCTAGAATACACTAGTGGTGTGCTAGAATACACTGGTGTAATGTTGATAGGAAATACGTGGGAAAGAGTGTGAAAAAAGACAGTGAAAAAGAAAAGAGTGAAAAGGAAGAATGACAAACACTGTCTCTGGAGCCAGCTGGTGAGTAACTTATATGCTGTGACCTTTTAAGAGCAACTCCCTTTGAACTTCCCAACATAAATTAATTTCTACATCCTTAAAGCACTGAATAAACATTGTATAAAGAAATTTCAGCAAGCAAAACATGGAATGAAGAAATCTGTTTAATCCAGCATTTACTTTTTAAGTTTCTCTGTGTCACTCTGAAGTCCATTCCTATGCAGTTTGTGCCCAGCAGTAGGTGGTGGCTGGGACTAAGGCCAGAGTACAGTCAGTGGTGGGGAGTCAGTCTCACCTTGCTTTTCAGCTGTTGTTCTGCAGCATTTTTGATGTAGGAAGTTAACTTTTCTTTTTAAGTTTTAAATTTCTTAAGAGCTGAGTTCATTTGGCTTTTCTGGGAGTGTCACTGTTAGAGTACAGCAGGGGCTGGTACTGCTCCATTGTGATTGAGGACAAATGACAGGATGAGCACAGTCAGCATATGGCCACAGATCAGTGATGCAAATTCTCCTGCCATGAGGACATAGCCACAGGAATCTGTGGCATCTGTGCTCACTATAGATTTGCAACCGGGAGTCCATTGAGTTCTATTGTCTATACACTGGTCTTTGTTGGTCTTCAATTGTGAACGTTTTGAGGGACTGGGAGAAGCATTTGGCAAACATGAAATGAGGCCCTTTTGGAAGGATATGATTGATTGATTTAGCATGTTAATTAAAGACACACTGGATGGCCCAGGCCTGAAAGAGATCTTCTGGTCAATTCTGTGTGATGGTAGCTTCTATAATAAGGTTGTCCAGCTTGCTTAATTTTGTTGTTGTTGTTCTGTTTTGTTTTGTTTTAGGCTTTTATCAGCCTGAAGCCATGGTTTTTAGTTTCTGTCTCTAGTGATAAGCAGAAAAGACGGATGAGGAAGGAGCTTTACTGTCCCAACCAGAAACAACAACTAAGAATCCATGACTGTATTCTCTCCCTCGGATACTCCTGTTAGCTATTCTGCACTTTTTGGTAAGCAACTTCAAGGACTAAGGAATATAAAAAGTTAAATCCTAGGAGACTGGAAAAGATGGCTAAAGTAGGCCGTGTCATACATTCCTGCCCTTACACCTGTGAGAGCTGTTGCATTTTGAGTAGTGAGGCTTGTAGATGTGGCCAGGCCAAGAGAAGAGTGGCCGGGGAGAGCTGCCAAGCTGAAGAGTCCACTTGCCTGGAGACATCAAAAACCATCCAAAGTCTGATCTCCCACCTCCAGCTCAGTATGCTGCCTGTTCTGACCCCACATGTGTTAGCATTAAGTTGTTAAGCAGATAGACTGAATGCATTTGCCCCCTCAAGAAATGACTGAGATGCCAAACTCTGTAATGGACATTGATGTTTTCCTGGCTAAGAAGATTTTTAGGAGGCTTATTTCCCAAATTCTCATGAACCTTGTAGCCATGGGAAGCCCTGAGAGTCTGTTTCCTAAAGTTGACTTAACCTGGGGAGTCTGGCTTAAACTAAGAACTCACAAGAGACTGACCAACGAAATGCTATTAATTTAGACTTGGAAGTGTAACAGCAAGGTGAATCAAGTGTCAACTTGACTTCCTGTAATACCTCCCTTTAGGCAAGTTACAGTTTCTTGATAAGAAATAAGGCACAGGAGGTTAATGAGATGGTGCATATGTCTAGGAGTGTATCAGCTATCTACTGCTCTGTAACACATGCTAAAATTCTGTTTCTGAGTGTTTCCTAGAGAAAGGGTAAAACTATAATGACTGAAAAATTTAAAAGCCACTGGTCTAAGTTCACCTTAGACTTTCTGTTTAGTATTTGTTCACACAAGATATAACTGATTGATTATAATCAATAATTGATCAGTTATGCCCACATTTAAGATTAAGATTATTCCAGGTCACTTTGGCATTTTGGATTTCCCAAAGTATTAAATGACTCATTTATATAAAAAGTTTACTTCTGTAGGTGGGAGGAATAGCCAGCAAAAAATCCTTTTGGGAAGGAAAAATACTACAAAGTCCAAGTTCTTGTGAAAAAACAAACAAACAAACAAACAAAAAACAACACTTGCCAGTGTTTGGCTCTGGAACCTTCTGGAACCTGGGTTTATAATAGAAGGGAGCCACCACCTCAGAAGGCAAAGTGCTGCCCGGAAGGGAGTGAAAAACTTAGTAGCAAGGAATAACCAACACACAGGCATGGACCTTGACTTATATATGGCCGTTTTGCATACAACCAACAATGGCGGACACCCAGCAAGCTGGGTTATGGCCGGAGGTCGCTATGGAGCAGTGGAAGTTCATTATGATCCTGAATCATCTGGGTGGAAGAGTGGTTCGGAGTTCAAATATATCTGCTATTTCTGCCTCCTTAGTCCTGAAAGTTAGTATTTTAGAAACATTTCCACCTGCAGGGGGTGGAGCCAAGATGGCCAAATAGGAACAGCTCCAGTCTACAGCTCCCAGCATGAGCGATGCAGAAGATGGGTGATTTCTGCATTTCCAACTGAGGTACTGGGTTCATCTCAATGGGGAGTGCCGGACAGTGGGGGCAGGACAGTGGGTGCAGTGCACCGTGTGTGAGCCAAAACAGGGAGAGGCATCCCCTCACCTGGGAAGTGCAAGGGGTCAGGGAATTCCCTTTCCTAGTCGAAGAAAGGGGTGACAGACGGCACCTGGAAAATCAGGTCACTCCCACCCTAATACTGCACTTTTCCAATGGGCTCAAAAAACGGCACACCAGGAGATTATATCCCGCACATGGCTTGGAGGGTCCTACGCCCACGGAGCCTCACTCATTGGTAGCACAGCAGTCTGAGATCAAACTGCAAGGTGGCAGCGAGGCTGGGAAAGGGGCGCCCGCCATTGCCCAAGCTTGAGTAGGTAAACAAAGCAGCTGGGAAGCTCAAACTGGGTGGAGCCCACACAGCTCAAGGAGGCCTGCCTGCCTCTACAGGCTCCACCTCTGGGGGCAGGGCACAAACAAAAGACAGCAATAACCTCTGCAGACTTAAATGTCCCTATCTGACAGCTTTGAAGAGAGTAGTGGTTCTCCCAGCATGCAGCTGCAGATCTGAGAACGGGCAGACTGCCTCCTCAAGTGGGTCCCTGAGTCCCGAGTAGCCTAACCAGGAGGCACCCCCCAGTAGGGGTGGACTGACACCTCACATGGCCGTGTACTCCTCTGGGACAAAACTTCCAGGGGAACGATCAGGCAGCAGCATTTGCAGTTCACCAATATCCGCTATTCCACAGCCACCACTGCTGATACCCAGGCAAACAGGGTCTGGAGTGGACCTCCAGCAAACTCCAACAGACCTGCAGCTGAGGGTCCTGACTGTTAGAAGGAAAACTAACACACAGAAAGGATATCCACACCAAAAACCCATCTGTAAATCAACATCATCAAAGACCAAAGGTAGATAAAACCACAAAAATGGGGAAAAAACAGAGCAGAAAAACCGGAAACTCTAAAAATCAGAGCACCTCTCCTCCTCCAAAGGAACGCAGCTCCTCACCAGCAATGGAACAAAGCTGGATGGAGAATGACTTCAGAATATCAAACTACTCCAAGCTAAAGGAGAAAGTTCGAACCAATGGCAAAGAAGTTAAAAACTTTGAAAAAATATTACATGAATGGATAACTAGAATAACCAATGCAGAGAAGTCCTTAAAGGACCTGATGGAGCTGAAAACCATGGCACAAGAACTACGTGACGAATGCACAAGCCTCAGTAACTGATGCCATCAACGGGAATAAAGGGTAACAGCAATGGAAGATGAAATGAATGAAATGAAGCATGAAGAGAAGTTTAGAGAAAAAAGAATAAAAAGAAACAATCAAAGCCTCAAGAAACATGGGACTATGTGAAAAGACCAAATCTACGTCTGACTGGTGTACCTGAAAGTGATGGGGAGAATGGGACCAAGTTGGAAAACACTCTGCAGGATATTATCCAGGAGAACTTCCCTATCTAGCAAGGCAGGCCAACATTCAAATTCAGGAAATACAGAGAACACCACAAAGATACTCCTTGAGAAGGGCAACTCCAAGACACATAATTGTCAGATTCACTACAGTTGAAATGAAGGAAAAAATGTTAAGGGCAGCCAGAGAGAAAGGTCAGGTTACCCACAAAGGGAAGCCCATCAGACTAACAGCTGATCTCTCAGCAGAAACTCTACAAGCCAGAAGAGAGTGGGGGCCAATATTCAACATTTTTAAAGAAAAGAATTTTCAACCCGGAATTTCATATCCAGCCAAACTAAGCTTCATAAGTGAAGGAGAAATAAAATCCTTTACAGACAAGCAAATGCTGAGAGATTTAATTAACACCGGACCTGCCCTAAAAGAGCTCCTGAAGGAAGCACTAAACATGGAAAGGAACAACCGGTACTAGCCACTGCAAAATCATGCCAAAATGTAAAGACCATCGAGACTAGGAAGAAACTGCATCAACTAACGAGCAAAATAACCAGCTAACATCATAATGACAGGATCAAATTCACACATAACAATACTAACCTTAAATGTAAACAGGCTAAATGCTCCAATTAAAAGGCACAGACTGGCAAATTGGATAAAGAGTCAAGACCCATCAGTGTGCTGTATTCAGAAAACCCATCTCACGTGCAGAGACACACATAGACTCAAAATAAAGGGATGGAGGAAGATCTACCAAGCAAATGGAAAACAAAAAAAAGCAGGGGTTGCAATCCTAGTCTCGGATAAAACAGACTTTAAACCAACAAAGATCAAAAGAGGCAAAGAAGGCCATTACATAATGGTAAAGGGATCAATTCAACAAGAAGAACTAACTGTCTTAAATATATATGCACCCAATACAGGAGCACCCAGATTCATAAAGCAAGTCCTGAGTGACCTACAAAGAGACTTAGACTCCCACACAATAATAATGGGAGACTTTAACACCCCACTGTCAACATTAGACAGATCAATGAGACAGAAAGTTAACAAAGATATCCAGGAATTGAACTCAGCTCTGCACCAAGCTGACCTAATAGATATCTACAGAACTCTCCACCCCAAATCAACAGAATATACATTCTTTTCAGCACCACACTACACCTATTGCAAAATTGACCACATAGTTGGAAGTAAAGCACTCCTCAGCAAATGTAAAAGAACAGAAATTATAACAAACTATCTCTCAGACCACAGTGCAATGAAACTAGAACTCAGGATTAAGAAACTCACTGAAAACCACTCAACTACATGGAAACTGAACAACCTGCTCCTGAATGACTACTGGGTACATAACAAAATGAAGGCAGAGATAAAGATGTTCTTTGAAACCAACGAGAACAAAGACACAACATACCAGAATCTCTGGGACACATTCAAAGCAGTGTATAGAGGGAAATTTATAGCACTAAATGCCCACAAGAGAAAGCAGGAAAGATCTAAAATTGACACCCTAACATCACAATTAAAAGAACTAGAGAAGCAAGAGCAAACACATTCAAAAGCTAGCAGAAGGCAAGAAATAACTAAGATTGGAGCAGAACTGAAGGAAATAGAGACACAAAAAACCCTTCAAAAAATCAATGAATCCAGGAGCTGGTTTTTTGAAAAGATCAACAAAGTTGATAGACCGCCAGCAAGACTAATAAAGAAGAAAAGACAGAAGAATCAAATAGACGCAATAAATAATGACAAAGGGGATATCACCACTGATCCCACAGAAATACAAACTACCATCAGAGAATACTGTACCAACACCTCTATGCAAATAAACTAGAAAATCTAGAAGAAATGGATAAATTCCTGGACACATACACTCTCCCAAGACTAAACCACGAAGAAGTTGAATCTCTGAATAGACCAATAACAGGCTCTGAAATTGAGGCAATAATTAATAACTTAGCAACCAAAAAAAAGTCCAGGACCAGATGGATTCACAGCCAAATTCTACCAGAGGTACAAAGAGGAGCTGGTACCATTCCTTCTGAAACTATTCCAATCAATAGAAACAGAGGGAATCCTCCCTAACCCATTTTATAAGGCTCCTGATACCAAAGCCTGGCAGAGATACAACAAAATAAGAGAATTTTAGACCAATATCCTTGATGAACATTAATGCAAAAATCCTCAGTAAAATACTGGCAAACCGAATCCAGCAACACATCAAAAAGCTTATCCACCATGATCAAGTGGGCTTCATCCCTGTGATGCAAGGCTGGTTCAACATACGCAAATCAATAAACGTAATCCAGCATATTAACAGAACCACCCACAAAAACCACATGATTATCTCAATAGATGCAGAAAAGGCCTTTGACAAAATTCAACAACCCTTCATGCTAAAAACTCTCAATAAATTAGGTATTGATGGGACGTATCTCAAAATAATAAGAGCTATCTATGACAAACCCACAGCCAATATCATACTGAATGGATAAAAAGTGGAAGCATTCCCTTTGAAAACTGGCACAAGACAGGGATGCCCTCTCTCACCACTCGTATTCAACATAGTGTTGGAAGTTCTGGCCAGGGCAATCAGGCAGGAGAAGGAAATAAAGAGCATTCATTAGGAAAACAGGAAGTCAAATTGTCTCTGTTTGCAGATGACATGATTGTATATCTAGAAAACCCCATCGTCTCAGCCCAAAATCTCCTTAAGCTGATAAGCAACTTCAGCAAAGTCTCAGGATACAAAATCAATGTGCAAAAATCACAAGCATTCTTATACACCAATAAGAGACAAACAGAGAGCCAAATCATGAGTGAACTCCCATTCACAATTGCTTCAAAGAGAATAAAATACCTAGGAATCCAACTTATAAGGGATGTGAAGGACCCCTTCAAGGAGAACTACAAACCACTGCTCAATGAAATAAAAGAGGATACAAACAAATGGAAGAACATTCCATGCTCATGGGTAGGAAGAATCAATATTGTGAAAATGGCCATACTGCCCAAGGTAATTTACAGATTCAATGCCATCCCCATCAATCTACCAATGACTTTCTCCACAGAGTTGGAAAAAACTACTTTAAAGTTCATATGGAACCAAAAAAGAGCCCACATTGCCAAGTCAATCCTAAGCCAAAAGAACAAACCCAGAGGCATCATGCTACCTGACTTCAAACAATACTACAAGGCTACAGTAACCAAAACAGCATGGTACTGGTATCCAAACAGAGATATAGACCAATGGAACAGAACAGAGCCCTCAGAAATAATGCCGCATATCTACAACCATCTGATCTTTGACAAACCTGACAAAAACAAGCAATGGGGAAACAATTCCCTATTTAATAAATGATGCTAGGAAAACTGGCTAGCCATATGTAGAAAGCTGAAACTGGATCCCTTCCTTACACCTTATACAAAAATTAATTCAAGATGGATTAAAGACTTAAATGTTAGACCTAAAACCATAAAAACCCTAGAAGAAAACCTAGGCAATACCATTCAGGACATAGGAATGGGCAAGGACTTCATGTCTAAAACACCAAAAGCAATGGCAACAAAAGCCAAAATTGACAAATGGGATCTAATTAAACTAAAGAGCTTCTGCACAGCAAAAGAAACTACCATCAGAGTGAACAGGCAGCCTACAGAATGGGAGAAAATTTTTGCAATCTACTCATCTGACAAACGGCTAATATCCAGAATCTACAAAGAACTCAAACAAATTTACGAGATAAAAACAAACAACCCCATCAACAAGTGGGCAAAGGATATGAACAGACACTTCTCAAAAGAATACATTTATGCAGCCAAAAAACACATGAAAAAATGCTCATCATCACTGGCCATCAGAGAAATGCAAATCAAAACCACAATGAGATACCATCTCACACCAGTTAGAATGGCAATCATTAAAAAGTCAGGAAACAACAGGTGCTGGAGAGGATGTGGAGAAATAGGAACAGTTTTACACTGTTGGTGGGAGTGTAAACTAGTTCAACCATTGTGGAAGTCAGTGTGGCGATTCCTCAGGGATCTAGAACTAGAAATATCATTTGACCCAGCCATCCCATTACTGGGTATATACCCAAAGGATTATAAATCATGCTGCTCTAAAGACACATGCACATGTATGTTTATTGCGACACTATTCACAATAGCAAAGACTTGGAACCAACCCAAATGTCCAACAATGATAGACTGGATTAAGAAAATGTGGCACATATACACCATGGAACACTATGCAGCCATAAAAAAATGAATGATGGGTTCATGTCCTTTGTAGGGACATGGATGAAGCTGGAAACCATCATTCTCAGCAAACTATCACAAGGACAAAAAACCAAACACTGCATGTTCTCACTCACAGGTGGGAATTGAACAATGAGAACACATGGACACAGGAAGGGGAACATCACACACCGGGGACTGTTGTGGGGTGGGGGTAGTGGGGAGGGATAGCATTAGGAGAGACACCTAATGCTAAATGATGAGTTAATGGGTACAGCACACCAACATGGCACATGTATACATATGTAAGAAACCTGTACATTGTGCACATGTACCCTAAAACTTAAAGTATAATAATAATAAAAGAAAAAAAAGAAACATTTCCACCTGTAGTAGCTAAATAAAACACATACAAAGGATCAACATGTAACGGGAGCAGCTGTCACTTGTTTTTGTTTTTGCGTTTTAAAAAAAGAAAGTTCCATTTACATTGAGCTTATCATCATGAGAAACTTAATCATGGGTGTGTTTCTCTTTTACCCATGTGGTTCTTGGTGAGTGACCACTATTATAAGTACACTTTTCCCCTTTTAGATCAGAAGAAAACTTTTCCAGGTTGTTTGTTCAACAGAAGATAAGACCACTCTATATTCATTATAACAGTTTCTCTTTAGACACTTCTGTAATTAGATTTGTTTTTTAAAAGGCTTCCCCCTGCTGATTTTTCCCCCTGCATTGTTTTAAAGGGGGTGATTAGTTTAGTAATGAGGAAGTTGTTGAAGGATATCTGGGGTTAAGAAGCTGAAGACTGATGTATTCAATGTAATCCTTTTCCCCACAGGGGCTGCTGGAGTCCTCTGCAGAGAAGGCCCCTGTGTTGGTGTCCTGTGGAGGTGAGAGCCCCCGGATGGGATCTGCCTCAGCGACTCAGATAAGACAACCATGCTCACATTAATGAGAGAAGGGGTAAAACTCTCCTGTTTAGTCTGCTTATCACTCCATTTCTTTGTAAGGCCCATGTACCAGCAGGTAGATTGCATCTCTTCTGGCTCAAGTTATCCCAGGCTGGAAGTTCTTATTTCCTGCAGCTTGTTTAGGTTGTAAAAAGGGTTCCCTGTGGCATTGGTGCTGGAGTCCTGACATTCTGGTGTCCAGGGAAAAATGTTTACAATCTGAAATATTCTTGAGAATTTTGTACCTTTCTTTATCTTTCAGCCCTGATATTTTAAATGTCTAAATTTGCCAGCTTTGTTCACATATGTAACTAAATCAGTGCTTTTATTTTACAGAGGATATATGCTCATGCCTAAACATTTTTAAATGTTTTTGTAGTCACACACGGTTGTTTCCTACTTTCATCTATTCTTTGACTAAACAGTTCAACTCTCTGATTCCTGTATTGAGTTTCTTGAACAGCCTTCATTCAAAATAGGTCACTGCTAGGCCTTCCTTGGTTATCTGAAAAAATATGAAAGACCCTGTTGTGTACCATTAATCAGTTACCACCCTCTCCTGTTATATTTCTGTGCTGTATTTAGTAAGTTTGGTTTGTGTGTTTCTTGACAATTACACCTGTTCTTAAAGGAAGGTGTAGCAATTTTATTTTTACAGTATGCTGAAAGTGGTTAAGCCCCTCAGCTATAGGTCTTTTAAAGCTTTATAAAATAGCATCAAGTTGTTAATGAAAGATGTCAGCTAGTCCTATTTTCAAAACTTGGGAGTAGTGGTAAGGAGGCATACCAAAATCTTTATTTTTATTTATTTATTTATTTATTTTTTTTTTTAAGAGACAAGATCTCACTCTGTCACCCAGGCTGAAGTGCAGTGGCACAATTATAGCTCATTGCAGCCTTGAACTCCTAGGCTCAAGAGATCCTCCTACCTCAGCCACCCAAGTGGCTGGGACAACAGGCATGCACCACTGTGACTGGCCAAAATCTTGTAAATAAGGAAAATGACTTTATCTTTTTCCTGGGAGTTAAACTGCGAGATGACCATCTAATGGATCAAAGTAAAGAGATGCCTGGTTACCTGAAGCAGACAGAGTACCTTCTAGGTTCTTGAGATCCCAATAAATATAACAAATCTTCCAATTAGAAGAGAGAGGCTCAGCCAGGGAAGTACAGTAAGCTGAGAGCTGTGGCTGCCCATCCAAGCCCCGGTTGCCCATCCAAGCCCCTGCCCAGGGCAAATGGAGCTTGAGGCAATGAATTTAGAGTGTTTCCTTCCAGTTAGCAAGAGCATCCCAAATATGAGTCTAGATTCTGGACTGACAAGCAAGACTCTACCTGTGATGATGAATGCTATAGCTAGATGTAGCCAGCTCAGGGCATTATGTGAGCCCCCTCCTTCTAACTCCATTTTTATGAAACTGTCAAAAATCTCTATAGAAAGAGAATATGCTGCTCATGCCAAGTTCCAATGCTCTGATTTGTGGCAGTTTCATTATCATCCTAAATAAAACTGGTGGCCTGGCATCAGCTGTGATTACACGGCCTTGGTTAGGGTGAATACCTGCCAGTCAGATGGCTCTGTCACAGTCAGGGTCTTGGCCTGCAGAGCTGAGAGCTAGACCCTGGACCAAGGTAAAGTTCACGGAGGCTGAAAATACCACTTGGAATTTCTGGGAGATGTTCTACTCACCTTTATCTTGGTGTCTACACCCCAGCATCCTGTGTGGCTGAGAGTACACTTTTCCAAATGTGTACAAACATGAAATGTTGAGGTTTATATTCCTAATATAAACAAACTTTGTAAGAGTAACCCTTATCTTTCTGGTTACTTGTCCACAATTTACTACTCTTTGTTTAAGTTAGTACAGAAGCCTTCAGCCCTCTGTGTAAGCTGCTTCTCTATGCCTTCATTTTTCTTGTGAGGGCTCCCATGCACCTGTCAATCTGCGTTCTTTTCTCCTGTCACTCTGTGTGATGTCAGTCCCAGCTGGAGATACCAGAAGTGGGGAGGAAAAACCAACCTTCCCTCCAGTATTGATGGAAGACAATGACTACCTGAAGCTCCCCATCATGATACTTATGGGTCAAAGCAATGCCACTTTCTGCTGACCAGAAGATACTATTTCCAAAGGGCAAGAACCTTAGAGATTATCTAGTTCTTCTCTGTGATTTTATGGATAAAAGACTTGAATAGCAAAGTGACCATCTAAAGCTACACAGTAACTTGGTGGCAGTGAAGTGGTAGGATTGTTAGTTAGGGATTCTCTCTCTCTTTTTTTTTTTTTTTTTAGAGGAGTCTTTCTCTGTCACCCAGGCTGCAGTGAAGTGGTGCAATCTCAGCTCACTGTAACCACTGCCTCCCAGATTCATGTAATTCTGGTGTCTCAGCCTCCAAAGTAGCTGGGACTACACGTGTGCACCACCACTCCTGGATAATTTGTATATTTTTAGTAGAGAAGAGGTTTCCCCATGTTGGTCAGGCTGGTCTCAAACTCCTGACTTCAAGTGATCTGCCTGCCTTGGGCTCCCAAAGTGCTGAAATTACAGGCATGAGCCACCGTGCCCAGCTGTTACTTAAGGATTCTTTCCACCCAGGCACTTTACCTTTCTTGAAGCCTGTAAGAAAAATAAAGGTGGCTGAAGTGGGAGGATTACATGAGTCAAGGAGTTCGAGGCCTGCCTGGGCAACATAGGGAGACACCTTCTCTGCAAAAAATACGAAAATTAACTGGGCATGGTGAAACATGCCTGTAATCCCAGTTACTTGGGAGACTGAGCTGGCTGGGAGGATCTCTTCAGCCCAGGAGGTGAAGGCTGCAATGAGCTATGATCTCACCACTGCACTCCAGCCAGGGTGACATAGAGACGGCCTGTCTCTAAAAAAAACTAAATTAATTAATAAAAATAAAAATTATATCCCTAAGTTTTAAAAAGGAGAGAGGCTGCTCATTATCTTGATAAGTATATTGGAGTCTATGTAAATGGCACCCCCTAGAGTTGTGCCCTGACTTGCCCACGTGGCTGCTCATGAGAGCCCTGGTGACAGGACGTGTTTTACAATGGAGAGACAAAGAGTCTGTTTAAGGAAAACCAAACCAAATTAGACAAAGCTTTCAATAACAATGTCAGAAAAAAAGGCATCTTTGCAGATGCAAATAGAAGGGCTATGCCTTACTCTTGCAAACCTATTAGAAAGAACACTTGAGCTCTCAGTGGCGGAAGAGAACTTCCTTGGCCTGCTTTTCTGACCATGGCTGCCAGGCTCCTGTCAGCCATGCAGTGAGAAAGCTGCTTTCATCTTTGTTTGGCCTGGATGCTGGTCCTCTGCCCCACTCTGCACCTGACTTGCTGGTCCCAAGTCCCCCTTGTCAGGGCTGACCAACCTCCCTGCCAATGGCTCCTGGGAACAATGATGACTCCAGATGGGCTTCATCCAGCCTAGTCGGCCTTGCCTTGGCTATAGCCCAGGGAACATAACTTTAAGAAGTGGGAATTTCAGAATGTTGGGCAAATCTTTTTTGTGGGAGGCAGGGTCTTGCTCTATTGCCCAGGCTGGAGGACAGTGGCATGATCATAGCTCACTGCAGCCTCCATCCCCCAGGCTTAAGCCATCCTTCCGCCTCAACCTCCTGAGTAGCTGGGACCACAGGTGCATGCCACCACACGTGGCTAATTTTTTAATTTTTTGTAGCAACACGTTCTTGCTTTGTGGCCCAGGCTGGTCTTGAACCCCTAGGCTCAAGGAATCCACCTGCCTTGGCCTCCCAAAGTGTTGGGACTACTGGCATGAGCCACCATGCCTGCTCAGAGAAATCCTTTAACAAACAGTAGAATCAGTTTGAATATAAGTTGTTAAGAAATGGGAAGTTGGTGGGTGAGAGGGCATTGAGTTGGGGGTTTGTGAAGGGAACAGAAGTGTCTGACTGGACACTTGAAAGAAGTTTCCTTAAAATACGAAAATAATTTTGCAGAGGCATGTTTATGCAAAAACTGATCTAACGAAAAAACAGCTTACACACTGGAATCAAAATGTCACTTGATTCCCAGAGAGAATGAGCTCAGAGGTTAAAAAGAGAGGGATCCTTTCCAACTATTTAATGTGTTTTGAAAGGCCCTTTTGGGTTTAAATTGGTTTCCAGAAGAACACAGGCCCTTATCCCAGGGGAGGATGCAGATGCAGATAGAAAGGCCGAGAAGCTCACCTTTCAGAATAGGGGTGGCAACTGGGAAGAGGGCAGAGAGGTCAACCAGAAATACTCCATCAGTGGTTGTTTCAGCTGATAAATTCAACCAGATTTTAAGATCAACCATTTGGAACTTGAGAACTTTCCACTAGGTTTGCTTTTGTTTATCCTGATTTCCTGGCTATTGAAGTTTGCAGGGAGTGATATCCCTGGAAGATCTTTGATAGCAGGTCCAGATTTTCTAAGGCACTATCTTTGGAATGGAAAACAATTCTGCAAGTTGGTTTGCAAGAGTCATAAATAAACTTTGAGTGGGCAGTTTTAATAAGTGTGCTGCCTGAGCTGTTAAGGTAATTGAAAATGCAGCTGCCCAACTGCAAGCAGCTAGCTGGTCACCGCAAGAAAGGGGAACCAGCATGTTCCTGATTCCCAGTCCAGTGCTTTTATTATAAGCTTGATGCTATGGTCTGAAAGTCAACTTCATAAATATAAAAATAGCTCCAGAATTGAAGTTGATTTACATATGAAGTGCAGAATAAGATGCCTTGTTTTCCTAGGCATCATGCAAAATCTGGAACTCTAAGCAACTTGTCACTGTCTAAGGCCATCAAATCAAAAGGGAACAAGAAAGGTGCTCCTACCTAGTTAGGAGAGAAGAGGGGACTTGGGGACCTGAGGACCTAGGGACTAAGGAGCTGGCAGGTAGGCAACTCTTAAAGATACTGTCATTTCGGAAGATTCTTTCTTTCTGCAAAACCTTCAACTTTCTCCCCCTCCCCCAAAGCCAGTGCCTCAAATTCTACCTCTAGAGCTTCCTTTGTTTGCTCCTGGGCACACCTTTGTCACTGCACTTTAGTATAGCAGTCCCCAACCTTTTTGGCACCAGGGACCAGTTCCATGGAAGACAATTTTCCCACAGACTGGGGGATACAGGGGGAATGGTTTTGGGATGAAACTGTTCTACCTCAGATCATTGGGCATTAGATTCTCATACGCAGTGCACAACCTAGATCCCTTTCAGGAGCAGTTCATAATATAGTTTATGCTTCAGTGAGAATCTGATACAGACGCTGATTTGACAGGAGGTGGAGCTCAGGCAGTAATGCTTGCTCACCTGCTGCTTACCTCCTGCTGTGCAGCCTGGTTCCTAACAGGCCAGTCTGCCACTCAGGGGTTGGAGACCACTGCTTTAGGACAACAAAAGCCAAGGGAGTTCATTTACTGCAGGTGACTTAACGGGAACACTGGTCATCCCACCCACCCCCTCTCCATCCCTGCCTCTCATCTTTACTTGCAACACACTCCTATGCAACTTTTTCCCTGTTGTTTTGTGTCCAAAATCTCCCAAGTGTCAGAGGTGTTTGAACCCGAGCAACTCCATCTTGAATAGGGGCTTGGTAAAATAAGGCTGAGACCTGCTGGGCTGCATTCCCAGGAGGTTTAGGCATTCTTAGTCACAGGATGAGATAGGAGGTCAGCATATGATACAGGTCTTAAAGACCTTGCTGATAAAACAGGTTGCAGTAAAGAAGCTGGCTAAAACCCACCAAAACCAAGATGATGGCAAAAGTAATCTCTGGTCATCCTCACTACTACACTCCCACCAGTTCCATGACAGTTTACAAATACCATGGCAACATCAGGAAGTTAGCCTATATGGTCTAAAAAGGGGAGGAATGAATAATCCATCCCTAGTTTAGCATATAATCAAGAAATAACCATGAAAATGGGCAACCAGCAGCCCTGAGGGCTGCTCTGCGTATGGAGTAGCCATTCTTTATTCGTTTACTTTCTTAATAAATTTGCATTCACTTTACTCTATGGGATTCTCCTTGAACTCTTTCATGCACAAGACCCAAAAACCCTCTCTTGGGGTCTAGATCAGGACTTCTTTCTGATAACATGAGTAATGACTGATGAAGTGTGTGGTTGGTTACCACTGAGTCTTCAGCAGTTTCCATTTATTGAGTAAACCTTTACCAAGCTCCTTCTGCAGTCCCAGCAGCATGCTGAATATCAGGAATTCAATAGACCAGTCCCCGTCCCTCCATAGCCCAGCAGGGTAGTCTGACAGCAAACCACCAATGCCACAACATCTCTGGTCGTGAGGGTTGTCGGGGGTTCAGGCTGTGGCCATGGCAGCCAGCAGAGGGGAGACAAGGAAGGTATACTTTCCTTGGAGATCTGTGGGAAGACAGCCCTGTGGATAGGATGCGGGTGAGAGGGAACAGGAAAGACACTCTACATCCAAGGAAACCACGTGCAGAGGAGTGAGGCGAGGGAGGGAATGCTGGGAGGTCGGGAGTAACAGGAGGTAAATTCGAAGAGCCAGGCAGGGGTCAAGCTGTAGAGTAACCATGAGCCATCACAGGCATCTGAACAGGAGACTGGGATGATCTGGTTTCTGATTTAGAAAAATCACCTGGGACTGGAGGGAGGAGAATAGATGAGTGGAGAGGTGAGTCTAAACAAATCAGAACAGGATCCCCACGTTTGGTTGCCCCAAATTAAAATCTCTCAGCAACCTTTGTCTCACACAATCTCTAAATTCTAGAGAAAGTGGGCCCTTGCTGAGATGGGGGCAGCAATCCTCTGAGAAGAATTATCTGAGGGGCCTCCCTACAGGTCTCTTTACACAGAGTTGTGAGTCCATTTCCTGGACTTTTCTTAAACCCACAAATAAAGTTCCAGGTAGGAGAACCTGAGACATTGCTAACACACCCTGGGGCAGCGGTTCTCCAAGTGTGGCTCCAGATCACTAGGAGCAGCAGCATTGCGTGAGAACTTTAAGGTCTCATCTTCTTGAAAACTAGGACCAGAAACACTAAGGCCCAGCTATAGTGGGTTTTTTGTTGTTGTTGTTTTAGAGGCAGGATCTCACTCTGTTGCCCAGGCTGGAGTGCAGTAGTGTGATCATGGCTCACTCTGGCCTCCAGCTCTTGGGCTCAAGTTATCCTCCTACTTCAGCCTCCCAAGTATCTGGGACCACAGGGGCACCACCATACCCAGCATAGTGACAGGCTCTCACTTTGCAGAGATGGGATCTCACTATATTGCCCAGGCTGGTCTCAAACTCCTGGCCTTGAGTGATCCTCCCACCTCGGCCCCCCAAAGTGCTGAGATTACACGTGTGAGCCAGTTTGCCCGAACCTAGCTAGCTCCACAGCCAAGCGTGGTGGCTCATGCCTGTAATCACAGCACTTTGGGAGGCCAAGGTGGGCAATCACCTGAGGTCGGGAGTTCAAGACCAGCCTGACCAACATGGAGAAACCCCATCTCTACTAAAAATACAAACAATTAGCCAGGTATGGTTGCACATGCCTGTAATCCCAGGTACTCGGGGATTTATTGTAACCACCCAGGTACTTATAGTTTGAGAACCACTACCTTGTGGTAGCACAAACTCGGATGAGCTATATGGAGAACTGATCACCAGGCTCCTAATATTTTATTTTTGTTTTGTTTAAGAAAGAGAAAAGCATCAAGCCTAATCAAAGTCACCAACAAGCAACTTAGATGTTCATGTGAGAGGCTGAGTGCAGTGGCTCACACCTGAAATCCTAGCATTTTGTGAGGCTGAGGTAGGTGGATTGCTTGAGCCCAGGAGTTCAAGACCAGCCTGGGCAACATGGTGAAGCCCCATCTCTACAAAAAATAAAAAATTTAGCCAGGCATGGTGGTGCATGCCTGTAGTCTTAGTTATTTAGGAGGCTAAGGTGGGAGGATTGCTTGAACCCAGGAACAGGTGGGGGTTGCAGCGAGCTGAGATCATGCCATGGCACTCCAGCCTGGGCAACAGAGCTAGACCCTGTCTCAAACAACAAAAAAAGGTTTCATGTGACAGACATGGAATGGTTATAATTATGTTTTATTTGATAATCTAGCAAATGGTTTTTATAAATCTATTTGCACTGTACTTTCTGGGAAGAGGGAGAAAATAAATAAAAAAGACACAAGGTTTCTTCCTCCAATAGGATTCGGCCACCATCACCAGTCATCATCATCATCAATCATCATCATCATTATCATCAATCACCACCGTCTTCAAAAAACATATGTTAATACTAATAATAGTCACTTATAAGAATCCACATCTGAGAATCCACAAGGGCTTTCTGAGAATTAATTTTGTACCCAGCTCTGTACTCACAACTGAATTGCTATCTGGCTGAGTCAGAACTTGAACACAAGAAATAATCAGTTACACAGAGCAGCATATAATCATGGGCCAAATAGTTCTGAGCTTAAGCAGGCCTTGTGGATTCAAGAGTGCTCTTCCAGCTTTATGCAAATTGCCTTCATTTTCACTCCTTGCCCAAGCCCTGGACCAGGGTTTGTCCTGTGGAGATGGGGAGAGGAGTCTTTTGGTGCCCTGACTCTGAGAACTTTGACCTTTAACTGTGGAGCCCTGGGCCCCCATCATATCTCCCAAAGGGAGTGTTTGAGGATATGGCAACTGCTGCATTAACAGATGACTCTAGGAAGGAGAGGAAAAGGCCTATTCTATAAATAAATATACTGTTCCTGGATGAGGCACTGTCCTCCCTACTCCTACCCAGTCACCTTTGTGATCATCAGAGCAGAGCAGCCCCTAGCCAAGGGATTAGTGCAATTATAAGTTCAACAATAGATAACCCATCATAAATACACCTGGAGAGCTTTTGTCATTGACTAGGAGCCAGGAGTCGGGGGATAAAAAGGACAGTGGGGAGAGAGCTGGAACGGTGTAGGGCTAGCTTGAAACATCTACTGTTTGTTTGTTTGTTTGTTTAAAAAAGCCTGACTTTCTTTCTGAACGTGAAAGTCTCTGGAAGGTGTGGAGAAGGGAAGGGACACAGGCAATCCCGAGAAGGACTTGTTTTTAGTGTAGTTAGCTTTATCCTCAGAGCACAGATCTGCCCCAAAATCTTTTTAAAAAAATAAACCCAAGAGCTGGCCCCACCAGACATTTCTGAATCTGTTGTTATATCTCTGTTAAGCAGGAAGAGAGAGCAAGGCTCCTGCATTGATAATGCTGGGAAATAGTTTAATATCTAACCTTTTTGGATACGTGGACCAATAAAGCCAAGTGATAATCTGTTGGAGGTGCCTGTTCTCTGGGTTCTGAGGACCCCAGGGAACTTCAAGTCTTCACTCTCTTTTTGGCCATGAACATTTAGGTGTTGCAGGCAGATAAAAGCAGTGGGGAAATGTGATCGAGGGATGCACTTTGCTTACCAGCATTGCACCTAAATAAAGAAGGCCGCAATGTGCTGGTGACAGTGCCACAGAACTGATAGTCTGCATTTTCACCAGGCAGTGGGGAGGACAGGGTGGGTCGACTTTACTGTCACCAGCAGAGACAACTTCCAGAGCAGCTTGGATGATGAACCTGGTGCACACAGTCGACATTTTAAAATATGGATGACAGGGCTGGGGAGGCACCAACTCACAAAAGCTGACTGTTGGGTACATAATTTTTTGGACCCGGTGTGTCTAATTCCATCTTCAATTATACTTTTGAGCCCTTTCAAGTGAAACTGTAAGTGACTTATCTAAAGGTATACTGCTGCTAAGCTTATGTTAGAAAGAGGTAAAAACCTAAGTTATTTAAGGTGACATGGCTAATGTAAGCAGCTAATCAGAAACAAATTAGCTAATTGGATGTGGTCACAAATATTATTAACATCAGATGCTACTAACATCTTTGTTTTACTTTGTCTAAAAATAAAAATTAAGACACAGAGTCTCACTATTTCACTCAGGCTGGTCTTGAACTCCTGGCCCTGTCCTCCCAACTAGCTGAGATTACAGTTAACTATGATTGCACCACTGCATTCCAGCCTGGGCAACAGAGTGAGACCTTATCTCAAAAAAAAAAAAAAAAAAAAAGATAAAGATAAAACCAAGGTTTAGGTTCTGAGTTCCAGGGTGAATTTGTGTTTACAGTTGGTATTCAGAGCAAGGATTCACCTTCCCTGCTTCTCCCTGGGTCCCCGTGTTGGAGAAGGGCATGGGCTTTGGTGGACAGTAGATCTGACAAATAGTGCCATTTCTCATCACTAGGAAAAAAAAAAAGCCACAGAATTAAATTCCTTATTTGTCTTTGGAGACACAGGTTCTACCTCGGCATAAAAGGTGAAAGAAGATTCTGGCCAAACAAATGGGAATGTAAGAAACCCTTGAGAGATTCAGAGATCGAAAGCTAGCTAAACATAGCTGTAAAGGACTTTTTGTGTGCAATTGGAGCTATGTGAAGATGGCTTCTATATGAGATGATAGTTAATAAATATTCATGTCTTGCTACGATCTAAAAGGCTAAAAACTTGCTAAGTCAGTCCAGCTACAGATGTTTTGCACACGTTTGTTATGTACAGTGAACTACATGGGCCCCTGCTCTGGAAACACCATGGCCTGCGTATTAAATTAGACTAGTGAGCCAAGACATAAATGTGTGGAAAGCTAAAAACAAAACAAAAAATTCAGCTGAAAATTTTGACCAGTAAATAAGGAGATACCCAGACTTAAACTTCACCAAGAAACTGCATTTTGGGCCAGGTGCTGTGGCTCACACCTGTAATCCTCCCAGCTTAAGAGGCTGAGGAGGGAGGATCGCTTGAGGCCAGGAGTTTGAAACCAGCCTGGGTAACATAGTGAGACCCTATCTCTACAAAAAGTAAAATTATTATTTTTTTAAGTTGCCATTTGCTTGATGCTTAAGACCAAATGAAATCACCACAAATAGAATTCATGGAAGGAAGGGCCATCACCGTTTATAGCTTGATTTAAAGTTTTCATGTCTTTCTTCAGAAATTGGTCATGGTTACATCTCATCAGAGCTGCAGCCAGCTGCCCGCTCCTAAGTTGTGCTGCTTATGATGTGGGTGCAGGCAATGACGTCCACTTGACAAAGCTTCTGAATCAGCCATGTCTGGGGAGCAAGAGAACTTGGCACCATTGGTCTTTGGCATGGGCACACATCTGCCTGTGGTGTCCCCATCATGACTTTTTTCAGTAAGGACTCACGCAACAGTAATCAGTGACAGCAGTTCTCAAACCTGGAGAGCAGAAGTGCACAGACTGGTCCCAGATATATTTCCCTGGTCACTTCTTCACTCCTCCAGGCCACTTCTGCCCCACCTTCTGAGCAGAAGCTGCTAAAAAGACAGGATGGACACTCGTTCTGAAGGTGTTTCTCAGCATACGGCAAGCCCTTTGATAGGCAGTAGAGAACTTTGAGCACTTGGCAGGGTCATTTTCTGATTCTTTTTCTTTCTTTCTGTAGCCATTAACATCTGGTAATTTTTGGATTCTCTTTTGCTTCATCCTCATTTGTGGCCTGGACTATGATAAGCAGACACAAGCTAGTAGGACCCATGTACTCCTTCAACATCAAGGAGACCTTCAACATCAAGGTCAAGAGACCTTGAAAAACACCTGCAGCTTTTGCTGCCTGTAAAACAGCATCCAGTGCTTCATAATATAGCCCTAGTTTATCTTCTAATTATATCTTGCCCGTCAATTGACAAACATCAATTGGTGCCTTTTGTGGACACATTCATGATCTCCCTTCCCCAAATATAGGGAACAAGTTTTTTACTTTTTTATTTTCCCCCACCTACACTCCACAGCGCAGAGCACTTACCAGGAAATTATTTAAAGTTCTCAAACAGGGTCTCACTCTGTCGCCCATACTGGAATGTAGTGGCATAATCAGAGCTCACTGCAACCCCAACCTCCTGGGTTCAAGCAATCCTCCCACCTCAGCCCCATGAGTAGCTGGGACTGCAGGCATGCCACCACACCCAGCTAATTTTTAAAATCTTTTGTAGAGATGTGGTCTCGCTATATTGCCCAGGCTTGTCTTGAACTCTTGTCCTCAAACATTTCTCCTACTATAGCCTCGCAAAGTGCTGAGATTACAGGTGTAAGCAACCATGTCCAGCTTTAGCAGGAATTATGATGTGACAAGTTCTGTCTCTGACAGTCCTGCTTCAAGCAGCTAATGAATCCCCTTGTACTATCTGTGATTGGATGAGGACTGTGGAAATGGTGTGGCAACCATAGAATAATGAGAGGTGGCTAACAAGTAAATAGGCTTCAAAATAGCTTGTGCCCATAGATATTTTTACTTGTTCAAACTCCTTCCCAGTTACCTCCTTACCAACGGGGCTCAACATGATGATGTCACTAATGTTGGGAATACTGGCAGCTCAAAGGTAGATTTGCTATAAGTCTCAACTGACATTTTCATTAAAATTCTCACTGAGCTTCAAGCGTCTGATTTCCTGCTCCCTTGGAGAATTATCATGTGTAATCTAAACATGCAAAATGGGGGAAATCCATTCTTTTTACACAATAAACTACTCCGAGCTCCGTGCTCATTGGTAGGGAATACAATATGAGTAAGAAAGGGTCATGTGTGAACAGGGAAAGATGCATGTAAACAGAGGTGTGCTATCAAACATTAAGGATGCAGAGGAAGAAATCATCTATTTTTTTAAAATTCCTTTTCTAGTGGTGGGGACTTGCTGTGTTGCCCAGGCTGGTCTCCAACTCTCAGGCTCAAGCGATCCTCCTCCCTCAGCCTGCCAAGTAACTAGGATTACAGACATGAGCCACCATGTGCAGTGGGAACAGTCTCTTTTATCTGGGGGGGCACTAATTAGGAAAGGTGACTTGACGTTTGACCTTTGTCTTGCAGGATACATAGATTTTCTTTTGATGATGTTGTAGGGAATACTGTGCCTAGAGAGATGCATCCTGAGAAAAGTCATGGCAGAACCCATGAGGCAACCTGGAAATCGCTTGGCATGGCCAGGCAAAGGGGACAAAGAGACACAGAGAAAAGTAAGTATGGAGTGAAACATGGTGCAAGAACATTTAGGGCCTTGTAGGCCAGGCTAAGAAGTTTAGGTGTTATCAGAAGACAAACAGGAGCCACTGGAAAGTTTTTAAATCCAGAGAGATATAATCAGATACTTGTCCTTGAAATATCAACCTTGGAGCCATCTTGAGGAAGGATTGAAGTGATAGAGAGGGCCAGGGAGAGAGGTCACCCTCCTGATTAACAACTTTTCAATAGCTTAAGATAAAATCCAGACTTCTAGCTGGTGCAGTGGCTCCCACCTGTAATCCCAGCACTTTGGGTGGCCTAGATGGGCAGATTACTTGAGGCCAGGAGTTTGAGACCATCC
Source organism: Homo sapiens (assembly GCF_000001405.40). Classification (NCBI taxonomy): domain Eukaryota; kingdom Metazoa; phylum Chordata; class Mammalia; order Primates; family Hominidae; genus Homo; species Homo sapiens. The sequence goes on from NC_000010.11 coordinate 37,558,049, forward strand.
TGGCCAACATAGTGAAACCCCATCTCTACTAAAAATACAAAAAATTAGCCGGCCATGGTGGTGGACGCCTGTAGTCCCAGCTACTCAGGAGGCTGAGGCAGGAGAATGGTGTGAACCCAGGAGGTGGAGCTTGCAGTGATCCGAGATCGTGCCACTGCACTCTAGCCTGGGAAACAGAGCAAGACTCCACCTCAAAAAAAAAAATATATATATAGCCAGGCATGGTAGCATGCACCTGCAGTCCCAGCTACTACTCGGGAGGCTAAGGTGGGAGGATTGCTTAAGCCTGGGAGGTAGAGGCTGCAGTGGGCTGTGATTATACCACTGCACTCCAGCCTGGGCAACAGAATAAGATCTTGTCTCAAAAAAAGAAAATGAGAGAAGGCATGACATGCATAACAGCTTTTAACCTGCTGCACTGAACATGTGAGCAGGAATTTTATCAATATAGTAGGTGCTCTTGAGACCAGGAACCACCTCCACAGTCCAAACAATACAGTTTCCTTTCAGAAGTCTACTCTCTGAGAGTACATTCATACAGGTCCACTTATAGAGTTCCCTATTTTGTCTGTTTATGTAAGTAAAGTGTATTTCAAATAACAATAGGTTCAACTCTTTAATGGAGAAAGGAGAATATAAATAACAATAAAAATTATCTAAAACAATACTACAATGGGCTTTTCTTCCTTCTAGTTTTCTCCCCCTGACCACAGGCTTTATGAAGCATAGTCAAAAGTATATATAGAGAAACAGGAAATGCAAGGGAGAGAAGTTTATGAGGCAAAAAATATATATATTCATGTGTGTGTATATATATATGGGTGTGTGTGTGTGTATATATGTGTGTGTATATATATATATCTTGGTTTAAAAAAATAACCCAGAAGACAAGATATAATCTTTAAAAATTATTTTATTTTTATTAATGATTACGGGTACTTCATAGTGGTACATACTTATGGGGTACATATGATGTTTTTTGTTTTAGAGGTGAGGTCTTGCTGTGTTGCCCAGGCTGGTCTTGAACCCATGGCCTCACGTGATCCGCTCCCCTCAGCCTCTCAAGTAAATGGGACTGCAAGTGAGAGGCACTGTGTTTGGCATCTTGCTTTTTTTGGCTAAACCTTATCTTGTAAGCAGTTTCTTCCATACAGCCTCAGCTTTTTGATGACTGTATGATATTCTTTTCCCAATTATTGAACATTTAGGCCATTTCTAATTTTTCTCTATTTTAAATATATATAATGATTTAAAAAATCATTGTCTATTAGTTTGCTAGGGCTGCCATAACAAAATACAACAGATCTAGGTTGCTTAGGCAACAGAAATTTATTTTCTCACTGTCTGGAGGCTGGAAGTGAAAGATCAGGGTGTGAGCAGGATTAGTTTCTGCTGAGGCCCCTCTCCTCAGCTTGCCATTAGTCACCTTCTCCCTGTGTCCACACTGTCTTTCCTCTATATTTGGGCATCCCTGGTGTTTCTTTGTGTGTTCAAATGTCCTCTTCTTATATAAACACTGCTCAGATTGAATTAGGGCCCATTCTAATAGGCTCTTTTTAATTTAATCATCTCTATAAAGGCCCTGTTTCCAAATACAGTCACATTTTGAGGTACTGGGGTTAGGTTTTCAATATATGAATTGGGGGTTAGGGGGAGGCATAATTCAGCCCCATAACACATTATGTTTAATTTTTTCTCACTTGGGTTTCAGATCATTTTCTTTGCACAGATTCTCAGAGTGGGAATCACTGGATCAAATGATAAAAAATATTGTAAGGCTCTTGAAAACTACTTTCCCAAAGAATATAACAACTGGTACCAAAATAGCCTTGTTTTATTCTGTTCTCACGCTGCTAATAAAGACATACCAGAGACTGGGTAATTTATAAAGGAAAGAGGTTTAATGGACTCACAGTACCACATGGCTGGAGAGGCCTCACAATCATGGTGGAGGGCAAAGAGGAGCAAAGGCACATCTTACATGGTGGCAGGCAAAGAGGGCATGTGCAGGGGAACTGCCCTTTATAAAAGCATCAGATCTAGTGAGACTTATTCGCTATCACAAGAACAACATGGGAAAGACCTGCCCCCATGATTCAGTTACCTCCCACAACATGTAGGGATTATGGGAGCTACAATTCAAGATGAGATTTAGGTGGAGATATAGCCAAACCAAATCAAACCTTCTTAAAATTATTTTAAAATAACTGAATGAATTAACTAAGGATTCTGTTCAGCTGCATATAACAACAACTCATCCACAATGACGTAGCCAAATAGGGGTTTATTTTGTGACTTAAATTAAAGCCCAGGAAGCAGTTTAGAGCTTCCGCAGCAGCTTTGCACAGTATCAATGTTGTAGGCACCTTCTCTGATTCTTCTCTCTGGTCTTCCACCATCATTAGCATGTGGCTGTTATTGCCCTGGCCTGTGCACTTGCTGTTCTCTCTGCCTCTAACTCCCAGACCTCCAGATCTCTATTCAAAAGTCACCTTCTCAATTGGACATTTCCTGGCCACCCTTTCTAAAACTTCACTTTCTCTTCTCCTCCTACCCCCTCTTTTTTTTCCTCCATAGCATTTATTATTATTTAATATACTGTATCTTTTAATTATTCATGTTATTTGTTTCTTTTCTCCTAGAATGGAAGCTTCATAAAGGCTTAGGTTTGTCTGTTTTGTTTATTACTGTGTGTGCACACTCATGCACACATATACAGACACATGTACATACACAGACATGCATACATGTGCAAACACACATGTGTGCCCACACACACAGATACACAGATTTCCACTCTCAGGAAAGGCTAAGCAAGTCCAAACCGACCTTCTCTTCCCCTTCCCTCGCCCCTTCCCCCTCCCTTCCCCATCCCCTCCCCTCCCCTTCCCTTCCTCTCTCTTCCTTCCTCCCTTCCTTTCTTCTTCTCTTCTCTCCCTCTCTTTATCCCTTTCTCCCTCCTTTCCTTTCCTCCCTGCTTCCTTCCCTCCCTTCCTTCCTTCACATTGTGAAGTGGCTTGCCGAAGGTTATGCAGAAAGTTAGTGACAAAGACAGAAGAACCTAAACTCTAGTTTCCCAGTTGCCATTTCTATCATTCCAAAGCAAGAATGTCATTGACTCTTCAGAATTAGCCTAATATGTTTATAAATATACTTTGAGACTAAATTCAGATTTAACAAATCTTTTGAATCCAAATGCTGACTAGGCTACCTTTTAAAATCAGTAGTACAGTATTTCCACATCTTTAGTATATTTTCAGACATTAACTGGGAGGTAGGAGAGTGAGGCTAAAGTATATGTGTGTTCTGCCATGTTTATTCAATTGCTGATGAATCCTGAGCTGAGTTTTCCAAAATTTCCTTACGAGGTAAATTATGATGTATATAGTATATTTTTGTTTGTCTCTTTTTGTTTTTTTAACTATGTATACAGTATGTTAATGTTTGTTTAAAATGTGTGGTAAAAAATGTACTGGAACGTTCTTTTTTATTTTATTGTTATTTTTTAATAGAGATGGGGTTGTGCCATGTTGCCCAGGCTGGTCTCCAATTCTTGGGCTCAAGTGATCCTCCCACACCGGCCCCCAAAGTACTGGGATTACAGGCATAAGCCTCTGTGCCTGGCCAGAATGTTTTTACAGATGCACAAAATATCTCTGGAAGGCAACACAAGAAGCTCTCAAGGGTGAGGTGGGACAATGAATGAATGGCAGGGGCACAGGTGGGAGGGTGACTAGTCACCATAAAACCAACTCTACTTTTGAATGTGGTTGGAAAAGGTTAAAAACAAACTAACAAAAGAACCAAACTCTTAATCTCAATGCACTGTCTCAGTTAGGAAATGCTCATGGTGGCAGATGTGAAATGTATGAGTCCTACCATGTCCCCACATAATGAGGCCCTGTCCACGTTTCTGACCTTAACTCATACACATTTCCCCTTGTGTACTTTGCTCCAGCAACAAAAGTCTTCTTGCTGTTCCTTGACCATGTGGAATGCAGTGCTAAACAGGCCTTCTGGCTTGTGTTCCCTTTACATAGAAACTGCCTCCCCTCGATCTGTGCATGGTTCACTCCTTAACCTCATTCAGGTCTCTGCTCAAATGTCACCTCCTCAGGGGAGTTCTTTTTTAACCTCCACATTTTAAATGCATCTCTGATCTCTCTGTTATTCTCTCCTTGCTGCACTTTTATTTCTAATACTTACCACACCTATGTTGCCTATCTGTTTCCTTATTTACATAAGCTCCACAAGGCAGAGACAGTTTTCTTCACCACTACATCCTGATCACATAGAATAAGGCTTGCCTTGAAAAAGGCATTCCATTTTAGAAACAAGATCTCTGTCACCCAAGTTAGAGATCAGTGGTGCGGTCATAGCTCACTGCAGCCTCAAACTGCTGAGCTCAAGCGATCCTGCCCTGTAGAGATGGGGTCTTGCTATATTGCCCAGGCTGGTCTTGAACTCCTGACTTCACACAATCCTCCAGCCTAGCCTCCCAAAGTGCTGGGATTACAGGCATGGCCACTGTGCCTGGTCTCAAAAAATATTTTTTTGAATAAATTTAAAAATGCACAAATGAATTCTATTAGGGATCTTTTATGCAAGGCAGCATTGAAACTGCCTAGTTGAGGAGGGCAAGTAGGTTTCATTTACTGGCTCTGGCCAACAGAGCTGCTTGGAAAGCTATATTGAGATCTGGAGACTGACTCAGGTGGTAAGAGCCCTGTGATCAATTAGCAAGTTAAATGACAGGCAAAGTGGGGAAAGGATGACCCATGAATCATGTAAACAAAACTCCAGATTATCTAGTAGGATTGGCTAAAGCAGAAGCAGCCAGATTAAGAGCATTATGGCAGAATGTTCGTTTTGAATAATGAACTTAAAGAACATGAATGTATCAAACAAATGGTGAGATTATATCCTTGTGCCACATCTTACACTTCTCTGCCTGCCTATGCTATTTTATGACTAGAGACTCATTGTTCAATGGTTAGGGCCAAATGTTTAGAAAATTTTAAATATCAACGTATTTGTAAGCAAAATTATTTCATTGGCTCCAAAAGTGGTAGAAATTCTATTACAAATCATGGATCTTTAAAATGGAACTTACTTATAATTTAAAATTACAGTAGTATAATAAGTAAGAAAATGTGGATTTTTTTTTTTAATTGGAGACAGGGTCTCACTCTGTCACCCAGGCTGGAGTGCAATGATGCAATCACGGCTCACTGCAGCCCTGACTTCCTGGGCTCAAGTGATCCTCCTGCATCAGCCACACAAAATACTGGTATTACAGGTATGAGGCACTGCATGTGGCCCCCAAATGTGGATTTTTAAAAAGTCAATTAGATTTGGAGCATTAGATGGAACTCTGGGTTACAAAGGACAGAAGCAATTCAATTGGCAAATAGTCTGCAGTAAGATCTGATAGGGCTGGAAATAAACTCTCAAAACCAAATGCCAAAACTCCCTTCCAAGGACAAAGCCCCATACTGATAAGATGCTGGGAAAATAATCCAAGTTGAATGCCACAAAGGCAACCTGGTTCATTCCAGAGGAAGTATAAAGGCATGAATTCAGTCTTTTAAAACATGCTTTTTAGATATTGAGTAATAAACACACAATATAAGTAAAAATTAAAACACTACTGAAATTTGTAGAGACCACAGCTGCTTTTATTAAAGGGCAGAAAAATGTAAATTTAGGAGATCAAGAATATTATTATGAAATAGTTTGCTAACAGGATAGACAAATATTTAAAGGAAAGGAAACTAAAGCAGTATTTAAATCAAAGGAAGTGGCTGATTAGAAGAGACTTCGTAAGAGGCAACTTACTGTATGCTTTTGTTTCCCAGCATTACTCATACCAGGTTGTAGCATGTTTTTGAGAGAGCGGCTGGGATTGAGTATACTCTTGACTTAAATATGTTTGTTTATAAAGACAAATGGAGAAATCTGTTTTTTCTCCTGGATTCTTAGGCACACTTAAGTGAATAAAGAACCTTGACAGTATGCTGTCCCACACGTTTAAGGACAGAAGTTAGTGTAACACATTGTTTTCATATTTCATCTTATCTGTTTTGTAACTGTACTGACTTTTTAACTCCTGACCTTCTGTACTTATTAATGTCAAGTTTTAAGAGTAAAAATTACTGGTATATTAAGCAATTTTTTTCTCATATATTTCTAACTTTATTTTTTGTTATGGGGGACTTTTCCTTATTATAATGATAGCACAAGTGTCTGGAGAAATAAGCAAGATCATAGAGGAGCTTTCTTAATTGACTGAAGCCTTGAATAATTTGAAACCATTTTGAACTACTTGCATCATGGACAGCTCATTATAAATGAAGGCATTAATTTATTGGGTGAGTTTATGTAGAGTTTCAATATAATGATGTAATTGCTCACATTATTGTAAGTTTTAAGACTTCAGTTTTCTTTCAGTAGCAGCATATTTTCATAACATAAAAGTCTATCTTTTCTATTTTTTAAACGGAATGTTTTCACATGTATATGAGTGTGTATAGGTGTAGAAATAGATATAGGTAGCCGGGTGCAGTGGCTCACATCTGTAATCCCAGCACTTTGGGAGACCGAGGCAGGCAGATCACAAGGTCAAGAGATCCAGACCATCCTGGCCAATATGGTGAAAACCTGTCTCTAGGAGAAATACAAAAATTAGCTGGGCATGGTGGTGCGCACCTGTAGCCCCAGCTACTTGTGAGGCTGAGGGAGGAGAATCACTTGAACCCAGGAGATGGAGGTTGTAGTGAGCCGAGATCATCACACCACTGCACTCCAGTCTGGCAACAGAGCAAGACTCCATCTCAATAAATAAATAAATAAATAAATAAATAAATAAATAAATAAGAAAGAAATATAGGCACAGGCAGGTGGTCTTTCAGGTATGTAGTCTTTTTACGTTTGGATATATATCTAACCCATACACTTCAACTTTATATTCTAAATCAATTTAGATTCTGTTACAAGTGACTTTGAAGGATTTTATTGTTTTCTTTTGTAAAAATTAAATTGTGAATGTAACTTAGCTCCAAGTTATGGATATTCCCCACATTATGTGAGAACTAGTAGTCAAGAGGGGAAATCATGCTTTGCAATCATAAGACTAAATTAGAGTCTTGATTCTACAACTTACTAACTTTGGGAGACTAACTTGGGGAAAGTTTCTCTGAGTTATCTTGGAAAAATGAGTGTTAAATGCACTCATGGCTGGGCATGGTGTCTCATGCCTGTAATCCCAGCACTTTGAGAGGCCAAAGCACGTGGATCACTTGAGGTCAGGAGTTTGAGACCAGCCTGGCCAACATGGTGAAACCCCGTTTCTACTAAAAATACAAAAATCAGCCAGGGGTGGTGGCACACACCTGTAGTCCTAGCTATAGCTACTCAAGAGGTTGAGGTTGGTGGATTTCTTGAGCCCAGAAGTTTGAGGCTGTAGTGAGTTATGATTGTGCTACTGCACCCCAGCCTAGGCAACACAGCGAGACTCCATCTCAAAAATAACAACTAAAAAATCACTCTCATCCCTATCTACATCACAAGATTTTTGTGAAGGTTCATGGAGGTGATGTAGACAAAAGCCCTTATAAAACACTGGTTGCATATTTGTAAGCGAATAGGCCTCCAAATGACTGAAGTTGATCTGATGTTAGTACTTAAGGAGTGGTAGGCAGTGTGGCAATCATATATATATATATATATATATATATATATGTGTGTGTGTGTGTGTGTGTATGTATCCCTACACTTTTTAATTCAGATAATAAAATAGACTAGAATGTGAGACATTATATATGTGCATTATATATACATATATTATATATGTATGCATTGCGGGAAGTCAGGGACCCCACATGGAGGGACCAGCTGAAGCCACGGCAGAAGAACATAAATTATGAAGATTTCATGGACATTTATTAGTTCCCCAAATTGATACTTTTGTAATTTCTTACATCTGTCTTTACTGCAATCTCTGAACATAAATTGTGAAGATTTCATGGACATTTATCCCTTCCCCAGTCAATACTCTTGTGATTTCCTATGCCTGTCTTTACTTTAATCTCTTAATCCTGACATCTTTGTAAGCTGAGGATGAATGTCGCCTCAGGACCCTGTGATGATTGCGTTAACTGCACGAATTGTTTGTAGAGCATGAGTATTTGAAAAATATGAAATCTGGGCACCTTAAGAACAGGATAACAGCGATTTTCAGGGAACAAAGGAGATAACCTTGAAGTCTGGCTGCCTGTGGGCAGGCAGGACAGAGTCATATTTCTCTCATTACTGAAAATGGGTAAGATAAATGTCGCTGAATTCTTTTCCCAGTAAGAAATATTAATAATTAACGGCCCTGGGAAAAGAATGCATTCCCAGAGGAGGCCACTGAAATGGCTGCTCTGAGGGTGTCTGCCTTATGCAGATGTAGATAGGGATGAAACACACCCTAGTCTCCTGTAGTGCCCCCAGGCTTGCTACGATTAGGAAATTCTAGTCAGACCGGCTCTCTGCTCTTGAACCTTGTTTATCAATGACAATGCGTGCACAGCTGGACATGGAAGTTTATTAGTGATTCTAGTTTTGCCCTAACCTTCTGCCTTGTCATCTTTTGTTGCCCTTGAAGCATGTGATCTCTGTGACCCACACCCTATTCGTGCACTCCCTCCCCTTTGAAAATTGCTAATAAAAACTTGCTGGTTTTACGGCTCAGGGGGCATCATGGAACCTGCTGACGTGTGATGTCTCCCCCGGGCACCCAGCTTTAAAATTTCTCTCTTTTGTACTCCGTCCCTTTATTTCTCAGACTGGCCGACACTTAGGGAAAATAGAAAAGAACCTATGTGAAATATCGGGGTAAAATTCCCCTGATAGTATGTATATATATAACATCTCACATTCTATTCTTTTTATCTGAATTTTTATGTTTTAAATTTAGCAATCTTTAACTCACTAATCTTGTATTTCAACGTGTCCAAATAACTTTTAAACCCATCCCAATGGGTTCTTAATGAATTTTTAAAATTTCTGTTTAATTGATGCATAAGAATTGTGTATATTTATGGGGTACAATGTGATGTTTTGATGCTGGCTTTGTAAAATGAGTTTAGATGTACTTCAATTTTTTGAAATAGTTTGAGAAGGATTAGTATTAGTTCTTCTATAAATGTTGGTAGAATTCTGCTATGAAGCCATCTGTTCCAGAGCTTTTCTTTGGTGGGAGATTTTGTTATCATTATTATTATTATTGATTCAGTCTCCTTATTCCTTATTTAACGTTTGAATTTTCCATTTCTTTTTTTACTCAGTCTTGGTAGATTGTGTATGTCTAAGAACTTACTTATTTTTTCTGGATTATCGAACTTGATGTGGAACTCTAATTGTTCACAGTAGTCTCATGATATTTTGTATTTTGGTGGTAATATTTGTAACATCTTCTCTTTCATTTCTGATTTTATTTATTTGAGTCTTTTTTCTTTTGTCTTTAGTCTTGCTAAAAGTTTGTCAATTTTGTTTATCTTTTCAAAGAACCACTTGTAGTTTAATTCATCTGTTTTATTGTCTTTATTGTCTCTATTTCATTTATTTCTCCTCTGATATTTCTTATTTCCATACTTCTACTGACTTTAGACTTAGTTTGTTCTTTTTCTAGTTTTTTGATGTGTAATATTATTTATTTGAGATGTTTCTTTTTTGATGTAGGCATTTAATCCTATAAACTTCAAATTTAGAACTACTTTTGCTGCATCCCATAAGTTTTGTTATCCTGTGTTTCCATTTTCATTTGTCTTAAGATATTTTTAAATTTTACTTTTAATTTTTATCTTTGACCCATTTGTTGTTGGTGAGCATGTTGGTTAAGTTCCATGTATTCATGAATTTTCCAAAACTTTTCATGTTACTGATTTCTACTTTTATTCATTTGTGAACAGAAAAGATAGCTGATATGATTTCAAGCTTCCTAAATTTGTTTATACTTGTTTGTGGCCTAACATTCTCCTGGAGAATGTTTCATGTGAACTTTAGAAGAATGTGTATCTTACTGCTGCTGGATTAAATTTTCTGTATTTGTCTATTAGGTCTATTTGGTCTAAAGTGTTGTCCAAATCCATTGTTTCCCTACGGATTTTCTGTCTAGATAATTTATCCATTGTTGAACATGAGTGTCTTGAATTCATCTATCATTATTGTCTTGCAGTGTATCTCATACTTCAGATCTATTAATATTTGCTTTACATAGTTAGGTGCGCCAGTGTTGGGTGCGTACATACTTAAAATTCTTATGTCCTCTTGATGAGTTAACGTCTTTATCATCATATAATGACCTTCTTTGTCTCTTCTTACAGTTTTTGACTTAATTTTATTTTGTCTGATATGAGTATAGTCACTTCTATTTTCTTGTGGTTATCATTTGGCTGGGATACCTTTTTTTAATTATTTCTTTCCTCTCAGTTTATGTGTGCCCTTAAGTCTAAAGTGAATCTCTTGTAGGGAGCATATTATTCAATCTTGTCTTTTTATCCATTCAGCTACTCTATGTCTTTTGATTACAGGTTTTAATCCATTTACATTTGAAGTAGTTATTGACAGGTAAGAACTTACTACTGCCATCTTGCTAATTTTTTTTTTTTTAGTTTTGTAGTTCTTTTGTTTCACTCTTCCAGCCTTGCTGCCTTTTTGTGTGATTTGTTCTATTTCTGTGGTGATATGCTTTGATTCCTTTCTCTTTTGTGTATCTACTAGAGATTTTTTTCTTTGTGGTTACCATAAAGTTTGGATTAAAACATCTTAAAGTTATAATGCCCTAATTTAAGCTAATAGTATCTTAACTTCTATTGCATACAAAGAGTCTACACTTTTATTTCTCTCCTGAAATTTTATGCTATTGATGCATTCTTTACATCTATTTATATTGTGTATCTGTTGACTGTTTATAGTTGTTTTCAATAGTTTTGTTTTTTAATTCTTATACTAAAATTAAGAGTGATTTACATACCACCTTCACAGTATTAGAGTATGCTGAATTTGACTATATATTTACCTTTACCAGTGAATTTTGTACCTTAATATGTTTTCACATAGTTACTTATTATCTTTCTATTTCAATCCAAATAATTCTCTTAAGCATTCTTGTAAGGTCGGTCTCCTGGTGATGAACTCCCTCACCTTATTTGTCTTGGAATTTCTTTGTCTTTACTTCATTTATGGAGGACAGCTTTGCTGGGCAAAATATTCCTGATTTGTTTTCTTTTAGAATTTTGTGTATGTCACTTTACTCTCTCCTTGCTTGCAAACTTTCTGTTGAGAAGTCTACTGATAGCCTTATAGAATATCCTTTCTATATGACAAGTTTCTTCTCTCTTCCTTTATTCAAGAGTCTCTTTTCTCTCTTTCCTGATTTTTGACAATTTGATTATAATGTGTTTCAGAATATTTCTTTTTTAAAATTGATCTTGCTAGGAAAGCTTTGAGCTTCCTGAAACCGTATATTCATATTGCTTCCAAGATTTGGGAAGTTTTCAGACAGTATTTCTTTAAGTAAATGTTCTACCTCTTTGTCTCTTCTCTTTATGGTATTCTAGTAGTTTGTATACAGTTGGTCTTTCATATTTGCTTGTTCTGCATCCATGGATTCAACCTACCACTGATGGAAAATATTTTTTAAAAACAATAAAAATAACAATACAACAATAAAAATAATACTAGAAAACAACACAGTATAATAACTATTTATATAACTTTTATATTGTATTAAGTACTGTAAGTAATGGAGAGATTATTTAAAGCCTATTGTGAGGGTATGCATAGGTTATATAAAAATACTATGCCATTTTATATATGAGACTTGAGTATTAGCAGATTTTGATATTCATGAGGGGTTCTGGAACCAATTTCCTGTGGATACCAAGGGATAACTATATTCATATATTTGTTGGTTTCCCATAGGTTCCTATGCTTTCTTCACTCTTTTCAATATATTTTTATTGCTCTAATTGGTTAATTTCAAGTGACCTACTTTTGGGCTCACTAATTCTTTCTTCTGCATGATCAAGTCCACTGTTAGAACTAAGTTTTTCAGTTCTGTTGTATTATTCATCTGTTCTAGGGCTTCTGCTGAGTTCTTTATGTTTTCTATTTCCATATTAAACTTCTTTTTTTGTTCATTTAATATTTTTATAATTTTAGTTGTCTATGTGTATTTTCTTGCATCTCATTGAACTTCTTTAGGATAATTGTTTTGAATTATTTTTCAGACAATCCACACATCTCCATTTCTTTGGAGTCAATTATTGAAGTTCTATTAGTTTCCTTTGGTGGTATAATGTTTGTGTGATGATTTGTTATCTGTGTAGCTTTGCATTGATGTCTATGCATTGAAAGGAGCAAATTCATCTCTCAGGCTTTACAGATAGTATGTGCCAACTTAAAATCCTCTCCTATTAGGTCTTGGGTTAAAGAGATTGCCTCTGGGATTGTGGTAGGCAGTAGAGTGGGATTGGATCCAGGTCATGTGGCTGATGTTGGGTCGACAGTAGACACTATAATCAACAGGCCTCTTTCCAGAGGTTCTCATGGGCATGGGTTCTATCTGGTCCCTGGGTGAACTGGACCATCTCTAAGATCTTGGTATGTGGAGCTGGTGTTGAGATGATGTTCTGCTTCAGAATTTACCTAGTATGCTGATGAGTGTGGCTTCTTCTGAGTCTCTGAGAGAGCTCCTGTTGGATCACTGGTTGGATTATCTGCCCTGGGGTGGTTGTACTGCCCTGGTCCATGATTGAAATGGCTGGAATTAAGATACAAGGTTGTTTCAGGGCCCACACCTGAGACTGAGAACCTCAGACCAGTCTCCAGGATCATAAATAGGCATGTCTCCTGGTGGGTTCCTGGGTTAGCAGTCCTACTTTTAGACTGTAGTTGAGAAAGACTGGAGCCCATTTTTAAGGATTATTCAAGATCTATAATGGGACCAAAGTCAGGGCATTACCTATAGGGGCACCACTGGACCTGTCTCCCTCTGGGTCCCCAGGCAAGCAGAACTGTTCTCAATCTCTACACAAAAGGGGCATAAGATCTAGGGCCATTTGAGGATCAACTTTGGGACAAACTTTGGGAAGCCTACCATGGAAATTCAGGTGGGCATGCCTCCCAGTGGAATCCTAGTTGGGCAGAACTGCTTCCAGACCACAGCTGGGAGAGGCTAATGAATTCAGGCTTCAGGGCTAATTCACAATATGCTGTAAGATTGATGCTGGCAAGGCTGACTTGGTGGCATCGGTGGATGATATTCCTGGCCAGTTCCCTAATCAGACAGAATTGTTCCCAGACCACAGCTAAGATGGGGCTGGAGCTGAGATTCAGAACCCATTTGGGAACTGTTAGAGGATGGAGGCTGGCAAGCCTGTCCAGGTGCATCTCCTGAGATTTCCAAGCAGTACTAAGCTAGGAGTACAGCTGAGGGGGTGTTGGAGCTGAGTTACAAAATATCTTTTGGGTTCAATGCTGGGACCAATGTTGGCAGGCCTGTCTGCCCAGACACTAGTGTGCATGATTCCTCCTAGGCCCATTAGCAAATAGTTTCAGTAGCAGGGTCAAGGCCAAATAGGGCTGGAGTCAAACCCTTTAAAGAACAGAGACATTTCTGAATCTAAACCTTGGAGCATGGTGAATGCATCTGCCATGTGGGTGCATATCTGCACTCTCAAAGTGACACTCCTAGGTTCTCAGCTACTCTAGGATTTCACAACCTCCTGCCTGAAACACAAGGCTCCCATAAAGAGATTTTTGCTTGTGGAGGGTGCAGAATTCTTGTTGTCATCGGGGAAAGGAGGGGGTGACCTCCTATTTTGCTACCTTACTCATATCTACAAGGTCTTAATGAGTTCTTAATATCATATATTTTATTTTTTAGTTTATAATATCCTTTCAATTACTTTTAGTAAGTTCTGGTTCTTTGTTGAAAATTCTCTGAATTTTTATATATTTTTACATTCTTCTGTTTTCTGAATGTATCCAACAGTTACTTTAAATTCATCATCAATTAATACAGTAGTTTGATCACAAGTTGCTCTTGTGTTCTTCCCTGTTACTTATCGTTTATGGCATCTTATTCTTGATGTGGTGGATTTATTGCACTCAGGATCCTGAGTTTTACCCCTTCCTCTGTCCTCACATTTCTCCTTTTAACTTCCCAGTGTCCTTCCATTGGGCAGAGCGTTCTGCCACTTGAATCTAGGCGTAGCCACAGGGCTGGTTTGGGCCATGTTAGCAAAATGGCACAAGCAAAGGCTTGGAAAAGTGCCTGTGTGTATCATCTTGCCCATTTGCTCCTCTGTCCTTGTCACAAGAATAGGGACACATGAGCTTGCTGGGGAACGAGGCACAAGGAGCAGAGCCAAAACCACAATTTTTTTTCAGCCAAGTCAGACATCTCTTGGCCAACTGTCAGTCAGGAGAGACTCTGAAAACTGCCCATTTGAGGTTAGTCCAACTCATTGACTCCAGAACTCATGACTTATGTAATTATTGTATGGCCTTAAAGCTGAGTCGGTTTTTTTTGGTACATAGAATTATTGTGACAATATAAAACTGATACTTTAAATATATTCATTACATTTCAGTTGTGTGCTAGACATGGTTTATTGTAAAAAATTAGAAGCTTCAGATTACAATATCTACAAGAGATATTGTATCAACACTTTGCTAATCAAAGACTAGAGGCTTATTATCTTGTTAGTTATGAACTTAGCTGGATCAAGGCTGGGTTAAAGTTTCATTAAAACTTTGTCTATCTCTGGTTAGTTCCTGTCCCCAAGAATATGGATTTCAAGGGTTTATTTGAAATCATGATGATTTCGGCTCCTCAGTACCCAGAAATCTGGACCTTTGGCTTTGATTCTCAGAGAAATCACACACCCCTTGGTCAACTACCTGTCAGGGGAGACTCTGAAAACTGCCCATTTGAAGTTAGTCCAACTCATTGATTCTAGAACATACGACTTATGTAATTATTGTGTGGCCTTAGAGTTGAGGAATTTTTTTTTGTTTGTTTTTTGTTTTTAGGTCTATAGTCTTCCTCCATGAACAGCTTCAGAATGTGGCAAATGCCTTAAAGGAGATGCCTGCGGGGAGTTTAAAGCCCCTCAAATCTCTAATTTTGTCAATTCTAGCCACCAATGGTTCTACTATTTCTATCTCCTTAAAAGGGGCTCCTCTAGAGTCAGACCATCTAGCTGTGTCCATATCAGCAAAGCCTGCAGGAAATAAACAACTGGAGATTTTCTTTTTTTTTAAGTTTTATTTTACTTTTAATTGACAAATAGTAATTGCATATATTTATAGAGTACAAATTGATATTTTGATACATGCATGCATAGTAGAATGATCAAATAGGGTAATTAGCATATCTATAACCTCAAATATTTGTGTTTTCTTTGTAATGAGAACATTTAAAATGATCTGTTTTCACTATAAATGTACAATACATTCTTATCAAATATAGTCACCTTCTTCTGCAAGAGAACACCAGAATTTCTTCCTCCAACTAACTGTAGCTTTGTACCCATTGAACAACATCTCCCCTTCCTCCATCTACCTCCCACTTCCAGCATCTGGTAACCACTTGCTACTTGCCACTTCTGTGAATTCAACTTTTTTAGATTTCACATATAAGTGAGATCATGTGGTATCACTTTTCATTCAACGCTAATTATTGTTCTTAGAGTGTCCTCCTGGAAGACCTACTAAGCATTTTGAAAGTCTACTAAGCATTTTGAAACTTCACATTATGGAGCTATTATGACTTAGCTTTTTAGCCACCCCAGAGAGCCTTGGGCCCAGGCAGAGAACTGTTGTAGGGGTGGAGCCATGGCAGAGAACCCAACTAGGGCAATTTACAGTGGTGTTTTGGGGACAGAACCACCTCAAAGAGCCCCAACTACAGCAATGTGTGGTGGAGCTATGGGCCCAGGGTTACCTCCTTGATTTGTGGGGCCACTGGTGGACACCTTATGGGCTGTGTCTAAATGCCATGGGGATGGGGCCATTCAGAGTTTTGGGGGTCAAAACCCTGGGCCAATTCTCTCAGAACATGAGACATGGAGTCAAATAAGTTTATTCTCAAGCCTTAATATTTAATGTTGTTCACCCAACAGGGTTTTGAACTTACTTGGGACTATTAATAGTTACCCCTTTCTTCTTTCCTATGTATCCCTTTTAGAATGGGAATGTCCATCCTGTACCTATTTCACTGTTGTATTTTGGAAGCACATAACTTGTTTGATTTCATAAGCTCACAGCTTGAGATAAATTTGCCTCAGAATGGATCATTTCTTGAGTCTTATCTATATCTGATTTAGATGACATTTAGATGAGACTCTGGACTTCTTTAGACTTTTGAGTTGATACTGGCTATTGAGATGGAATGAATGCATTTTGCATGTGAGAAGGACATAAATTTTGGGAAGCCAGGAGTGGAATGCTATGGTCTGAACATTGGTTTCACCCCCAAAACTCCTATATTGAAACCTAGTAAGAGATGATTAAAACATGAGGGCTCCTCCCTTGTGACTGGGATTAGTGTCCTCATATATGAGATCTAAGGGAACTTGTTCACTCCTTCTGCCATGTTGGGACACACAGAAAGTGCCTCTGTGACAAACTAAGCTCTCACCAATCAATGAATCTGCCAGCACGTTGATCTTGGACTTCCAAGACTCCGGAACTATCAGTGAAAAATGTCTGCTGTTTGTAAATTACCCAGGCTCAAATATTTTGTTATAGAAACCCAAATGGACTTAAACACATGTATTTAGCTAATACAACTATAACAGTGTGTAGGGAAAACAACTTAGTAAGTAATAAATTGAAAGAGAAAATATTTGGTTAATTCTTTTCATAAGTATGTTGTGCATGAAAAACAAATGCACTGGATCCCATTGTTCAGGTCCAATTTCCTCTCCATGGGTTTTGTAAACTCTCTGTAAAACATTGACGATGGAAGTTAAGAAAGTAAAAAACTCACTTTCTGATTTAGAAGCAAAAATCTCGTACTATTTGAACAATATTATTCATTAGATTTCCTCCTTGCATCTTTAAATCGCATCTTGCATGCCATGACCATCGAGTACTGAAGCTATGTCACGGTTTTGTTGATTGTTATTTTTCTCAGTCTTGGATTCTACTTTTGCAATCAACCCCTAGCTTAGATAACATCAGTCGGATGTCACTGGGTTTTGTGGCTACAACTATATTATATAATCTTTACTTTCAAATGCTGACATCTTTTCACAAAGAAACTAAAAGTTCAATTTCATTCTTAAGACATTAGGCAGGCTGGGAACGGTGGCTCTCGCCTGTAATACCAGCACTTTGGGAGGCTGAGGTGGGCGGATCACGAGGTCAGGAGATCGAGACCAACCTGGCTAAAATGGTGAAACCCCGTCTCTACTAAAAATACAAAAAAAATTAGCCGGGCGTGGTGGCGGGTGCCTGTAGTCCCAGCTACGCCAGAGGCTGTAGCAGGAGAATGGTGTGAACATGGGAGGAGGAGCTTGCAGTGAGCCAAGATCGCGCCACTCCATTCCAGCCTGGGCAACAGAGCGAGACTCCGTCTCAAAAAAAAAAAAAAAAAAAAAAAAAGACATTAGGCAAAAACCTGGACCAATAAAATATGATAAATGTTCAGAATCTCAAAGGAAAAAGTTTGCTTTGATTTTTAATGGTTTAATTAGGCTGCATTGACAGGGAGCCAATTGGGTGTAGTACAAAGGGTTTGGAGTCTGAAGATCCATTTCTGAGTCTGGAGTCCGTAGGCCTGGACACATTTTGTAAAACCAGAGTTTCCTCAACTGGAAAGTGAAAGTTATGAAGTTGTGATGGGAAGATTTAACTAAGATAATAGAAACAAGACCATGCTATACAAATGTTTAAGTTATAAATTAAAATATTAAAAATTGCCCGATTCCCCAGTACAAAAAGAACTAATTTGGTGAAAAACTGTCTTTTATGTACAGTCGTAGAAAATCCTGAGCTGAGAGGCTCCCTCGTTGGGTGGGACCAGGATGTGGAGCTTCATTCGGAGGAGGAAGGAATGTTCACAGTGTAGATTACGGTGTCAATGCACAATGAAGTATTTAGAAACCATTCATCACCAAAGAGGGATTGTAATTTTAGAATTTTTCAGAACCATAATTTCTTAGTATAACTTTGCAAGAAAATAAGCTTTAACAACAAAAGAATGTAAAATACCTGATCCAGCACAGCAAGGGCAACCCTGTGGCTTGCTGACTCATTAAGTACCCATGCTACTTTATGAAACACATGTGAGTTGCATAGATTTATTAAATACTAATACTTTGAATAAATATGGACATACCCCTGCAGAATTGTGGAATATGACATATTTTAAAACACAGTTTCACCTGTGACTGTAAAACATGCATAAATTAGGTTGGAAACCTTGAGGTGGTAGTGAGTGTTTTGAAACATTAGAGATTGCACATTTACAAATCCACCAATTATAAATGTGATTTTTGAGCATATATGTAGTTTAAATATATAATTATGCTTATTCCATTGCACCTGCAACACCCAGTTCAACAAATATTTATTTTCTAGGATCTGGAGAGTTAAGATGAAAACTACCTTGATCATGACATGTAGGAGTTCAAAGTCTCATGTGGGGTGTGAACATCTAAATAGATAGTTCTAATTACTGTGGTGGGAAACTGGGGTCCTGTATGATGATCTTAGCCTACAGAGAAGAGGAGCACCTCTCCTGACTGGTCTAGAGAGAGCATTCAGTAGAAGTGAAGGTGTAACAATATGCGTCTCTGGTGAAAGGATGCCTGAGTTTGAGATATAAAAAGGGGTTTTGCCTGGCAAGGGGATACAGTGAGAAGCTGTGAGTTACACAACTGTGGTTTATTAGAAATAGAAGGGTAAAGGATAATCATACACAAGCAGAAACCCAAACACAAATGTTTATGTCCAAACATAAACTCTTTAGAAATTTGTGCATGAAAGTTGATATGTGCTTTATTCATAATGGCTGAAAACTGGAAATAACCCAAATGTCCATCATCAGGTGAATGGATAAACCATTGTGTTATGTCTGTGCAGTGGAATACTATTCAGCCTGAAAAGGAATTATCTGTTGAAACATTCAATGACTTCAGTGAGACTAAAAATACTTTTGTTGAGTTAAATGAGCTAAACAAAAAAGATAACATACTATATGGCTCCATATACATAAAGTTGTAGAAAAATCTATAGGTTCAGAAAGTAGATCTGTGATTATCTCTGAACAGGCAGATGAGAGATGTGAGGTAAGGGAATGGGAAGGACCCTACAGGGCACAAGGAAACCTCTGGTATTAATGGGTATGTTCATTATCTTCATTGCAGTGATAGCTTCTTGGGTGTACACTTCTAGCAAAATTCATCAAACTGCATGACTTAAATATGTATGATTTATTGTACATCAATTTTACTTAAAAAAGTTTTAAGTAATAGAGATGATTAAAATGATTTAAGCAGTAAAGTGGTATGGAAAGTTTTAGATTTCTGAAGTTAATGATGTTTTTCTGGTTTCTGGCTTGGATGATGAAGACTGGGAATGGTAATGGTTATAAACCTATTCTCTTCTTGTCTATAATTTATCCAGAAATGAAGCTAACTCAATGCAGGGCTACCTGTTTTTATTAGAGATTAATTTTCCAATTTAGTTATAAATAGGGCAACTGCAGACTAATGTTAGGATAGGCTTAATGTTTCACAAAAATGAGATCTATTGGTTTAGGTCTCTAGATGTTGCCTTGTTCTTGTCTGCCACTGTGAACATCATTACCTTCGTTGGCTCTAACAGTTTACAACACTGTGTCAGGACTGTAGAAGAATGAGGGACTCAAACATATCTAAGGCACCATCCAAGTTATTAGAGGTCATTGTTCAGTTAGCTCATAAATATTCCTTCCTGTCTTAAAAAGAGTAAAAAATAGTGACATTCATTGACTATTTACTGATGGCATTACATCCCTTCATCTTCACCACCCTATGAAGCATGTACCTTTATTATCCCAATTTTACACAAGAGGAAACAGGCTTAAAGATGTTTAGTCACTGGTTCTAGATCATGTTTAGATGATGTTGACCCGATTGGAGCCTGGCAATGTGATTCTCAAGCACATATGATTTCCCTAACTTTTCCTCCCCAGTATTTCTATATCCCAACAATTTTCTTTAAGAAATGGTCATTTGTGGCCAGGTGCGGTGGCTCACACCTGTAATCCCAGCACTTTGGGAGGCCTAGCCATGCAAATCACGAGGTCAGGAGATCGAGACCATCCTGGCTAACACGGTGAAACCCTGTCTCTACCTTTATACAAAAAATTAGCTAGCCGTGGTAGCAGACACCTCTAGTCCCAGCTACTCTGGAGGCTGAGGCAGGAGAATGGTGTGAACCCCAGAGGCGGAGCTTGCAGTGAGCCGAGATGGCGCCACTGCACTCCAGCCTGGGCAACAGAGTGAGACTCCGTCTCAAAAAAAAAAAAAAAAAAAGAGGTCATTTGTGGTATTGTAGTAAAAGAACTTAATGCCTTTATATATTCAGCTTCTATAAATGAAGAAAATGACACCAAACTCCTGCCATGTTTTATCCAAGTCATTTTTCTGTGCTTTCAAGCAAGAGCAGTGATGATGTCATGACCTGATGCCTGCACAGAATCACAGAATCTTCAGAATCCCTTAAGTGATGCTGCCAAGTATGTTTGTTTATTCACTTCATTTACAAACAAAAACCTGTCAGGTCAGATACTATATGCAGGGCTTAAAATGAAAAAGGGAAAGAAAATAAGAGCCCTTATGTATTTTTGATGATGCTCTTTGGTTTTCACAGGGAACAAATACAATCTTAAACTGCTTTTAAATCAGGTATATAGATTTGTACAGATATCATGTATTTGAATGTCTTTCTGCACATGTCTATGCACACATGCAGTTCAAAATCAAAACCAATTTACATTCTTCCTATGTTTTTTATTATAAACTAAAGTATATGCTCTGCTTACATGGTGTTCAATTATAACAACGGGTGAAGTGCTTTGCCTTTGAGTATCTGCAAAGATGGAAGTCTGAATACCTGGGTATTATTTGCTACTCTTTCTTGAATGGTATGTTTAATTGTTATTGGCCAGCATGGAACCTATTTGTCATTTTTTTTAACTAAGCTGGAAGGAATCTGGACTTTTCTTGGACTCTAAATGGCATTCTCACATCTAATAATATCACAATGGTTTAGAGTAAGAATAATTCTAGTCTCACATAAATTTAAAAAAATTGTTTTCTGATAATCCTCCATGTTGAGAAAACCATTTTGCTTATGAACTTTTACACATAAAATTGAAGATTTTATACATAATAAATTTTATACATATATAAATTATATATAATATACTATATATAGTATTATATATAAATTATAAATTATATATATATAATATAAATTTTGTTATATATATGACAACACTTTAAACTTTTAAAATGTGATGGACTGGGCAAGGTGGCTCACGCCTGTAATCCCAGCACTTTAGGAGGCCGAAGCAGGCGGATCCTGAGGTCAGGAGATCGAGACCATCCTGGCTAACATGGTGAAACCCTGTCTTTACTAAAAAAAAAAAAAAAATACAAAAAATTAGCCGGTCGTGGTGGTGGGCGCCTGTAATCCCTGCTACTCAGGAGGCTGAGGCAGGAGAATGGCGTGAACCCAGGAGGCGGAGCTCGCAGTGAGCTGAGATCATGCCATTGCACTACAGCCTGGGCAACAGAGCGAGACTCCGTCTCAAAAAAATTAAAATAATAAAATAAAATGTGATGTTTCCTGTGGAATGGAGATTATTTTAA
Source organism: Homo sapiens (assembly GCF_000001405.40). Taxonomy (NCBI): domain Eukaryota; kingdom Metazoa; phylum Chordata; class Mammalia; order Primates; family Hominidae; genus Homo; species Homo sapiens. The sequence goes on from NC_000010.11 coordinate 37,579,969, forward strand.
TGTTTTCTTTCTGATTTTCTGAGTTTTTTTCTCCTTCATATTATGTGGTACACACGCATCCTTTTAGGTTGGGAGAGCTGTCTCCATGCCACCTGTGAGGGGCCAAGGGCTGCCATGCGCTCTCTTCCCTGGGGCCTGCTGCCGCTTTTAGTGAAGCTTCCCACTCCCCGACTGTTCTCTTCTCATTCTTGCAGAAACGGTGGTATAAGAAAATCCTCTGGGGTGTTTTTTTACTGGAGAAGGAGAAAAAAACATATTTTTAGTAGTGCTTGTGGAAAACATTGCAGTAACTGACTTTAAAAATACTGAGTTGTGTGAAAGGAATCCCCACGGTAACAAGAGGTTTCATAAGGTTAAACACCTCTTCTGAAATGTCATGGGTGCGGTGGAAACATGGGATTGGCTTTTTTCCAATTATCTCATCAGATCCTTATTTTACTATTAATACCCTAAAGGGGCTGGGCATGGTGGTTCCCGCCTGCAATCAGCACTTTGGGAGGCCGAGGCCGGTAGATCTTCTGGGGACCAGACTGTCCAACATGGTGAAACCCCGTCCCTACTAAAAATACAACAAATTAGCCGGGCGTAGTGGTGCGCCTGTAATCCCAGCTACTCGGTGCGCCTGTAATCCCAGCTACTCAGGAAGCTGAGGCAGGAGAATCGCTTGAACCCGGGAAACAAAGGTTTCGGTGAGCCAAGATCACACCACTGCACTCTAGCCTTGGCAACAAGAGGGAAACTCCGTTTCAAAAAAAAAAATCCAAAGTTTCATATATTATTATTTATTATTTTTTTATTTTTTTTAGCTTTGAAAGCAGATGCCATGCTTGTTCACTCTTATAGGCAGCTCTGAGTCTGAAGGTTCTGGCTGATGAGATTTGCACAACTAGTCTTGTGTTTTATGCCCAAAGTGCTGATTGTTTCTGTGTAAATTGGTGGTGGACATATTTAACTAACTTCCCCATAATATGAATTTGCAAATTTGTTCTTCGGGGAATGATTGGATACAACTCAACGTGATTTTCTCTCCTCTCTCCTTTTTCTAATTTTTGTTCAGACTAAAATGGCAAATGAATAACACATTATTTTTTCTGAACCATATCCATGACTCATTTGACTCACCCAATAACTATACAAGAAGCATTGAAATAGTATTGATTTCCTTATTCCCTAACTTTTCCTCCCCAGTATTTTTATATCCCAACAATGTATAAATATATACATTTCTCTATGGAGAGTAACACACTTAGACACACATGGAAGTATGGCTTCCATGAAGCCAAAGGATACTGAATTAATTTCCTAAAGTCACAAATAAAACTAGGGAAGAGCCAAGGATTCTCAGCTCAGACTTTTCTAATATTTAGTTCCCTACATTTTTTCAGCTATAGATATTGGACTAAATCTGATCTGGATTGGCTGAAAAATGTAATTTCCATGTAACTATATGATTGCAGCAGCAGCATTTTGAGATGTTTCTGGTCAGAGGAAGACACCAAGGGGCTAATATTTGTTGAACCTTTGAAATTCTGGCAGTTATTTTATATAATTCTTACAATAACATGTGAGATTACTGTTATGATGTTCCTTTCATAGGTGAGAAAACTGTGACACAGGTTAACTTGCCAGAGGTCATGTAGCCTTTGAATAGTAAGGATGGGATCAGACCCACACCATGCGCTGTGCCATTTGCCTATGACATTTAGGAGGCAATACCAGCAACTTTGTTGAGCGTGTTGGGATTGTAGGAGGGGTTAGACCAAGTTATCTGCCACACCCTTTTATGCCATGTCAGGTCTCCAGTGCTGCAAACTCAGCTTTGCATAATCTAATCTAAGCACTAGTGGAATTCAGGAAACTCACAAAGTGCTGGAGAGGTGCTCCTGCCAAACCATCATTCCATTATTGGGCCTTTCCAAGCTGGACCTATTAAAATTCCAAAGAAATTTTATTGCCGAATTGTTTCACTCAAAATGTTTGAATATCAAAGCCGCAAGACACATTTTCTTTCCAGAACGTATGCCTCAGCATAGTTTGTCTGTGTCTTCTACATAGTAAGTGCTCAGTAAATGTTGATGACTTAATGAACTTAATTTCCCTAAATTAGAAGGTAGGAAAATTAATATAGTACACGGTTAATCTATGGTAACCCTAATTGCTAAAGTCAGGAACCTTGTTTACTACTACACAAAAAGCCATTGTCAGAGCTGAGCATGCACTTCTGACTTTCAATTCCCTGGCTATGACCACTAATCCACAGCTCTTCCTTTTCTATTATTTCACAAAATAATTTATATGTACTAAAGGGCCAATGTGGACAACAACATGAATTAAGTAAAATGTCAGCTGTAAGCCTTGCATGGTTCTCTTTGGAGAAAGGCAGATTCATATGCAAGATCATTCTGGGTCAGATCTCACTAACACTCTGGCCATTCATGCATGTGTCACTGCCTCACCACCTGTACAGTTTCATTGCTGCATTGAGGGCAAAATGAACAGGCTTCTGTTTCATGGGTAAGCTCCCAGGAGAAAACTGCATATTGTTCATAATGCTATGCTTGTTCCAATAAAATTTATAAAAATATTTCTTTCTCACTTCCCATAGCTTTCTTGGATGCCTGTGAGTTACAATAAGAATGTTTTATATGTCAGGTCAGCATGTAAATCCGTCTGCAATCACTTCTTGGATGAAAACCAAGATTTAAGTGCTATTAAAATAAATATTTAAGTTTATTCATGAATTATGTAGTTTAACCTTTTTAGGATACAAAAACATTAAAATTATATTTTAATGAAAGGCTAAAGATATATGAAACAATTTAAAACAGCTATAGATCAGTAATTCTTCCTGATTTTGCAAAATTATCTTTCAAACTTTTATAAGTAGTGAATTTATTAATATATACACTGGTTAAATTTAGACTTATTTTTAATTGAGAAATTAAACTATACCACAATAGTTCGCATTTCCAATAACTAATAATTTTGTTCTAATTTAATATATTATCTTAGCAGCTCACATTTTGTTAATTCACTTAGAAACCAATTTATTTATGACCCACTGTTTACAAAACTGAATACTGGACACATGGGTACAAAGTTGATGTTGATCAACTCTGAAGGCAAAATATATCTCTCATTATTTACTTAATATCTTTATTTTATAATTTGAAATCTAAGAATATAAAAAATTCCTGTTTGTTATTTTTTAAAATTATACATACCTGTGTTTTAAATGAATACTTATGGATGTCAGAATCCTTTCGTATAACCTCTTGATATATATATTAGTCAAAAACAATGACAACAAAAATGCAAGAGAAAAATAAATAGAATAAAATAAAGTTCTTTACACCTTTCTTATAATTTGGGGTGGAATTTTCACTTTGTTACTCTGAAATCTTAGAGAATAGTCAAGCATCCAGAGTTATAATCAAATTGTTTAGGCAGGAACACAGCAAACGCTCAGATATGTGAGACTATCTGATTACAGAATTCTTCTTTTTGAGTTTGTATATCTAAGGCTAAAGCCAAGGTATACTCTGCATTTTTAAAAATATGTTTCTCTAGCAGGATGTGCTGGTGCACACCTGTACTCCCAACTACTCAGGAGGTGGAAGCAGGAAGATCACTTGAGCTCAGGCAGGGCAACATAGAAAGACTCAGTCTTGAAAATAAATATAGATTTCTCTATGGAGAGTAACACACTTAGGTATGTATTTTAGAAAGACTAATTGTTAGGCCGGGTACGGTGGCTCATGCCTGTAATCCCAGCACTTTGGGAGGCCGAGGCGGGCGGATCACGAGATCAGGATATCAAGACCATCCTGGCTAACACAGTGAAACCCCGTCTCTACTAAAAATACAAAAAAATTAGCTGGGCTTGGTGGTGGGTGCCTGTAGTCCCAGCTACTTGGGAGGCTGAGGTGGGAGAATGGCGTGAACCTGGGAGGTAGAGCTTGCAGTGAGCCGAGATCGTGCCACTGCACTCCAACCTGGGCGACAGAGCAAGACTCTGTCTCAAAAAAAAAAAAAAGACTAATTGTTTCAGAACATAGAATGAAGCTGACCCAGATGGAAAGCAAAGATAACGATGAAAAGATTCATGTGGTAATCTAGGCCAGAAAGGACATTGCCTTGGGCAAAAGAAGTGACCATTTGGTTAGCAATGAGAAGACAAATTTTAAAAGTAGTTGGGACTCATTCTATGCACAAAAATTAACTCAAAGTAGATCATAGGCCCCAGTGTAAGAGCTTAAACATCTACAACTCCAAAAACAAATGTAGTGAATCTTCATAACCTTGGGCTAGGCAAAGTCATCTTTGATAGGATAATAAAAACACAGGCAACAAAAGAAAAAGTAAATACATTAGATCATCAGTTTTTAAAAATGTGTGTTTTAAAGGCTACCATCAAGAAAGTAAAAAGACAACCCACAGAATGGAAGAAATATTTTCTAAACATATATATGTGACTTGTAGGTAGAATATATAAAGAACTCTTACAAATTAACAATAAAAATTCAAAAGACACAGTTTAAAAATGGTCAAAGGATCTGAATAGATATTTCACCAAAGAAAATATACAACAACCAATGCGTACCCGAAAACATGCAAGACATAGTTAACCATCAGAAAAATGCAAACCAAAACTATAATGAGTTACTATTTGATACCTACTAGGATGGGTATAATAAAATCAGACAACCACACGTGTATGTGAAGATGTGGGGAAATTGGAACACTCGTAGACTGCTGGAAAATGTGTAAAATGGTGCAGTTACTTTGGAAAACAGTCTGGCAATCTCTCAAAAGGTTAAAAATAGAGTGATAATGGTAACATGACCCAGCACTTCCTCGTTTAGGTATGTACTTAAGATAAATGTAAACATATGTCCACACCCAAACTGTGCAAGAATGTCTGGCATTATTCTTAATAGCCAAAATGTGAAAACAGTTCAAATTTCTATCAGCTGATAAATGGATAAATATCCACACAGTAGAATTGTGGTTTTTATTTTCTTTTTTTGAGATGGAGTTTCGCTCTTGTCTCCCAGGCTAGAGTGCAATGGCACGATCTCGGCTCACTGCAACCTCCATCTCCCAGGTTCAAGCGATTCTCCTGCCTCAGCCTCCCAAGCAGCTGGGATTACAGGTGCCTGCCACCACGCCTGGCTAATTTTTGTATTTTCATAGAGACAGGTTTCACTATGTTGGCTAGGCTGGTCTTGAACTCCTGACCTCAAGTAATCTGCCCACCTCGGCCTCCCAACGTGCTGGGATTACAAGCATGAGCCACTATGCCCAGCCCATACAGTAGAATATTATTCAGCAATAAAAAGTACCAAAGTACTGATACTCGCTAAAACGTGGATGGACTTTAAAAATATTATGCTAAGTGAAAGAAATCAATTACAAAAGACCATATATTGTATTATTCCATTTATATACAACTTTCAGAATAGAAACATTTAGAGACAGAAAGAACAGTGGTTGCCTGGTGCTGGACACTTTGGGGAGAAATAGAGAGGGACTGCTTTCACGTACGGTGTTCCTTTTTTGTAGTGATGAAAATGTTTGAAAGTTGATTGTGGTGATAGTGGCACAACTTGTGAATATATTTTAAGAAAGGACTTGCATAGTTTAAATGGGTGAATCATACAGTGTGTGAATTATATCTCAATAAAACTATTATGTTACAAAAAATAATTTGGGAAGTAAATGGTTGAATCTTGATTATTGTTTAGATGTGAAATAAGAATATGGGGTGGGAAGAAAGCAAGCCTTTTTTATTTGTCTGTGGGGTAATGGGGCAATAAGGAATACAGAAAAACATGAAGGTTCACAGAAATTGATGAGCTCAGTTTGGGACGTAGCAAATTTGAAGAGTTGGAGATGAATCCATATTGCTAAAACTCAAGAGCAATGCCTAGGGTGGAGATGATACATTCTGGAAGCAGGACCATAAAAGTGGTCATTGAAGTCAGTGATGTGGGTGAGAAAAGGCCCGGACAGAAGTCTGTGGAGCCCCAGCGTTGAGGGGCATTCTTAGGAGAAGAACCAGCTAAGGAGACACAAGATTTCTTGAAACAGAACATTTGAATAAGCTAACACATGTCACATTCATCTATAAGAAGTAGGACTTCAAGGAAGTTTTGTGCCATTAATATGCTTGGATAAACCAAGTTCTAATAATGGAAATAGAAGCCTTGTAATAGGAAACAATACTGTTTTTTCCCCCTTTCTTCAAGTGATGTCAATTTTTTGGAACTGTTGTTTCGGAATAAAAAGAGTCTTAGGCCAGGTGTGGTGGTTCACACCTGTAATCCCAGCACTTTAGAAGGCTGAAGCAGGTGGATCACCTGAGATCAGGAGTTTGAAACAAGCCTGACCAACATGGTGAAACCCCGTGCTACTAAAGATACAAAAAAATTAGCTGGGGGCCAGGTGCAGTGGCTCACGCCTGTAATCCCAGCACTTTGGGAGGCCGAGGTGGGCGGATCACAAGGTCAAGAGATCAAGACCATCCTGAACCCCGTCTCTACTAAAAATAAAAAACATTAGCTGGGCATGGTGGTACGCGCCTATAGTCCCAGCTACTTGGGAGGCTGAGGCAGGAGAATTGCTTGAACCAGGGAGGCAGAGACTGCAGTGAGCAGAGATTGCGCCATTGCACTCCAGCCTGGTGACAGAGCGAGACTCCGTCTCAAAAAAAAAAAAAATTAGCTGCGTGTGGTTGTGGGTGCTTGTAATCCCAGCTAGCTACGCAGGAGGCTGGGGCAGGAGAATCGCTTGAATCTGGGAAGCAGAGGTTGCAGTGAGCCGAGATTGCACCATTGCCCTCCAGCCTGGGCAACGAGTGTGAGAATGTCTCAAAAAAAAAAAAAAGAGTTTTAACAAGTAAGATTAACATAATTTCATCATCTAGTTTTCTTAATATTTAAATTTGACTCCTAACCAAACTTGTCATCACATACAAGTAAATACATATTATATATGCCACTAAATTATATATTCTGTCACTTTCCTATAAACTGTTTGAATGAAAGACATTTTAGTTTTCTCCCCACAGCCTTAGCATGCTGTAACTTTAATAAGTAATCTATGAATATAATTTTTTTGTTATTTAAGCTGTGATTTTCTACAAACAGGTTAATTTTCAAAGGGAGATCAGCTATTTTAAGATCTTCTTCTACTGGATAATTTAGATTGTTTCTATTATTACAGCTTTTTGTTCAGAGTAACTTCATTAATGCTTATAATATGCTGTTTGGAATGCCCTGTTTTTCAAGATGAACTCACTGGAACTATTGACTTGGCAGCCAGCTGCTTTTTAAAAGCTTTGCACCAATCATATAAGAGTAATCAACTTAAATATTTACGTAAAACCTTTCCAAAATTATTACTTACAGGTCTCAAACCAGAATAACAGAATTTGAAGAGCAATTGCAGAAACACTTTTTTCTCACATGCTCGTTGAAGACAAACAACAGAAAACACTAATATATTGATGCTGATCACTGAAAAGGTATTGCTTAGAATGTGTTAGAATCTATGTCTTAGGCATTGGTGTGTATTTCTGTTAACCTGTTTTCCAGAAGTGTTATTTTTGTTTCCAGATATTTTCTGATTTGCTCAGAGCTCCAAATGGTATCAACAAGTGGTTTTCTACAATGAGAATGAGGCATGCCAGTGTGATGGTCCGTAATCGATATTTGCCAGCAGATCATTATTTTAAAAATATTATCAGGAATTTACCTATAAGAGTATCTAAGAATGGGGGTTATTAATTAGAAATTGTAATTTAAATATCCCTTTCCCCTTTTTCTAAAGAATGCTCAACTGAATGATATTTGTGTGTCATTTTCATGAAATTTACAGAACCAACAATATTTATTGTTCCAAAATTCTGATCTGGAATATTGCTTGGAAACTTTACACTTTCCTCTTTTTCAACATTAAAGGTGGTCTTGGAAAGTATCAAAGACATACAATGGAGAGGAGTTATGAAGAGTGACTGTTAACATGAAAATATTGGCAAGAGATGGAACAAGACCTATTTCTTTTTGAGACAGGTTCTTGCTCTGTTGCCCAGGCTAGAATGCAGTGGCCTGATCAAGACTCACTGCAGCCATGACTTCCCCAGCTCAAGCTGTCCTTCTGCCTCAGCCTCCAGAGCAGCTGCAACTACAGGCACATGCCACCAAGCCCAGCTAATCTTTTTTGTTTTTAGTTGTGACAAGGTCTCGCTATGCTGTCCAGGGTCTCTAACTCCTGTCCTCAAGCAATCCTCCCACCTCAGCCTCACAAAGTGCTGGGTTTACAGGAGTGAGCCACCATGCCTGGCCTCCCGTTTTCTAACTAAAGTAACAGCGTGTTTTCATGGCACCTGAACCCCTTATCTCTGGGGAAACATTATCAAGATCTGGTGAGTGAGAGTTTCTTGAGACAAGTAAAATAATGCAAATAGTCCTTGTCCTCCTTCTACGGCAGAGTGCACAAGAGGGTGCTTACCCAGAAGAGGTAGACGCAGGGCTGTGGTACAGTCGGAGTATTCAGGGCTCCTGTGACCTTGGAAAGCTATTGGATCAGAGCAGATTTCAGGGAAAGGAATGAAGAGCAGTAGCTTTGATTTCACAATTGACTTCAGGAGGCAGAGATTAAAGGGATATTTGATGCTTTCGTGTTGTGTAGTCATAATCAGCAGACAAGTGGCAGACAGGTTACAGGTCACAGGTTCCTGTGCATCTGGCAGAGGCCATAGCAGTTGCTGTCCAGCATCAAACAAATGCTGTCCTGCTTTAGCAATGAGTTGGGAAGACGTTCCATTGAGTAAAATGAATCTGCACTTTAAATTCTACTGGATGTGGAAGGTAAAAAAGAGGGAAGATTCGGCTGAGCACAGTGGGTCACATCTGTAATCCCAGCATTTTGGGAGGCCAAGGGAGGCAGATCACGTGAGGTCAGGGGTTCAAGACCAGCCTGGTCAACAGGGTGAAAACCCTGTCTCTACTAAAAATACAAAAATTGGCCGGGCATGGTGGCACATGCCTGTAATGCCAACTACTTGGGAGGCTGAGGTAAGAGAATTGCTTGAACTCGGGGGGCAGAGGTTGCAGTGAGCCGAGATCATGCCTTTGCACTTCAGCCTGGGCAACAAGAGCAAAAATCTGTCTCAAAAAAAAGAAAAAACAAAAAAGGAAGATTCTAGGAATTTTTCTTAAACATCACAAGTCTCTTCCCATCAGGCAGATTTCTCCATCAGCAATTGTAACATATAACACCTGCATTTCCTGGGTTGGTATACTTCTATTTTCATATTTAAGATGATCACTTAATTTAGTATTTAAAGGTTTTGCATGCAGCATCAAGGACATTTTTTATCTGAAAATTAACTATTACAATTTACATAATGGATTATTTTCCTTTTCAAATATACCAGAAAGAAAAAAGGGAAATAAATATATTTCTTAATTATATTTAAATTCTATATTGTATGAATGGATTTGAACAATTATGTTTATGTAGAGTTTTGTAACATATACTCAATTCTGTTCATAGTCACTTTTAACGTCTTTTTACGATTTAAATGAGACAGTTTTGTTGAGAAGCCAGGGCAGTAATAGATCATTTAGATCTTTCCCTGTTCAGTGTATCCTTCACCACATCAAGCTAACGGAGGAATGGGCAAGCTGATTTTGACCTTTCAGAGCATGTGGAACTAAACAGAAAATGGCTTTGTCAGAATTCTCCTAGCACACAGGTATCCTGCTTCCCAGCATATTGGAGATGGTCTTTTTTTCCAGGCAGATGGGGTGACTGCTCCAGTTACGTTTGGCCAGGTAAACAGCTCTCTTCATAAGATATCAGGATAGTGACTTATTAGAAGGCAATGATTTGCAGTTGCCTATGATCTCTGAGTAAAACTAATTATTCTGCTTCTATTTTGTTGTTATTGTTTTGCGTTTGAGAATTAGTATTTTGACTACTATGTCATCCCTGTCATTTTCTCTGTCTTCAAGGTGAGCCTTCACAGACTAAAGTAAAAAGTTCTCAGCCTGTTTTTATGACGATGTTGGCTATTTGTTCTACATTGAAATAATTTTTATGACCAACTCTGAGAAAATAGGTAGCCAAATGAATCCTAGCCAAATGATTCTAGAATCTATGGAAACTGATGTCATCCACAAAATGTCAAGAGATCACGCCACTGCACTCCAGCCTGAGTGACAGAGCAAGACTCTGTCTCAAAGATTACGGGATTTGAATTTGAATTCAATGAATTCCATAGCAGTTTGGAAACATTCTCCAACAATAGCAATTCTTGGACATTTCTATAGCTAAAATATGAGAGAAACAGGGAAGTTATTCTCACCACAATTTTAGTTATTTTTCCAAATTCAGAAAACTACAAAATTTTCCAGACTAATTAACATGCTCCTGATTCAGGACAGAAAGCTGCTTAGAGATGTGATAACATCTTCATGGATTCAGAAATGAAGTGCCTACTATGTTCTGGGCTCTGAGAGCACCACAGGGTATCTGTCCTTAGGAAGTTTACAGAAGGACAAAAGCAAAATACTCAGAGTGATTTATTGTTGAGGGTTTTTTTTCTGTTTTTTGTTTTGTTTTGTTTTGTTTTGAGACAGAGTCTCTCTGTGTCACCCAGGCTGGAGTGCAGTGGTGCAATCTCAGTTCACTGCAACCTCTGCCTCCCAAGTTCAAGTGATTCTCCTGCCTCAGCCTCCCAAGTAGCTAGAATTACAGGCACGCCACCACACCCAGCTAAGTTTTGTATTTTTAGTAGAGATGGGGTTTTGCCATGTTGGCCAGGCTGGTCTTGAACTCCTGACCTCAGATGATCCACCTGTCTTGGCCTCCCAAAGTGCTGGGATTACAGGCATGAGCCACCACACATGGCCTATTGTTGAGGTTTCATAATAGAAATACATTTAAGAGACAGAGCAGAATAGAGTCTAACTGGACATAAAATTGGAATCAGGATACATTTCATAGGGGAGACCATGGATGAACTCCAAAGAGAGGAATGGGATTTGCTGATTGGACAGCAAAGTCAGTAGTATGGCTTGAACAGGAGTTGAGCATAGGGAGATCTGGGTTAACAAAGGGATTAACAATGAGTTTAAAAAAAGAGGCAGGGTCTGCACATCATTAAAATAGCCTTGGCATTTATCTGTAACCATCAGAAAATTAATGAAGGGTGTTAAATAGGAGACTAGCCTGAGTATTGTGGCTGTGGTCTACTGGGTAGATTTGTGGATGTTCTAGAGACTCATGATAGGGAGACTAGTTACCAGAGCTGGACAGAAATGGAAAGATCTAAACTAAAACAATATCACTGGGAGTGAGTGAGACAGGGAGGGAAATTATTAGGGTGGTCCTATGGCATGCTCTTAGACCAGGATTGTCCACAGCAAGTACAGGAATGGAGCGTTCAAGCAAGAGTCCTGTTCTCTTTCATTAACCACACAATATGGAGATTAACCTAGTTGCCATGGTTAAGCAAGGAACTTAACACTATAGCTACACAATAAAATATGTTTATGGTTTCTGTTTGTTTGTCTTTTAAAAATACAATCAGGTATCTGTGAAATAAATACAACTTTTCTGTGAAAGTCATTAATTATCATCATTATTATTTTAGACAATGATTGAATGCACCAGGACTTTACCTTAGAGTTTCCTAAAGAGGACCTTGCCAGGGCATTGACTATAGATTTATCATGCCATTGAAATTTTATATATTATACTCACTGATAAAGAGTTTATCCAACATTACCTTTAAAGCCTATGATTATTTATTATTTTTTTAAAAAAAGCATAATTTCAGACTAAGGCTATAATTCAAAGTCATGTTTCTCCCTGAGGAAAAAAAATGTATTTGCTTTAAGTGATATTCTCATATATAAGGAGATTTATGTAGGAGTCAGTAAATGTCTTTCAGCAATGCCCTGCTGTGATGGGCAGCCTCTGAGATGGCACCAAATAATCCTCACTTCCTGGTACTCGTGCTCTTGTGTAATTCCTCTTCTTAAATGTGTGGTGGACCTAGCGAATATGGCAAGAGTGCTAGGATGTCACTTTGGAGATTAGGTTATGAACACATTGTGATATCTGTCTGTCTTTCCCTCTCTTGCTTTCTCACTGGCTTATGAGAAAAGCCAGTTTCCATGTTTTGAGCCATCTTGTGCAGAGCAGAGTGACAAGGACCCCATGTGACAAGGACCGGAGCTCTCCAGCCAACAGTCAGTGAAGACCCGAGGCCATCAATGGTCACATGAGGAAGCTAGAAGTTGAGCATCCCCTAGTCCAGCCTTAAGATGATGAGAGACCTGGTTGACAATGTTGATTGCAGGCTCATGAGATTCAGAGGCACCTGGCTAACCTACACCTGGGCACCTGACCCACTAAACTGTAACATGAAGACTACTGTTGTGGGATAATTTGTTAGGGAACAGTACATATCTAATAAACCTATTATTGTCAGTAACTCATATTTTACTAAGTTACAGCAAATAAAGGGTTGTATAAATAGTGGATGCTGTAATCTTTGATCTTTAAGTAACAAAATATTATACCTTCATGATTATATTATTTTCTAACAGCTATTCTTTTCCAAGGAATGATAGAATGTTCTAATAGCTATCAATTACATCTATCACTTACCTTAAATGTCAAACCAACCAAACAAACAAACAAACAACAAACCAGTAATTCCTATCTCTGGGCAACATGGAAAATATTATTACATAAAAAATTTTAATCATACAGCATTTAAAAAATTAATTTCCTGTTTTGATACAATGTTCAACTATCTTTCCCACTTTACCACTTGCGATTTTACAATTTTACTGTAAAAAAAATCAGGAAATTATCAGCAAGTACTGTACTACACATTTGAATGGGATTTCTTCATTAGCAAATCAACACCCCAAGTATGGATATCCTTTTATTTTCAGGGATTGGTTGGGCCCCATAACTTTTATGTAAACAATAATAATTCTTTTTCAAGTGGATACTTCTCTGCAAAACTTGGTTTATGAATATTTGCAGAATTTTGCCAATAGTCATGCACTACATAATGACATTTAATATTTAGTCAGAGATGGACTGCATCACTATGGCAGTCTTGTAGGATTATAATGGAGTTTTTTTTTCTTTCTTTTTTTTTTTTTTTTTTGAGACAGAATCTCACTCTGTTGCCCAAGGAGTAGCTGGGATTATAGGCGCATGCCACCACACCTGCCTAATTTTTGTATTTTTAGTAGAGACAGGGTTTCACCATGTTGGCCAGGCTGGTCTTGAACTCAAGTGATCCGTCTGCCTCAGCCTCCCAAAGTGCCGGGATTATAGGCGTGAGCCACTGCATCCAGCCAGAGCTTTTATAATGTATTTTTACTGTACCTTTCCTATGTTTAGATACAGAAACACTTACCATTGTACTCCAACTGCCAACAGTATTCAGTACAGTAACATGCTGTACAGGCGTGTACCCTAGGAGCTATAGGCTATACCATATAGCCTAGATGTGTAGGAGGCTATACCATCTAGGTTTGTGTAAATGCATTCTAGGATATTTGCACAAGAACAAAAGCTCCTAACAACACATTTCTCAGAAGGTATCTGTTGTTAAGTGATGCATGGACTGTAGTTAAACTGACCAGTATTAAACATGCAGTGTTGTGCTCATAAACCGAGATAATGGCATGGCTGGAGGTCTGCACGTGCAGCATTCACAACAGTCATGTTTGCTGGCAGGATTAGAGAATAGCAAGTATGTTAACAAACAGTGGAGTCATTAACTTGGGAATGGTTGCAAAAGGCAGCAAAATCAGAGAAATAGTATAAATTGCTTTTTAAAATTCAGCATTCCCGAAAAGGGCAGTTTTGAAAACCATGAATAGCATATTTAGTATTGGGAAAAAATCCTTGGATAGTAGCCTTAACAAAATAAATAAAGGAAAATAAGCTGAAAAGTAGGGGAGAAAACACTTTTATTTATATTTGAAGGGGTATGCACTGTAATCAGTAATACAAGAGAATCAGTAATACAAGTAGTGAAGTAATGAACTATTAGGTTTACAGAATATGTTAAAACTGTGAGTATGGAGATCCAAGGAATGTAATTAATGGAAAGGTGATTCTTTTAGCTGAATGGCATTACTGACCCATTAATGGTGGGGAATCAAATTTACTGTGCTCTTCAGTGTTTGTTATAGAATTATTTTGAGTTGTAAATATTTCTCCAATTCCTGTGCCATAAAACACACATATATCTTAGATCAATCACTTGGGGCAGATGCATTTCTTATGGAACCATATTCTACATTGTATCAAATTTTCTATCAGAAAGAAGTTTATAAACTAATCAGTTTATGAACATTAAGGTCAGTGAAGTATATTAGACTTAGTATTGTGTTGACGGAAACCTAATAGTTCATTACTTCCAATACTCACTTCTACTTTTACCAATGAAGAGTCTATGATCAACTTTTACCTTCCTTAGCACCATATCCAAATTAGCTGAGATAAATGGATACAAGTGGATAATTAATACCTTCGTGTGTGTGTGTGTGTGTGTGTGTGTGTGTGTGTTAGGTTGAATTTCTTGGAAACACAAAGTTGCCTTTACAGGTTTTCCAGGAAGGGCTCTTTGGAGACGTGAAGATGGCAGGATGGGGCAGAGGAAGAAAGTGACCAACAACTTGGTTATAACTGAGGCCTCAGCTCACCCAGAGGAAACTTCAATGGTTCTTTGAAGTGAGCCCACATTGAAGCATAGGGAACTTCGCTAGCGCCTCTCAGCTCTCCCCACCCCACCTTATGTGGGACAGCATGGTTAGAGTTGGCTAAGGTTAGTTATTTCCTCTCAGAGATACTGGAATTGAGTATTTCCCTTCTCCTGTGTGGAAGGCTAAAGGAGTGGAAGCTAACTATTTCCTTTCTGTCATGTGGAAGCTCGAGCAGGCTGGAATTGGGCATTTACCTTCTCCAAGTTGATTAGGCGCTGATAAAATCCCAATAATTTAGACTTTGGTAAAATAGTTTACCTTAAGGGCAGGTCTTGATAATAACAAAATAAACCATGATTTATTTCATACTGATTTTTTTTTATCCTTTCCCTGGCAAAAGCATAAGGAAATTTTTATCTGATATTCATTGTGAGGCCCTGATAGTGCTCCTGGAAATAAAAGTTGCAAAAGTATGAAGGTCCTTCTTAGACTGGACACTTTTGGAGTTTTTAACTCTCAAACTTATTCACTCTGAGCCTCCAGCAATTTGCCAACTACAGCTTAGGGTTTCCTACCCCTGTACTAATTCCTGCAGTGGTTCCTGCTCATGGATTTCTGTCCCAGTAGATTATGATTCTCCGTGCTCATATACCTGTTTCTTCAATTTGAGAAGCAGAGATTGGTCCTGTGATCTCACTTCTCTGAAAGATCTAAAAAGAGTTGTTGATTTTTCATTGTGTTCAGTTTTTCACATGTTGTTAGGATGGGATGTCAACTACCAGGCTTATATACCACATAAGAACAATAATATCTTTTTTGAATGCCCATTATCTTTCCCCTAAGGACTGTAAGTTCACTGAGTTATCTCCATAGTTTCCTTAGGCCTGGCCTCCTCTGGCTGCAGCCCCTACCTTGCAATCTGCTATAGTTTGGTTATGCTCCCCAACATTTCTGTGTTGGAAATGTAATCCCCAATGCAGCAGTGTTGGAATGTAGGGCCTAATGGGAGGTGATTGGGTCATGGGTGCACTGCCCTTATAAATTGATTGATTCTATTATCATCAGAGTGGGTTTGTTATTTAGGGAGTGCTTTCCTTACAAGAAGATGAGTTCGGTCCCTTCTTGCTCCCTGTCTTTCAGGCTCTCTTTCACACTTTTAACTTCTGCCATGGGAAGATGCAGCAGGAAGGCCCTCTACAGATGCCAGTTCCTCAGTCTTGGACTTCCCAGACTCCAGAACCATAAGCCAATAAACCATAAGCCAATAAATTTATGTTTATTATAAATTACCTATTCTGTTGTATTCTGTTATAGCCACACAAAACAGACAAAGACACCATCCATTACCATTGATTTTGCCAAACTTTTTTTCTGACAGTTAAGTACCAATTCCTGGCATCTGTTATTTCATCCCCTTTGCTCTCAAGGTACACAACTCTTGATAATATTGCCTCCCAGCAGCCCTGGCCTCCAGTAGAAAACCACGACTGAACATTTCAGTGACACTTTTGTTTCTTTTACTGTCATATTTCTTATTGTTTTGGAGAATGGAGTTTCCTCTGGCCTTTCCCATGAAAATAGTTAACTGGTGGAATTTCCTGATTTGTTGTATTCTGACATACCCATTTTTTCTACCTTTTGATTGTTTTATTCATCATGTGTCATGGCATTTCTGATATTTCTTCTTCACTTTGTGTGGGCTGTCACTCTCTCCAATATTCCACATTCCATCTCACCAGTGTGTTGATAATGTCTCCTAGGTTCTTCCTGGGGCAATAAATCTTGTAAAATTGGAGAGTGCTCTATATTCATGAACTCTACCTTCTCCAGTTTTGTATTCTGTGCCATGTAATCCAGCATTGTCAGAATCCAAGGCTTTAAATGTAGATCTTGAGATGGGGGCAGGAATTGTCATGAAGGCATCTGCCTCATTTGAGACTTTTGCATGATGTATATCTAAGATGTGCTATGTTTGGCTTTGTTTTTTTTCTTTCCAGGGAGGTATATGCTTTGATAAAGGGAGGTAGATGATTTTGTCAGATCCAGTAGGTTTAAGGGAGTTCAAGATTTCGAGTTGTATATACCCAGGTATTTCAGTCTCAAGTCTCAGTATCTCAGCATTTCCCTATTTGGGCACTCACATTAGCATATGATACCTGGTCAGGCTTTCTCTGAAGCTTTATTACTCCTCAAATTAAATCCTGAGCCTGCTGTTCTGCCCTGTTTGCATTTTAGCTATACAAAACTCACATCAAGAACATCCTCTGACTTTCATATTTTGTCTGAATTAGTAATTAACCTCCCCAATCTGACATTATCTCTTTTAGCAAATCATTGGTACTTAGTAATAGCTACCAACCTCCCAAATCCTTATATGTATCATTTGCTTTTGGATATGTTTCAACAGACAGCACATCTCCTTTCACTAGGATTCTCCCTCAGAGAAGGTTTACATCAGTGAAAGTCTAAAGAGTTTCACTTCTGCATAATAGTAGTTATCCATGCACCATCTATTAAAAGTAAGGGCCTTTATTGTCCAGCAGCCAGGCCCAAAATTACATTTCAGAGTTTGCCACTTAGGACCACTTCTGGAATCAGGAATCTGAATCTGAGACAGAGAATTTGCTATAATGAACACTGTGTATGCTACCTGGATCCTTGCTTACAGACCAAGGCACTCGTTGCCCTAGTTGCCAAGAGTTTTGCCTGCTGATGGCTCAAAGGGAAGTCTTTTCCCAAGATTTTCCTTCTGCTGAAAAGAGCTGCCTCACCCAAATCTATGGGCCTTTGTCAGGTGCAGCCTACATTCTATGAGTGCTTTAGGTGAAGGTACAAGGGCCTAGATCCCTTGCCTTGATTCAGTGAGACTATACAAGGCCATCCCAGCTCTGAACTCCCTGGAATTAGATAAAGCTTTAATTGCAATTGCATCAGAGTTCAACATTTTCCTCCACCCTTATTTCCCTAAAGGTATTGTTACTGAGAACACTCACCAATAAAAACTTTTGCATACAAATCCCTGCTTCCCAGGATTACATGCCTAAGACAAGTGCAATAAATTTGTTAGAAAGTGCTCTGAAGAAATATAAGTGTAAGGAGTTGAGGAAGGCAGGATTGAGCAAAGGAAAAGGTTGACTTCTGGGGCAGCTTCAAATCTAACGTTAGGGATTCCTGTGGGGAACTTTGTAGCTATAGCTGGAACTGACCCTCAGAATTTTGTTAACTTGTAGTAAGGGGGCCATTGACACTGACTGGCCATTGTTGTCACTTAGGAAAGATCATGCTTGAGTGAAGCAGTTTGGAAGTTGAGAACACTTTCCAATGAGAGACACAACTGTGAGCATCAGGAACAAATATTTCTACAAGCTGAGGAATGAGTTCACTGACCTCAAAAGCAATTTTGGAAGAGTACCAGGTATTCACTATAGTGTACTGTTGTATACATTTCAATATTTCCATATTAGCTAATACAATATTAAAATGTATATAGATTACAAATAATCATAAGCAAAACTCAGTATGAGTCTTTCTGCCCTTAAGATCTATATGCATCATTATTCTAGCTAGCAGCCTATCAATCTTATTTATTCTTCAAAATACAAACCTCTGGTTTTGTCAATCTTCTGTCTAGTTTCTGGTGTCTCAATTTTATTCTGTTCAGCTCTAAATTGGTTATTTCTTTTCTTCCGCTAGCTTTGGAGTTGATTTGCTCTTGTTTTGCTAGTTCCTCTAAATGTGATGTTAGGGGGGCATGTGACCAGGCACTAGTGTGTGTGCACCATCTTCTGCCTCCTGTCCCCCTAAAAAATAAAAATTAAAAATTAAATGTGATGCTAGGTTGTTAACTGGAGATCTTTTTATCTTTTTGACCTGCATGTGTAGTACTATAAACTTTCCTTTTAAGGTGGCTTTAACTGTGTCCCAGGTACTCTGATATGTTGTACCTTTGTTTTCTTTAGTTTCAAGGAATTCTTGGTTTCTGCCTTAATTTCATTCATTGTTTACACAGAAGTTATTCAGAAGCACATTGTTTAATTTCCACTTAATTTTATGGTTTTGAGTAAACTTCTTAGTATTGATTTTTATTTTTGTTGTGCTATGGTCTCAGAGTGTAGTTGTTATGATATGGCTTTCTTAAATTTGCTGAGAATTGTTTTATGGCCAATTGTGTAGTCAATTCTAGAGTATGCGCCACATGCAGAAGAGAAGAAACTATTTGGCCAAGTGTTTAATCCAGGTCCCAAATATCTTTGTTAGTGTTCTGCCTTGATGATCTGCCTAATACTTGGCACTTTTGTCTAACACAGTGACATGCTGAAGTCTCTCACTATTATTGTGTGGTTATCTAAGACTCTTTGTAGGTCTCTAAGAACTTGTTTTATGAATCTGGGTGCTCCTGTGTTGGGTGCATATATATGTATTTTCATATATATATATATGTTTTTTTAAATGTTGTGAGTACATAGTAGGCATATGTATTGATGGGATACATGAGTTATTTTGGTACAGGCATGAAATGCATAATAATCACATCATGGAAAATTGGAGATCCAAACCCTCAAGCATTTATCCTTTGTATTACAAACAATCCAGTTATATCTCTTAGTTATTTTTAAATGTATGATTAAATTATTATTGACTAAAGTCTCCCTTTTATGCTATCAAGTATTAGGTCTTATTCATTCTTTCTATTTTTTTGTACCCATTAACAATCCCACCTTGCTGTCACCCTGTTCCCCACCCTTCCCAACCTCTGGTAACCATCCTTCTACTCTCTATCTCCATGAATTCAATCGTTTTAATTTTTAGCTCCCACAAATAAGCGAGAACATGTGAAGTCTGTCTTTCTGTGTCTGGCTTATTTCACTTAACATAATTACCTACAGTTTCATCCATCCATGTTGTTGCAAATGACAGAATCTCATAATTTTTTATGGCTAAGTAGTACTCCATTGTGTATACATACCACATTTTCTTTATCCATTCATCTGTTCATGGACACTTGGGTTGCTTCCAAATCTTGACTATTGTGAATAATGCTGCAACAAACATGGGAGTGCAGTTATCATTTTGATATACTGATTTATTTTCTTTGGGATATATACCTAGGAGTGCAATGGCTGAATCATAAAGTACCTCTATTTTCAGATTTTTGATAAACCTCCAAATTGTTCTCCAAAGTGTTTGTACTAATTTACATTACCCTCAACAATGTACAAGGGTTACCTTTTCTCCCTGTCCTTGCCAGCATTTACTATTGCCTGACTTTTGGATAAACGCCATCTTAATTGTGATGAGGTGATATCTCAATGTAGTTTTCATTTGCATTTCTCTGATGATCAATGATGGTGAGCACTTTTTCATAGGCCTGTTTGTCATTTGTATATCTTCTTTTGAGAAATGTCTGTTCAAACTTTTTTCCCCATTTTTAAATCAGATTATTAGATATTTTCCATTAATTTACTCCTCCTGTCTAATTGCTCCAGCTAGACATTCAGTACTATGTTAAATAACAATGGTGGAAGTGGACATCTTTGTTGTGCTCCAGATCTAAGAGGAAAGATTTTAGTTTTTCCCCATTCAGTATGATATTACCTGTGGGTCTGTCATATATTGCTTTTACCATGTTAAGGTATGTTCCTTCTACACCCAGTTTTGGGGATAATTGAGTATTCTTATTGAATTGAACCCTTTACCATACATAATGCTGTTCTTTATCTTTTTTGATTGTTGTTGGTTTAAAGTCTGTTTTGTCTGAAATTAGAATAGCAACTCCTGCTTTTATTTGTTTTCCATTTGCTTGGTAGACTTGTCTTTATCCTTTACTTTGAGCCAATAAGTGTAATTGCATGTGAGATGGGTCTCTTGAAGACAGCACACATTTTGCTCTTGCTTCTTTATCCAGCTTGCCATTCTATGCCTTTTAATTGGTGCATTTAGCTTATTTACATTCAAGGTTAATATTGATATGTATGGATTTGATCCTGTCATCTTGTTGTTAGCTGGTTATTAAGCAGACTTTATTGTGTAGCTCCTTTACAGTGTTTACAGCTTTCATAGAAGCATTTTCATAGAAGTGTGGAGATAAATCATATTATGGCTAGGGGCCATGAATGGTAGGAGCAGTCATAAGAATTCTTGCAAAATGTGATGAGTGTATGCAAGTTAAATGAGCCACTTATCAGTAGGACTGATAACAGGATAATGGCTAGGGTGACCTCATATGAAATTGTCTGGGCCATAGCTCATAATGCATGGATTAGTGCATATTTTGAATTAGATGCTCATCCTGATCATAGAATAGAGTAGATGGTTAAGCTTGATGTGGCTAGTATAAATAGAAGACCTATATTAAAATTAATTAGATGATCTGGCATAGGGAGGGGAGTTCATAAGAGGAGAGCAATAGAAAGGGCTATGGTTGGAGCAATAATATAAAAGGTAATAGTAGATGTTGGAGGCTGTAAGGGTTCTTTGTTGAAAAGTTTTATTGCATCAGCAAAAGGTTGAAGCAGCCCATAGGGACCTACAATGTTGGGTCCCTTGCATAGTTGTTTATAGCCTAAGATTTCTCATTCCATGAGCATAAGGAATGCTATAGTGATAAGAGTGGGGATAATGAGTAGGAGAAGGTTAATTATAGGCATGTAGTTAAGAAGAGGAGTTCAACTCTGATTACAAAGTTTTAAGATTTATGCAATTGCTGGGCTCTGCCATCTTAACAAACCCTGTTCTTGGGTAGGGTGGTGATGATTTTTTAGATTGAGATAGCATCCTCTATGAAGTGAGGGCACTTTATGAAAGGGACTCTATTTCTCTTGTCCTTTCATACTTGGAGAAATGTTAAATAGATAGAAACCAACCTGGATTACTCCAGTCTGAACTCAGATCACATTAATTGACTTTAATCATTGAATAAATGAATCCTTAACAGTGGTTACACCATTAGGATGTCCTGATCTAACATCAAGGTCATAAACCCTATTGTCAATATGAACTGTAGAATGGATTGTGCTGTTATCCCTAGGGTACCTTACTCTGTTGATCAAATTATTGGGTCCATATGTATTAACTCACTTAGACTAGTGCAGTCTTAGTGTAGGTTGTTCAGAGGTTGAATTATGCTCCAAGGTCACCCCAACCAAAATTTTTAATGCAAGAATAGTAGGCTAGAGCCTGTAGGCTTGTTTGAGTTTTAATTTGCATTAATGAATTAAAGCTCCATAGGGAGCTTCTCATCTTATTTGTTTATATCTGCCTCTTCACGGATAGGTCAATTTCCCTGATTAAAAGTAAGAGGCAGCCGAACCCTCCTGTGGCCATTCATACAAGTCCCTATTTAGGGAACAAGTGATTATGCTACTTTTGCATGGTCAGGATACTGTGGCTGTTGAACAAATGTCACTGGGCAGGCAGTGCCTCAAATACTGGTAATGCTAGAGGTGTGTTTTTGGTAAACAGGCAGAGTATGATTTGCCGAGTTCCTTTTACTTTTTGTAATCTTTCCTTAGAGCATACCTGTGTTGGGTTAACAGTGTAAATAATAGGGTGTTTATTATATTGTTTATTAATATTAGGCTGTTAACTGTCAGTGGATTATTCTGGTCTGATGTAAGCTTATGCAATGGAGAATGTCTTCATGTTACTTATACTAACATTATTGTGTCTATTAAGTAATAGATTAGTCCAGTGTGATGTTAGGAGTTCAGTAGAGTGATTAGAATTTAAGATAGATGTTGAACTTAAACATGTTCTTAATTGGTGGCTGCTTTTGGGCCAACTGTGGTGGTAATATTTTTTATTTTCTGTAGGAAGGTTGTTTCCTAGGGTCTAAAGAGCTGTCCCTCTTTAGACTAACAGTTAAACTTACAGGGAGGTTAAGTAATTCTGTGTATAAGCTTAAAGTTGAACTAGGAGTCTATCTTGGACAACCAGCTATCACCAGGCTCCATAGCCTTGTCACTTCTACTCATGAATCTTCCCACTATCTTGCCACATAGGTGAGTGTGCTCTTTCAGCTGTTCTTGGGTAGCTTGGCTGGTTTTGGGGGACTTGGCTATAGTTCTCTGTGTAAAGTTATTTCTGGTTAATACATTATGCAGAAGGCATAAGGGCTTGTCTTTGCTTTTCAGTGCTTGATACAGTTCTTTCATCTTTCCCTTACTGTACTAAGTCTATTGTGCCAGGCTAAAAATTTCTATCACCTATACCTTTATTTAAGGTAAATGGTTTGATTAAGATAGTTTGATAATATTTTCATAGAAGTGTGTAGTTAAGTTTCATAGAATGTCTATGTAGTTAAGTGTTTTTGTGGTGGCCAGTAACAGTCTTTTGTTTTCATATTGAGCACTCCCTTTAAGATCTCTTATTGCTCTACCGTAAAGATATATCCATGTGTATGTTCATCACAGTACTATTCACAACAGCAAAGACATGGAATCAACCTAAATGCCCATCAAGGGTAGACTGGATTAAGAAAATTTGGTCATATACACCATGAAATACTATGTGCCCATAAAAAAGTATGAGATCATGCTTCTTGCAGCAGCAGCATGCATGGAGCTGGAGGCCATTATCCCAAGTCAACAGAAAACCAAATAATGCATGTTCTCACTTATAATTGGAAGCTAAACATTGAATACACATGAACACAAATAAAGAAACAATAGATATTGGGGCCTACTTGAGGGTAAAGGGTGGAGAAGAGAAGGGATCTAAAAACTGTCGGGTACTATGCTTATTACTTGAGTGACAAAATAATCAGTACACCAAACCCCAGTGACATGCAATTTACCTAGATTTCAAACCTGAACATGTACCCCCTGAAACTAAAACAAATTAAAAATCAAAAATCCGTAAGCATAAGCAAGTATCCATTGCAATACTTTAGAGAAATCTAATAATTTATTGGGGAAGCAGGGTATCTTCTCTTAACTATAGCTCTGTCCTGATTTATGAGCAATTGCACCATATCATATGTGATGGTTAATTTTATGTGTCAATTTGGCTAGGCTATAGTACCAATATATTTGGCCAAACACCACCAGTCTAGATATTGCCGTGAAGATATTTTTTAGATACAGTAAACAGTTAAATCAGCAGACTTGGAGTAAAGAAGATTACCTTCCATAATGTGGTGGGCATCATCCAATCAGTTGAAGACTGTAAAAGAAAAAGACTGAGGTCCCCAGAGGAAGAGGAAATTCTGCCTCCAGACTCAAGATGCAACATCAGCTCTTTCCTAGGTCTTTAGCCTGCTAATTTGCCCTGAAGATCTCAGACTTAGACTTGCTAACCTTTTGCACTGAGTCACAGCACATGAGCCAATTCATTAAAGTAAATATTAAAGTAAATCTCTCTAGGTAGGTAGGTAGGTAGATAGATAGAACACACACACTCACTCACACACACATACACATACTTACATGTGTGTGTGTGTGTATATGTATATATACACACACATATATGAGTTTTTTTGGTATTTATGTTGCTTAAGGATCTTATGCTTCTTAAATATGTGACTTAATATGTTTTACCAGTTTCAAAAAATTACCTCTTCACATATTTCTTTTAGCCATAAAACATCTTTTAAAGGGCTAAAGGAAATTAAATTTTAAACACACTTGCACCCCAAACGCATACAGAAATACTAGTAACAAACTATAGAAATGATCCCTGAAAGTATAATCTTGAAATACTAAGAGTTCTTCAGAGTCATATGTCTAGGTGGAGGGAAGGGAAGGAAAAATCAAAAGTACTAAATCTAAAAGAAGGTCATGAAAGAGAGCAAAAGGAACACAAAAGGTAGTCAATAGAAAACCATAGTAAAGAGTTCATTTAAATCCACTGTAGAAAACAAAATGATGGAAAAAGATGTATCAGGCAAAAGCTAACTTAAAAGAAACCTTGGATGGCTATACTAATATGGTACAAAGTATACCTGAAAGAATAAACATTAGTATTGACAAAAAGGACTTTTATGAGTCTAAAATAATCAACTAAAAGATGTATAATTCTACATTTGCATGCTCCTAATAATATAGTCACAAAATATGTAAACTCAGAACTTTCAGAAATAAAAAGAGAGGCAAATCTGCAGTCATAGTTGGTGATTTTCACACACTTCACTCAGTAACTGATAAAATATTTTGGTGTGGATAGAACTTGCATATGGTGTTGGTTAGAGAGTAAATTGGAACACTCACTTTAAAAGACTCTGACATTATTCATTGAAGTTGAATATACACATAGCCTATGGCCAGAGATTTTCCTCCCAGGGTATTGCCAATAGAATATCAAGAAATATGTACAAATGTTTACAGAGGCTATAGTTGTAAAAGGCAGACTGTAAATAACTGAAATGATCATCTATTGTAGAACTAGGAAATTTATTTGGATTTCATAATGATGATGGATTATCATCAGCAGGAAGAAAGAATGAACTAATATTATGTGCAATAATCTAAATGAATCTTACAAACATAATGACAGGTGAAATAAGTCAATTACAAATAATTCAAACCATAACATTCTATGAATAGAAAATTCAAAAAAATTCAACATAGTCTTATAAGTCAACGTGCCAGCTATATTTGGAAAGAGGCAATAGTCAGTGGAAGAGAACACAAGGGAAGTTCCTGAGACTTAAATAAAGTTCTATTTTCCTGAGACATGGATAGTGGCTTAATGGGTAATTTATTTTTGTGATAATTCAGTAAGCTTCTACTCATGAATATTCCCACTTAAGAGTGGAACACTTTATTTTATCCAAAATCTATTTTCAAGTTAAAGCATGCAATAGCATTGTGCAAAAACCGATTTACCTGATGAATTTAATCCTGTTCTATTGAATCATCACTTTCAAGTTCTACTCCTGAAGACAGGCTTGGTGTACCCTTTCAGGGCATTCAGCAATATTCTCTAGTGAAGTCAAACTGAAGACACACTAGCAAAGCATCTTAGAAATCCCGCAGAAATACAAACTACCATCAGAGAATACTACAAACACCTCTATGTAAATAAACTAGAAAATCTAGGAGAAATGGATAAATTCCTCAACACATACACTCTCCCAAGACTAAACCAGGAAGAAGTTGAATCTCTGAATAGACCAATAACAGGAGCTGAAAATGTGGCAATAATCAATAGCTTACCAACGAAAAAGAGTCCAGGACCAGATGGATTCACAGCCAAATTCTACCAGAGGTACAAGGAGGAACTGGTACCATTCCTTCTGAAACTATTCCAATCAATAAAAAAAGAGGGAATCCTCCCTAACTCATTTTTTGAGGCCAGCATCATCCTGATACCAAAGCCTGGCAGAGACACAACAAAAAAAGAGCATTTTAGACCAATATCCTTGATGAACAATGATGCAAAAATCCTCAATAAAATACTGGCAAACCAAATCCAGCAGCACATCAAAAAGCTTATCCACCATGATCAAGTGGGCTTCATCCCTGGGATGCAAGGCTGGTTCAATATATGCAAATCAATAAATGTAATCCAGCATATAAACAGAACCAAAGAGAAAAACCACATGATTATCTCAATAGATGCAGAAAAGGCCTTTGACAAAATTCAACAACCCTTCATGCTAAAAACTCTCAATAAATTAGGTATTGATGGGACGTATCTCAAAATAATAAGAGCTATCTATGACAAACCCACAGCCAATATCATACTGAATGGGCAAAAACTGGAAGCATTCCCTTTGAAAACTGGCACAAGACAGGGATGCCCTCTCTCACCACTCCTATTCAACATAGTGTTGGAAGTTCTGGACAGGGCAATTAGGCAGGAGAAGGAAATAAAGGGCATTCAATTAGGAAAAGAGGAAGTCGAATTGTCCCTGTTTGCAGATGACATGATCGTATATCTAGAAAACCCCATTGTCTCAGCCCAAAATCTCCTTAAGCTGATAAACAACTTCAGCAAAGTCTCAGGATACAAAATCAATGTACAAAAATCACAAGCATTCTTATACACCAACAACAGACAAACAGAGAGCCAAATCATGAGTGATCTCGCATTCACAATTGCTTCAAAGAGAATAAAATACCTAGGAATCCAACTTACAAGGGATGTGAAGGACCTCTTCAAGGAGAACTACAAACCACTGCTCAAGGAAATAAAAGAGGATACAAACAAATGGAAGAACATTCCATGCTCATGGGTAGGAAGAATCAATATCGTGAAAATGGCCATACTGCCCAAGGTAATTTACAGATTCAATGCCATCCCCATCAAGCTAACCAATGACTTTCTTCACAGAATTGGAAAAAACTACTTTAAAGTTCATACGGAACCAAAAAAGAGCCTGCGTCGCCAAGTCAATCCTAAGCCAAAAGAACAAAGCTGGAAGCATCACACTACCTGACTTCAAACTATACTACAAGGCTACAGTAACCAAAACAGCATGGTGCTGGTACCAAAACAGAGATATAGATCAACGGAACAGAACAGAGCCTCAGAAATAATGCCACATATCTACAACTATCTGATCTTTGACAAACCTGACAAAAACAAGCAATGGGGAAAGGATTCCCTATTTAATAAATGGTGCTGGGAAAACTGGCTAGCCATATGGAGAAAGCTGAAACTGGATCCCTTCCTTACACCTTATACAAAAATCAATTCAAGATGGATTAAAGACTTAAACGTTAGACCTAAAACCATAAAAACCCTAGAAGAAAACCTAGGCATTACCATTCAGGACATAGGCATGGGCAAGGACTTCATGTCTGAAACACCAAAAGCAATGGCAACAAAAGACAAAATTGACAAATGGGATCTAATTAAACAAAGGAGCTTCTGCACAGCAAAAGAAACTACCATCAGAATGAACAGGCAACCTACAAAATGGGAGAAAATTTTCGCAACCTACTCATCTGACAAAGGGCTAATATCCAGAATCTACAAAGAACTCAAACAAATTTACAAGAAAAAACAAACAACCCCATCAAAAAGTGGGCGAAGGACATTAACAGACACTTCTCAAAAGAAGACATTTATGCAGCCAACAGACACATGAAAAAATGCTCACCATCACTGGCCATCAGAGAAATGCAAATCAAAACCACAATGAGATACCATCTCACACCAGTTAAAATGGCAATCATTAAAAAGTCAGGAAACAACAGGTGCTGGAGAGGATGTGGAGAAATAGGAACACTTTTACGCTGTTGGTAGGACTGTAAACTAGTTCAACCATTGTGGAAGTCAATGTGGCGATTCCTCAGGGATCTAGAACTAGAAATACCATTTGGCCCAGCCATCCCATTACTGAGTATAAACCCAAAGGACTATAAATCATGCTGCTCTAAAGACACATGCACACGTATGTTTATTGCGGCACTATTCACAATAGCAAAGACTTGGAACCAACCCAAATGTCCAACAATGATAGACTGGATTAAGAAAATGTGGCACATATACACCGTGGAATACCATGCAGCCATAAAAAATGAAGAGTTCATGTCCTTTGTAGGGACATGGATGAAATTGGAAATCACTATTCTCAGTAAACTATCGCAAGGACAAAAAACCAAACACTGCATGTTCTCACTCATAGGTGGGAATTGAACAATGAGAACACATGGACACAGGAAGGGGAACATCACACTCTGGGGACTGTTGTGGGGTGGGGGGAGGGGGGAGGGATAACATTAGGAGATATACCTAATGCTAAATGACGAGTTAATGGGTGCAGTACACCAGCATGGCACATGTATACATATGTAACTAACCTGCACATTGTGCACATGTACCCTAAAACTTAAAATATAATAATAATAAAATAAAAAAAAAGAATTCAGAAGTGCCCTAAAATATTTAAATTGCAGGAACTATGTGTTTCGAAGTGTTTATCTGTGAGAAACTTTTCAAAACACAGCAAAAAGTGTACTAGTAAACTTGTTCTTCTATGTTGGCTTGGGAAATTATATCACTAAAGATGTATTAATGTTGCTAAATTTCACTGCATGAAATGTTAAATGTTCCGCATTGGATTTGTGGTACCAGAGTTTTAAAATGCTGTTTTTTTAAAAAAAAAAAAAGAAAAAAGAAAAAAAAACTATGTGAGTACTGTGTGTTATATTAGCAATCGACTTTTTCCAGAAGAGTAAAGGAGTGATTCAACCTATTAGTTATAAAAAGGATATTACATATGATAGGACTGAGGATAGCAAAGTGTACATGTCTGGAGTAGAGAGTAAGGGGTACTTTTACATGTTAAATATAGACACACATGGAGGCACTCATAACCTGCACACACAGCCTGAACTCTGACACAATATGTCTGTGCTTTTCCAATTGTCAATCTCAATCTTTTAGTGATCCATGACATCAATGCATAGGTTGGGACCAGAATTTTTTAATGAAATAAAGTAGAACAAATTAGAATGAAATGAAATGGAGTAGAGTGGAGTAGAGTGCAGTGGAATGGATGGAATAAGAGGAGATGAGATGAAATAGAATAGAATTGAATAGAATTCAGTATCAGTTTTGTTTCTGTTTTCATACCTGTGCTTATAAGTACATATTGTAAAATGCATCTTTTACTTTGGGCCAAAATGGTGGAAGCCATTGAGCTACACTACTGTACTTTATACAGAAGTCAAGTAACATTTTAAGGGGTTAATCATTTTTCTGTACCTGAGTGTTGAAGTTGGTTTTGATAGTGATTGATGGGAGAGGAAGAAACCTGAAGATACCAGTGATTACTACACATCTTGAGTTCTGTCTTTCACAGTTTGCCTGAATGGAAGTGATGGTGCTGGCACAAAACCAATTCTTTGCCTGAATGTTTGTGTTCCCCCAAAATTTGTATGTTAAAACCTAAACACCAAGGTGATGATGTTAGAAGTTGGGGGTCTTTGGGGATTGATTAGGTCATGAGAACGCCATCCTTGTGAATGGGATTAATGACATTGTGAAGGAGGCCCCAGAAGAAGCCTTGCCTCTTCCACCATGTGAGGACACATGGAAGGCACCAAATCTGCTGGTGTCTTGATCTTGGATTTCCCAGCCCCCAAAACCGTTCTAGTATTTATAAATTACCTAGTCTAAGGTATTTTTTTACCGCAGCCTGAATAAAGACAATTCATTATCCTCTTTCATCAGACTGGCACTGAATGTGCTTGCCTATGCTACAGCTACTGGAGATTTTGCTGTTTGCTTTGTGTTACTATTTGGTCTTACAGTTATGAAATGGGTAGAAATTATTCTCCCACATCCTTGCATCCCTCTGCTTTTTTCCTCTCCCTTCCCTTTGTTGCATTTGGTTCAGAGAATGTGTGTCCTTATGGTAACACTTCATCCTGGCTTCCCAGACTCCTCACTTCAGGGATCTATAAGGTGATTCTTTTTTTTCTCCTGTTTCTTTGAAACTTACCTGATCTCCATCTCATGACTCTGTGGCCTTACAGATGATCACCCAAGTTATTTTTCAGACACTGATTCAGACTGAAATAGTACTCAATGTGTATGTGGCACCTTCTAGGAGGTATTTTTATTTCTAATGGAAGCAGAGTATTAATGAAAAGGA
The DNA here is from genome assembly GCF_000001405.40 of Homo sapiens. Lineage (NCBI taxonomy): Eukaryota > Metazoa > Chordata > Mammalia > Primates > Hominidae > Homo > Homo sapiens. The sequence goes on from NC_000010.11 coordinate 37,610,269, forward strand.
ATGAAAATAGCATAGGAGGCATATTTGGCTATAGTGGAAGCGGATTGCGGAAATTTAGAAAGTTTCTTTCTTATAAGGAAACCAAGAGAAACTCTGCCTAAACATACAACTGGTCTTCATTAAAGCTCCAGACACTCTTTTAGTCTGTTTCAAGCATGACAAAAATTAAGCCATTACTATATTTAAAAAATTATTTAAACAATTTGTTACTGAAGGCAAATTTAGAAATAGAACCAAGAAACTTTATTTATTTTGTCAACACTCTACTGAGCAATTATAACTTGAAAACTTACATTATTATTTATCCCTACTCTTTCTTTGCTATTTTGGCCCAAAATGTGCTGAGTTTTTCTGATTTGCACCCAGAATGTTTTGTTCCTTGCTTTGATCCCTCCTTTCTTTTCCTGTAGCAACTGTATTCATTTTATCTAGATGGAATATTTCAAGAGCCTCACAGTTTCTTCTCTTCCTCTTATTCATTCACGTTTTCATTTGTATTATACCTTCAAAACCATAGTTCTGATCATTTCACTCACTTGTGCAAAATCATATGTGTGCCTCAATTACCTATAGAATAAAATCCAATATTCTTCCCTTTGCTTCAAATTCCTCAACCATCTGGCTTCATCATTCCTTTTACTCATTAGCTAAAAGAAATTAATTGCTACTCATTGAATAGCCCACATACTTCTGTAATTATACTTTTGGTTACTCTTGTGCATACATCTTACTGGAATTTCCTTCCTACAGTGTCTGTGGTCCAGAATCCCTTATAATTTTCAAGGACCAGAAGAAATACCACCTTCTCTAAGACACCCACAATACCTGCTTCACAGAATGAACATAATCTCTTTTCTCCCCTCATAACTATCCTAGCACTTTGTGTGTTAAATTCTTGACCACTTTTTTCTTGTTTAATATTTTTACTTGAGAAAAACTTTATATATAGTAAAATGAACAATTCTCAATAATATAGTTTAATGTGTGCTAAGAAATGCTTACACCTGAAATAGAGATACAGAGTATGTACATTATCTCAGAAAATTCCCTACGGCCCTTGGATAGTCAATCCCCACTACTGCTCCTTGCCAAATGCAACTAGTGTTCTGACGTCTTTGACTACAGATTATTTTTGCTATTTCTACAATTTCATATAAAAAGAATCATTCAGTGTCTTCTTTTTTTTTTTTTTTTTTTTGAGATGAAGTCTTGCTCTTGTCCCCCAGGCTGGAGTGCAATGGCGCGATCTCGGCTCACTGCAACCTTCACCTCCCAGGTTCAAGTGATTATCCTGCCTCAGCCTCCCAAGTAGCTGGGATTACAGGTGCACACCAGCACACCCAGCTAATTTTTGTATTTAAGTAGAGACGGGGTTTCACCATGTTGGCCAAACTGGTCTCAAACTCCTGACCTCAGGTGATCCACCTGCCTCAGCCTCCCAAAGTGCTGGGATTACAGGCGTGAGCCACTGCATTGTAGTTTCTTTCACTTAAACTGTATTTGAGAGTCAGTCACGTTTTATCAGTAATCACTCATTTACTATTTTTAATGCTTAGTTGTATTCCACTGGATGAGTACAACACAATTTGTTCATTCATGGATGAAAATTTATTATTGTCCGTTTTTTGGCTATTATGAGAAAGTCACTATGAACAATCTTTTTATGAACATACATTTTCATTTCTCATGGATAAATAATGCCAACTGTATTCTCATGGATGAACCTGCCAGATTATTTGCCAAAATGGTTAAAACCTTTTATACTCCAGTGAGTAATGTATGAGAGCTCCAGTTGTCTACCTCTTCAATAGTTGATGTCAGTCCTTTTAACTTTAACTGTCTGGTGGGAAGGTAAGTTAGCACAGTTATAATTTTCATTTCCCTGATGACAAAAGCTGTTGAGCTCTTTTCATGCACAAATTGATAATTTATATTCTTTAGTAAAGTGTCTGTTTAAAACTTTGATCTAATTTTTAAACTTTGTTGTTTGCCCTTGTATTATTGAATTATGGGAGTTCTTTATATATTCCAGGTACAAATTATTTGTTATATGTATTTATTGTAAATGCTTTCTTCCAATTTGAGGGCTGACTATACCTGTTCTAAGTAGTGTTTTTTGATAAGTACAAGTTTCAATCTAGATTATGACCAATTTATCAAGCCCACATTTGGGACTCTCATTATCTAAAATAATGTCCAGGTGCAGATGAGGCCTTGCAGGTGAGTTTCTGCAAATACAGTTTCTCCAGTCAGAAGATCTATGAGCTAAAGATATCACCTGCTTCCCAGGCACCCAATGTGCAAGGGTAAGATCAGCAGAGCAAAACCACTGTAGATGTCCTATTTGAAGAAGAGGGAAACACGAGGCACTTCACACTCATTAGTCTATAGCAATTCTGAAATGCATGTGGGCACATGCTGCCAGTTCCTTGGCTATAACTTAGTTAGAAAAAGTCACTATTGCTCTCAGATTCACCCTCTGGATTCTTGGTCCCTCCCTGTGTGTCATCCAGCTGGTGTTTATGGCTAAGTACTTTCCTCAGGATCCCATATACATCTTGTGTTTTTTTTTGTTGTTGTTGGTTGTGTGTGTGTGTGTGTGTGTGTGTGTGTGTGTGTGTGTCCTGTGATCTCTTCTTTGCCCTCTGGGTTGCTTAAAAATGTGATTTTTGATTTTCATATATTTGGGGGATTCTACAAATATCTTTCTGCTTTTAATTTCTACTTTACTTCTGTTATGTTTGGAAAATACACTCTGTGTCATGTCAGTAGTCTTAAATTAATGAACTTATCTTATGTATCATTATATGGTGCATCTTTTTAAATATTCCATGTGTACCTGAAGAGTGTGTGTATTCTGCTGCTGGTTGATGAACTGTTGTATAAATATAAATTAGGTCAGGTGTACTGAGAGTGTTGATCAGACCTTTTATGTTCTTACTATTTTTTATTTTACTTTTGGTTTACTGTTTCTATTAATAATTGAAAGAGAAGAGTTAATATCTCCAATTATAATTGCAGATTTTTCTATCTCTCCTTTAATTATGTCAGTTTTTGTTTTATATATCTTGAATTTCTTTTATAAGGTGGATATATATGTCTCCTTGAAGAATTGAACCTTTTAGCATTATGAAATGCCCTTCTTTATCTCAGTTAACATTCCATGTTTGAAGCATCTACTTTCTACCCACTCTAGCCATTTTATGATTAACGTTTGCATGGTATATCTTTTCCCATCATTGTACTTTTAACCTAGTTGTGTTCTTATATTTAAAATAAATCTCCTGTTAAAAGCATATAATGAATCTTGTATGTGTGTTTTCTAGATGGACAATTTGTACTTTAAATTAGAGTGTTTCATCCATTTGCATTTAAAGTAATTATTGATGTAATTGAGTTTACATCCTGTCATTTCTCCCACTATTTGGCCCATCTATTCGGCCCATCTATTCTTTGTTTCCCTTTGCTTCTTTTCCTTACCTCTTTTGGATTAATAAGCGGTGTGTGTGTGTGTGTGTGTGTGTGTGTGTGTGTGTGTGTATTCTGTTTTATCTTGATTATTGTCTCATTAACAATACACTTTTGTTTTAGTTTTAGAGGTGGGTCTATTGCAAATGGAGACCATATCATAGTCTCTGTCAAAAGAGCAATACTACTTACCACTTCACATATTAGGTAAGAGATCTATAACAACATACTTTCACTGCTCCCTCATCCTTTATTCCACTGTTGTTGTATATTTTATTTCATTTTGTATATACCTCACAATACATTGCCATTATTTTGTTTTAAGGTTCAATTTTTTTGTTTTTTTTTTTTTTGAGATGGCGTCTCAGTCTGTTGCCCAGGCTGGAGTGCAGTGGCATGATCTCGGCTCACTGCAACCTCTGCTGCCTGTGTTCAAGCAATTCTCCTGCCTCAGCCTCCTGAGTAGCTTTACAGGCCCCTGCCACCACACTGGGCTAATTTTTGTATCTTCAGTAGACACAGGATTTCATCATCTTAACCAGGCTGGTCTTGAACTCCTGACCTTGTGATCCACCTGCCTCAGCCTCCCAAAGTGCTGGGATTACAGGTGTGAGCCATCACACCCAGCCTAAGGTTCAATTTTTTAAAACAAGTTTTTAAAAAAGAAAATGTCTTTATTTTTACCAATGTATTTCCTACTTCCATGGCTTTCATTTAGAAGTGTAATCCAAATTTCCACTTGACATTTTTCTCCTTTAGTCTGAAGAACCTTATTTGACATTTCTTTCAGTGCAAATTTGTGGTGCTGAATTCTTCTAACTTTTGTTTATTTTAAAATGTCTTTATTTTAACATCATTTTTAAAAAAATGTTCACTGGTTATAGAATTCTAGATTGACATGTTATCTTTTCTTTCAGTATTTTTAAGATAGAATTTCCATATCTTCTGGCTTGCATTGTCTTTTTTGTAAGAAACACAATACTTTTTATTTATGTTTTCCTTCTATTTGTGTGTATTATACTTAGTGTTTTGTTGCTTTTTAAGGTTTTCTCAGACCGGGAGCAGTGGTTCATGTCTGTAATCCCAGCATTTTGGGAGGCTGAGGTGGACAGATCACTTGAGGCCAGAAGTTTGAGACCAGCCTGGCCAACATGGCAAAACCCCATCTCTACTAAAAATACACACACACACACACAGACATACACACACATATGCACACACAAAAAATTAGCTGGGCATGGTGGCTCATGCCATAATCCCATCTTCTTGAAAGGCTGAGGCACAAAAATTGCTTGAACTCAAGAGGTGGAGGTTGCAGTGACCCGAGATTTTGTCACTGGACTAAGCCTGGGTGACAGAGTTAGACTCTGTCTTGGAAAAAAAAAGTTTGCTTTTTATCATTGTTTTTACAGAGATATGTCTATGATAGTTCTACAAGTTTTTTATTGTGTATATGTTCAATCTGCTTGTAATTTATTGAATGCTTAGGATCTAAGAGTTTATATTTTCAGCAAATTTGGAAAATTTGGGGCTATTTCTTCAAATGTGTTTTCTATCCCAATTTCTTTCTCCTTTCTTCCTAGGAGTCCAATTACATGTATGTGAGGGCATTGGATATTGTCCCACTGTCTTTAAGACTGTCATTATTTCATATTTCAGCATTTTTAGTCTATGTGCTTCATTTTTGTTATTTCTTACTGCAATTTCCTCAGATTTTCTGATATTGTTTCCACAGTATTCCACCAATTTACTAATTAGTTAAGTGATTAACTAATTTTAGATATTTTAGGTTTTAAGGTCTGCTATTTCCATGTTAACATTTTCTACAATTACCATTTCTCTACTGAGATTCCCCATCTGTTCACTCATTATGCTCATAATTTCCTTTATATTTGTCTGCTAATTCCAACATCTTTGTCATCTCTGGGTCTATAATTAACGACTTTCAAAAAATTCATTATTTATTAGTCACTTTTTCTATATCTAGTAATTAAAATGAAAATTATGCTGGATATGGTGAAATATCACTGCCAACCAGCAACACGATTGTAAGTCTAGTGCCAGACTCCAGTCCCAGACCCTCCCAGCTGCACCAGGTTATTTTCTTATACATCCAGCAATCTCTTAAAGGTAGAACCACCCTCCCTGCAGATACCTAAATTCCCAAGGGTGTTAGGGGACAAGGGAGCAAGAGTACAAAACGGGACTCTCCTTACACTGAGTTAGCTGCTGAGTGGGGAAGATGGAAAAGCAACCTCTCCACCCTGCAAGGCCGCTAGGAAGAGAGCCTACTCAGCTCTCAGGGTGCGCTCTCTGATCTGCCTGTAGTGAGAGATAGCTGTGACAGGTGTAAATACCTCATGTTGTAAATTTCATGAAAGTAATACACCTGGGCCATCTGGCCCAAAACCGCAGCCTGCTGTGCACTCCCCCTCCACACCCCAACTGCTGGGAGAAACACAATGCAAAGCCCACGTGCCTCCAGGGAGGGAAGAGCCAGGGCCACAGACAAGGCCTCCAGACTAGCAAAATCATCCCAGCTACCAGGTCGGAGCCCGGGCTACATGGCAGTTACTGCCGAAGTAAATTTTTTTACATCAATCCATTTACTCTCCTGAATGATGCTATAACTGAGATAATACCCTCATATCACCAATGAAACACAGACGCAAAAAGGCTGTCACATGCTCAGTGTCCTGAGCTCATCAGCAGCTGATCCCTGATTGAAGCCCAGGTCTGTTGACTCCAGTGCTCGCAATTTTTATGACTACACTAAAACATTTTTATCCTTCATTTCCTCCCTGGGTTCCTCTGCTCCCTTTCTCCAAGAGGTGGTAATAAGGGTTTGTTAATGTAAGAAAAATTGGTGATCTGTAAACTCTCAGCCCTAGAAAGTCTAAGCAGAACATTTTCTTAGCCTTTTAGAGGCTGCTGTGGGGCCAGACATCATAGTTAAACAGCTGGAAAAGTCACTTTAATGACTCACCAGGGGTGTACTTTCTTCTTTCCTTTTTTATTTTGGCACTGGCTGTTTGGATTAAAACATGGAAAATGTAATGAAACCTTGTAAAGAGAAGAGTGAAAAAATGACAACAGAAGCTGAGTTCTGAAATGCACTGAGATATGATGACAGACAAAAGCCATCATGGGGATGAAGTGCAGGAGAGTATCTCACTGTGTCTGCGGAAGAGCAGGCCCCCAAAACCAGGAGGCCCTTTATGCCAAACACCCCCACACCTTTACAGATCATGCTGATGTATTTAAGCGTCCATCACCAGTTCATCTGTGTCAGCTGTGGAACCGTGGGACTGATGTTTCAGAAG